>NC_000003.12:69403939-69706969 GCF_000001405.40 Homo sapiens
CGGGCTCTGGAGTGCAGTGGCACAATTATGCTCACAGCCTTGAATTCCTGGGCTCAAGCAATCTTCCTGCCTCAGCCTCTCAAGTAGCTAGGACTATAGGCATCCAACACCACACCTGGCTGTTTAAAAAAATGTTTTTGTAGAAACAGGTCTCACTATATTGCCCAGGTTGGCCTTGAGCTCTTGGCTTCAAGTGATCCTCTTGTCTCAGCCTCCCAAAGCACTGAGATTACAGGCCTGAACCAATGTGCCTGGTCTCCTAAGAATGTTTTCTTTTGGATTTTCTTGAAGAAAATCGCAAATAGAAAATACAGTGTGAGTGTATTTTTGCCCATAAGATTTCTCTCCAATAACAGAATTCAGAAAAAATAAAATTAAATAAATGCACAGGCTTTCTGATCCAGAGGATTCTTTCATAGTATTACTTTCTTGAATATTAAGGATAGAAAATGTAACTCTGGCTTTGAGATGTGATTATTAGAGTTAGAAGCATCAAATAATAACTTCAGCTACTTTTTGTTGATTTGTTTTCATGAAACAGCCATTAATCATTTAATTTTCACAATGACCTATGAAATAAAGTATTATTATGGCCTCTATTTTACTTTATTATTATTACTTCTATTATGGTAAAGCTGAAACTTAGGTTAAGGGAGTTGATGGGTTAGGTTCAGACTCTGAAGTATCCAGAGGTCAATAATCCAGGCAGAACTGTGAGTTTCGTGCTTGGTACTGGGTGGAGTTGGGCATAAATGAAGTAGGTCAAGACAAACAGAAAGCAAGTTCATGTGAGCAGCTTGGAATGAGGACACCAATCAAGAAGACACTGAGAAGGGTGACAGTCAGATGGTTCAGAACCCCAGACTCCACAGGAATGGAAAGAGGATGCAAGAGATCTTGTTATACTCAGGTATGGTTACCAGGAGGGCAGGGATCCTGATTGTCTTCCTCACAACTGTGTCCTCAGGGCTTATCACAGTGCTTGCAAATAACAGGCAGGAATGAAAGAGATTAAAAACTTGGTCCAATAGCCTAGAAGAGAAATGTGAGGTGCCAACTATACAGGGGCTATAAAGTCTTCATCAGAGCTCTTTGCTCGCGAATGATGGAAACATAATTATAACTAATTTAAGCAACCTGGAATTTATTGGCTCATATGACAAACTAGGGAATAGGCAGGGTCAAACAGACCTTGTAGATGCCAAGAATGTTTTCTTTCTCCTTGCTCTTGCCATTGCTTCTTTTACACAGTTCATTCATTTTCTCTGGTGTGTTCCTTTACACGTGTCATTCATTCTGTTGAGTGTGCTATCACAAAAGGGTATAAAACCACAACCAAAGGCACCTCCAAGTGTATGTCCTTACAGACTCACCATCAGAGAGGAAAGAGAGCTCTTCGCTGCTAGCTCCTGTAGGTTAAATCATGGGCAAGGATGCTGATTGACTATCATAACCACTGTGGCCAGGGTGGAGGACATAGCGGTTTGTGTAGTGACTGGCTTAGCCAGAAGCAGGAGCCATCCTGTGGTCTGGGAGGGTGGGTACCATGACTGGCAGCCCTGTGCAGGGCAACTTGGTCAGATGTGTGAAAAGAACATTTTCCCCAATAAAAGGGAGTTCCTGTTACCAGAAGAAGAAGGTAGAAGGATGTTGGGCAGCAGAAGCAGCCGATGTTCTCTACAAGGGCTCTTACCTTTGAGGCAAACATATCCAAGCAAAGGGAGGAACCATTGCTAAGCCGTGACGTTCTAGTTCTGCGATACGCCACAACATCTGGCTCACTCCGATACCATGTTTCCCAGTCCTACCCTCTTTGGTGTCAGAAATTAAATGAGCCATGATGACCTGCTTTCTGGTCTGCAGAAAAAGCCTCCTAGTTCCAACTGAAATTTAAATTTAACTTGGTCCCTTGTAGTGAAACAGTACTGCAGGATAGGCACCATATTAATAGTATCAAACTTTTTATTAATGTCATTTCAAATAATATTTTGCATTTTCAATGACTTGGTTATGTGGCACCTTGGGTATAATAATTATTAAATTCTTTCATCTGTTCCAAAGCAAAGGGATGCATTGCTTTGTTTTTCACCCAAAGAATATCAATAACACCACATTATTAATTTTACTGGGGTCCCATGAATCTCAAAGCTTAAAACTTTATTAAAAAGGCACTCACCCTTGCACTTCTTATTCCCTTTTCCACAAATCGAACACAAAAACACATGAGGTGCCAACAGCTAAAACCTTTTGCCAAGATTGGCTTAATGCTTTTAAATGGCCAGAGGCACACTCACACTCTCAGGGTCCAACTTCTAGAGCACCACATTTAATGAACAATGGCTCTTGGAAAACCTCATGCTGGATCCCAGCCGATACTCACAGCTCACAACTTTGCTGTCAAGATGCCAACTGTGCAAGGCTCTAACGAGACTTTCCCAGTGCATCTGGCTCCTCCCAGTTAATAGCTGTCATTCCCACAGGCTCAGCTGGTCCTCAGCAAGTAAGAAGGAGCATCCTCCCCACCAACTGATCCTTTAAATAGCCTTGCCACATTTCCATTGTAAAATATTCACTTTCCTTTCTGTTCTCCTCTCCAACTTCTGGGGAAACAAGTGAGAAACTGCTAAGTGATGCTGCCTCCTCGTTTGCAACTTTGCTATCATCTCCTCCTCAAAGGAAGCCGGTTCAGTCAGTCTTGTGGCAGCAAACATGTCCTTAGGGGCAGGTCTCTATAGCTGTCAATAATGACTATGTTTAGCCAAGTCTTACCAAATGTCATTAATGTTAGGTTTTGTTTTTGTTTTTTTTTTAGAGACAATGTCTCTCTCTGTGTCTCAGGCTGGAGTGCAGTGGCTCAAACACAGCTCACCATAACCTTGAACTTCTGGCTTAAGCACTCCTCCTGCCTCAGCCTCCTAAGTAGCTGGGACTACAGGTGTGTACCACCACACCCAGTTAATTTTTAATTTTAATTTTTTTTTTTTTTTTGTAGAGACAGGGGTCTTGTTGTGTTGCCCAGGTTGGTCTCAAACTCCTGACTTCAAGGGATCTGCCTTGGCCTCTGAAGTGCTGAGATTACAGATGTGAGCCACCACACCCAGCCTAATGTCAGGTTTTTAAGCAAGTATTTGCACCAGTGTTTGAAGAGTGTCTTTTGGAATCTTCCTGAAATTTGCATAAACTAGAACATGGGGTGAGGGTGGCGTGGTTTAAGGAAGAAAGTGGTAATATAGATGTTCCCACTCCAGCCCCTGGCAATACTATATACATCTTTTACTGAATGTAAATTCAACAGGTGCTTGGGTATAAAAGACAGTAAGGATTAGCATGAGAAAGAAATAATGTAATGTAAGTGATTCCACCTATGAAGCCACTTAGTAAAGGCGAGCGTTAGATGGGACTTAGGAATATTCTCAATGGGGCTTAGTTCCTGGATATCTCTCACGGTGTCAGCATTGCACAGTGTAATCACTCTACTATTTAAAGGGAGGCATTTTTCATACAACACGGTCCCTAACCTCAAGACAACTACTTTATCTGGTGCTTAATCTAAGAAACAGAAACAGTGAATTAAGTTTCAACTCCGGACTTAACAAGAGGTGCAATGTCTGACATGGCAACCCAAACGATGTTCAGGGGTTACTTATTACACAGGATTTTTGTCTTTGTGATTTTCTGATCTGATGGTGTCCACTGGGCCAGGGATGGAAAGTAGTTTTCCACTTGAATGCCAAGTCCAGTTGATTGGTAGTGGCTGCCTGGGCATTGCTTCGAGAAGGATTCTAAGGCCCAGTGGGAAAGAGTGCTATGATTGATCAGCAATATCTGCCATAGGCCCAGACGCGGCTGCAGAAGTGTCACCCATTTCTTTCATTGAGAGGGAAATGAGGGTTGTATTGTGTTTTTCCTTTCCAAATATTAGGCATTTGATTTTTTTTCCTCGTGGAGCCAGGGCTAGCTGAGGTTTTTATTCCTGGCCATGTGGGGGAAAAAGGAGTTAGGGGGTCACGGAAAAGCGTCTGTGGCGTTTACTGACCTAGGTCATCCGGCTCAGCACACTTTTTAAAAATACAGTCTCAATTGTAGCTACTTAACTCTGCTGTTGCAGTGGGAAAGCAGCCGAGACAATGCATACTCAAATGGCACAGCTGCGTGCCAATAAAACTTTATTTACAAAACAGGCCATGGCCAACCCCAATCTAGATCGTGAGAGAGATGGGTAGGAATTAATGCATAGATGAAATGGGAAGGTGAAATCAGGGGAAAATTTGTTTCTAGAAAGGAATTTAGGAGCAAACCTGAAAACTCCCTTCTGAAGTGATGAAGAATCCTGAAGTCATGAGGCCTGAAAGGTTCTTTTCAATTAATAGTCTGTAATGCAATCATAAGCTCCTCCACATGCAACCAAGAGGCTGCTGCCTATCAAGTGTGGTTCAAGAGCCAAGTGCCCCCAAAGGCATCATCTTGCTAGTCTGAAAGTTCCGCCAATTGACGCTTTCTCCAGAAAGCCCTTGTTGAAAAGTAAAGCCGTCTCCACAGAACACTTAATCCAATAACCCACCAGCACTTGGAGAACATATTAGTTAAGAGAGAGCAGGACTGTGATGGAGCAGAACGTGGGACCTGTAAGTTTTGAGTGGAAAATGCTGTAAAACAGGAAAATGATATCATAAAAAGGACTCAGGGCTTGTTGCACTGCCTGGGCAGGCAGGGCTTGGTAGGGGGAGTGGGGGGTGGACAATAAACAAGGGCAGCTCTGCTGAGCTGGAGCCAGCAGCATTTGGAGATAGTTGCGTGGAGTCCTGGCAGGGGACCAGAGCCACCTTAGAGCAGGGATGGCGCCAGTGGGAGGAATTTCAAGCAGGGAAGAGTCGACGACTGGAGGGCTCACTCCCAAGTTGCACCTGGGGACCACTGCTTAGAGTGTGTTTTTTAGAGAGGCCAGTGAGAAACTCAGGTTTGAAGTCAGATTCTATCAACCTGGGGTAAAATCCCAGCTCTGCACTTACCCACCTTATAATCTTGGAGGAATTATTTAACCACCTTAAGGCTTGGCTTGGCATCTGTAAAATAGAGAGAAAAACACTTCCATCCTGAGGTTGTTCGTGAGGAATATATGCAGAGTGTCTAAAAGGCCAGTTCTTGGCTCACAGTGAGTTTTCAGGAAAGGGAGCCTGTAGTCATTCCACTACTCAGTCTCAGCAGAAAACTGGCATTGCTTGGTTCAGCACTTCTTTGTGCTGAATGTGTGAATGCAAAAGGGAAGAAGGCAGAGGTTACTAGCGGATTCCGGCTCAGTCTTTACCCTAGAGCTAGATGCCTGAACTTCTCTCTTTGAGTTGGAGAAGCAAATCCACTCGGCTGTTGAGACATTTCCAACAAGAATTCATTTCAATTGGAAACTCATACAACCAGGAGATTCCTAGGCATGGTCCCATTTCTCTGTGTGCACCACAGAAAGCTTACAATGACCCAGTAGAAGGAGTATTAGTGCATCATCTGTCCTCATAAGGCATCAGGAACACAATGAGCTACTTCCCAGTCACCTCTGGACTGCCAAGGGGTTGGCCAGATGGCATAGTGGCCACCAGCATTCACCCTCATTCTTCTAGCTGAGAAAAATCTCGATTTTTATACATTATCCACCCCTCCCTCACACAACCCAGGTGCTAACCTCCACTTCAGGGGAAAACCTAATTGGCATAAACCAATTGGCATGTGAGGGGACCTGGGACAGAAGCCAGTCCAACAGAGGGAATCTCAGGGCTATTGCTTGGAAATCTAGGATAAAGGTACCCTCTCTTCTCTGCATATAGAAAGCTCAGATGTGAGGACTAAACTGCCACAGCCATTCTTGGTACTAAAAAGGAAGAAAATCTGACAACAAAGCCCACATGTGGGGAAAGCAGAGTAGAGAGAATTCAGAGAACACTGGCAGCCTCTTCAACTGCACTTGAAGTTAGAACCCTTCAGGTTCTCAGTTACATGAGCCAATAAGCAGCTCTTATGGTTTAAGCTGGTCTGAAATGGGGTTTCTCCTGGTCATATGGGTTCTTCCACTTTCAGGATCCTCAGAACCCCCAGCAATGCCAACAAGAACTCCACCCTTTCCTCAAATGGCTCAGATTTCCTGACAACAAACACAATTTCCTAGTGCACAGAACAGACCCCTGGCTTGCTTCCCTCAGACTGTGAAGCAAAAGGACAAAGTAACAAAGGTTAACTTTCGTTGGTACCTTCCTCTCTGAGCCCATCTCTTGCTCCTGACTATTCCTCTCCTTCAGGACACTCGGGCCAATTTCAAGTTCCAAAAGCAGGTCCGATATCAGCTCTGAAATTCCACTAAGTCTCCAGATACTACTGGCACTCCTGTGCCTAAGAGTGAGTGTGTGAATGCAGGGGTAAGCGTGTGAATATCTGCGTGAGTGTAATGGATAAGTGTAAATGTAGGAATGCGTGTGTGAGTATGAGTATGAGGGTGAGCATGTCTGTGCATGAGCGAGTGTGAATATGTGTGTGAGTACGTGAGTGTATGTGAGTGTATGAACGTGTATGTAGTTTGCAAGACCTGTACAAGCTGTTTCTGGAAAAGTGCTCCACCTAGGGGCAGACTGTCAAACTGATGCCCTCTGATGGCACAGGCATGGCCCAGAAACGGCCATTGAGAGGAAGGAAGGAAAATAGAATATTTTACCTACGGGTTCAGCATCTTCTCTTAATAAAAGTAATGCCTGAAAGGTTATGGAACAAGGGAAAAAAAGAAATATATAAATAAATAAATAAATAAATATATATATATATATATATATATATATATATATATATATATATATATTTGAGACAGGGTCTTGCTCTGTTGCCCAGGCTGGAATCTGGAGGTATGATGACAGCTCATTGCAGCCTCTGACTCCTGGGCTCAAGGAATCCTCCCATCTCAGGTCTCAAGAACAATATTTTTAATTACAATGGAAAACACTACTTTAAACAAATTGAAGTTTGAAAATTTGTACCTGGCCTATAGAAGAGGGGCTGTAAGCCATAAGGGGTCAGCCAAGTGAAATCCATGAGTCCCATGGGCCGTATTCTCCTGTGGCAAACTAGAGATGGCATCCCTGATTGAAGTGGGGACACCGCCATTCAGCCCTGAATGGTGCCAAGTGATAATGATGGCCCAGTGGTGCCAAAACTCTGATTTAAAAACAAAACACATCAGAACAATTTATCCAGATTTGTACCTGAACTATCCTAATTTTCTACATGGTGGCTACTAATTCATATGGTATTCTAACTGTAAGTCACCAATTTGCAACTAATGCTGTCCATTCTCTGTTGTTTCTCAAAATTGAAGAAGGTTTAAGTTAGGACTCTTTTAAATTTTCATTGTCCTGAGAGTATTTACAAATATGACTCAACTCACAAAAATACAATTAACCACCCACACTTCAGTCTGAAGCAAGGTACACCTGGATGATTATAAATGTATCTAGGCAATACAATTTAAACCTGGGATAGAGAGGGAGAAGCTGACAGCATTGAGTTTCTGAGTTATGTTTTTCATCCTACAGGATATGAATCACCCCAGGCTCCATCCTTCAGCAGGGTAAATCTCTTTGTCAGAAGCATGAGGAATCAGAAATGTTCTGTCTCCCGACTTCATAAAAATATTTCACTAATGAACAAAGTCTCCAGTTCCAAAGCTGACCCTGATCTCCTGTCTAGGGAAACTTTTAAGAAGTTCATCGAATAAAGTAGTGAGTAATTTACAATATCCTGGATAACTGCCTAGGGACGTGGTTATAATATAATTCACATTGGGATTCCAGTTAATGATATAGCCTCCAATCTAGTTTCACCACGCACTTCTTAAAGTGGAAGATTTCCGAGGTCCTTGCTTTTGAACAATTATCTATATCAAATCAGAACAAACTCCTGACTGAGTGATTTTTAAGTTTTATTGTTCTGAAGCCCAATTGCAAAAATAAGTGGCTGAGTGTTCAGAAATACAGCAGGAATATTACCCACTTGCTAATCTAGCTAGAAATTGCATTTCTTTCTAGATGACAGTAAAAACAGGTAACATTTATTGAGTGCTCACTATGTGCCAAGCACTACTTTCAGCACTTTTCATCTATAAATTTATTAATGTGCTCAAAAACCCTAGGAGGTGGGTCCATTTATTATGCCCATTTATCAAATAAGGCAGAGAGGGATTAAGAAAATTATACAAGGTCTTCCAGTTGGTAGCTGGTAGAGCCAGGTTTGAACCCAGGAATTCTGGCCCCACAACCCAAGCTAACTGCTTTACAAGACTGAGATGCAGATTCAATAGACCTTTTGAATTAGAATAGAAGAAAGATAAACTGAGGACACTTGATGTCACAGGAAAAGGGTGCCTGGAAATCAACAGTTGTTACTGGAGTCAGACTATGTGGTGGACTGGTCAACTTTCAGAAGTCTGATTTTATTTTACTGATTGCTATTCTTTTGATAACCCTAAAGTTAGTGAGAGCAGAGGGGACCGAAAGTAGGTAGAAGCAGGAGGAAGAAGAGATAAAGGTGGAATATGGGCTGCTTCAAGTATCCAAGGGAAGTAAGACAGTCACTTGCTCAAAGTTCTTCCCTGTAGAGGCCAAAGAGAATTTCATTTGGCTGAGTTTCTGTTTAAAACACAAATGGCTGTATTGTAACATAATGCACATTTACAAAGCATTCATTCTTTCCTACCCATTAATTTACTTAGGTTATCTAAGAGATGCAGAACTTGAATGAGCGAAAAGACTAATTTCAAGTTTTACCATTGGAAAGGGTTAATTCGTCATGTTGAGTGCTAAAGCTGGGGCCTCTGAGTGGATGAATGGGCAGTCAGAGGAGACCTAAGAGAATTCCAATGAGAAGCTCCACTTTTTTTTTTTTTTTTTTTTTTTTTTTTTGAGACGAGAAGCTCCACTTTGTTCCCAGTTCCTTGAAGTTGGGTGGGAAGCTTCACACGCACCAGGCATGAAATCAAACCTTCTCTGTGGTTACCTATTATCACCGATGGGTCTCTGAGTTATCATGGTTTCCTCTTTTGTCCCACTGCTGTAGTCTATTCATACCTCTATTGCAGTAATTCCATTGTCTATGATAATGGTTCATTGCTATACTCTTGATACGCAGCACAGTGCCTAATGTATAGTAGGCATAAGAGTCAGGTTTGTTGAACGACGGGATTAAAGATGCTCAACTAGACTAACACATAAAACTAGTCATTAATATGGATGAAAGTAATCATTAGTATTTATTGAGCATGAATGAGCCAAGTGCTTACATGTATTATAACTTCATTTAATCTCTCAATGACTCTATAATGTAGGCATTATCCTGATTATCTCCATTTTACAGTTAAAGAAACGAGGCACAGAGTAGTGATTTCCTCAAGGTCACTTAGCCTGGACTTGACCCCAGGCCGTCTTGATGTTAGAGCCAGATCTATAAACCTTGAACTGTATCTCTCCCTTTATTTTACTGTCCTGACTGAATGCAATTAGGCACACTAAATGTTCTTACTAATTCTTCTCAAATACTTTCCCACTATAGTGCCTCTCTCAGAACGGTACCTGCCCATAGTCACAAATCACAGTAACCCCATTTCATAACCAGGCTCCCTCAAATGTCATTAAATCCTAGCAGTGGCTTTAAGATAGAAATAAATATGCAAGATGCTTGAATTAGCAAGGTTTCCCATTTTCCTCTTTCCCTAGCTTTAGAGTTTGACTTGATTGCCTCATTAATCTCAAGGGAATGTGACGCATTCACCACACGTCCAAAAGATGTGCAGCGTTTCACAAAGCAGCAGAATGAAGACAATACAACCCTGCATCTCCTATGCCGGGAGCTGCAGAGAAGTGCGGGCAAGAAGAAAATGGTGTAAACGGCTCCTACGTGTTTCTCAGAGATGTAAGAAAAAAGTGGAGAGAAATTTCTATTTGCTTATTTTCTTTTGTTTACATTAATGTCATTCCATGCCTTTGGGGATTTGGAACCTTCTGGAATTTCTCGATTCTGGGATGTTTTGTTGAATTTCATTTATTCTTACTAAGGATGATGCTGGCTTGGAGAAAAGACGTGCATATGGCATGTTCCTCAAAACACATATGTTCCCATCTCCAGAAGGAAACTAGAAAATATCATACAGCTGCATTTCATCTATAGGGAGAGAGTGCTTCTAGAGGAGAAAAGTGGTTGCAGGTAACAGATGCCTGCCTGAATAAAATCATAAGAGCTTGCACAAAACACACAATACCTACTTCAAAAGACCTCAAACAGGAAATAATCAAGGTGCTGCTTTAACAGTGGAGAGATACACACTAGGACAAGACTGTCCGTCAAGCAGATGAGTAGCACAGATCAGACATGGGGAAGGAAAAAAACCACAAAAACAGTTCTGCACTAAAAGTATGCTTCCCCTCGCTTTTTACAAATCTATACTATGTGGCTAGAAACCATGCATCATGTAAGAGATGGTTCTTCTTTTCAGCGAAGGAAAATAATGCTTCTTTTTAATTAGAAGGTGTTCCTTCGATGAACATGTTGTGGTCCAGGGGCAGAAAAAGTCAATGGTAATCTTAGGGCGTGATCCGCCTGCCTTGGCCTCCCAAAGTGCTGGGATTAGGGTTGAATCAATAGATGCTGTTTATTGCTCCAGGTGAGCAGTGCCATCAGGTTGACGTAAAGCACATTTCGAGGGGCTGCATTTCAACACTATCATGAGAGCTGCATGAGGTCAAGGGTGTGCCCAGAAAGCAGGCCCAGCCTGTGCAGGTAACTGCGTAGGGCGTACCCAGAAGTGCAGGTAGCTGTGTTGTCCTCCAGGGACTCCCATGAGGAACTCTCTAACCTTGGCTTCTATTGTACTTATGTTGAGACTCACAGCGAACAAGCTGTTTTTTTTTTTTTTTTTTTTTTGAGATGGAGTCTCGCTCTGTCACCTAGGCTGGAGTGCAGTAGCGAGATCTCGGCTCACTGCAACCTCCGCCTCCCGGGTTCAAACGATTCTCCTGCCTCAGCCTCCTGAGTAGCTGGGATTACAGGTGTGCACCGCCACACCTGGCTAATGTTTGTATTTTTAGTGGAGATGGGGTTTCACTATGTTGGTCAGGCTGGTGTCTAACTCCTGACCTCGTGATCTACCCGCCTTGGCCTCCCAAAGTGCTGGGATTACAGGCATGAGCGACTGTGCCCGGCCAGCTTACAAACTTTTTAAGGCATTGACCACTGCCCAGTGAAAAGAAAGAAATAGTCAACATCTATATTTTGTGAACAGGCAACAATATGAGTGAATCCATCAAATGGAGATAAAGCCCCATACTGACTTCTCAAGGCTGGGCACCCACCTCTAAAAGGATGCAGAGTCACAAGATACTATGGATTGGGGAGCAGATCCATGCCCCCAGTTCTTTCATTTCAACCATATGCCCCAAGAGTCTTCTATGTCTGTGGTCAAGCCCCATCTACCTCTCCCTTGCCCCTTGTCCTACGCCCCCTCTTCCCCCTCTGCCCTCTAACACACTACAATATCTGGCTGCATGGCCACTGCACACCCTGTTGCCTCCATATGGAACCCTCAGCCTCTTCTCCCTTTTCCTGGTTAGGTGCTACTCAGTCTTCAACTCTCAGCTAAAGAGTCATGTCCAGGAGGAAGCTGTCCCTGATTCCCTCAGCCTAGGCCAGGTTCTTCTGATAAGTAACTTCTTAGAACAGCAATTATTTTCTTTGACTTACTTTAGTCTGCAATTATGCATTTATTAATGGGACTATTTAATTTTGATCTTTTCCATGGGGCTGTGGGGTTTTGAGAGCTGGAAACTACTTTGTCTGCTTTTGGTCTCTATTGTTTCTCCATCCTTCATGGCACATTGTAGGGCTCAAGGAATGTTTGTTGAATAAAGAAATACTCAGTGTATTCGGTTAACACATTAAGGACCAGATAAAAGACAGTAGTACTGGCTATTATTCATCTTTTATTCTCTATGAAATTAATCATTTATTCAAGATGAAAACTAGACTCCCCTGCTGAATAAAGTGCCCTGTCCTCTGAGTTAGAAAGATTAAATATTAAAAGTTTTATATAGGGGAACCACTTTTTGCTTTGACTGCCAGGGCATACCAAGTAGCTCAAAGCTAAATTTTGGGCCTGCCCTTAATAACAGGTACTGTTTTGCACGTGGTTCTGAGTAATGCATTTCTAAATAAGCATCCCCAAAGATGCAAAGCAGGTATTCTCAGCTGCTGAAAGCTGACATACAGAAAGAAAAAGCAGGTGTTCCAAGGATCTTTCTGGGAGAAATTGCTTTATTAAAAATTTTTTTGTAGAGACAGGGTCTCACTCTGTTGCCCAGGCTAGAATGCAATGGCTATTCACAGGCACCCACAATAAACTGCATCCTTGAATTTCTGGACTCAAGTGATCCTCTCACTTTGGCCTCCAAAGTAGCTGGGGCTACAGGTGTGTGCCACTGCACCCAGCTGAGAATATAAATTATAAGTTAGATTGCAACCCACTGAATCTGGCCAAATTGTCTTCAGGCTCAAAAACCTCAAATGCAAACCTGTTCTTTTTTTTTAAATTATTATACTTTAAGTTCTGGGATACACGTGCAGAATGTGCAGGTTTGTTACATAGGTATATATGTGCCATGGTGGTTTGCTGCACCCATCAACCCATCATCTAGGTTTTAAGCCCTGCATGTATTAGGTGTTTCTCCTAATGCTATCCATCCCCTTGCCCCCAACCTCCCGATAGGCCCAGGTGTGTGATGTTCCCTTCCCTGTGTCCAGGTGTTCTCATTGTTCAGCTCCTACTTATGAGTGAGAACATGTGGTGTTTGGTTTTCTGTTCCTGTGTTAGTTTGCTGAGAATGATGTTTTCCAGCTTCATCCATGTCCCTGCAAAGGACATGAACTCATTCTTTTTTATGGCTGCATAGTATTCCATCATGTATATATGCCACATTTTCTTTATCCAGTCTATCAGTGATGGGCATTTGGGTTGGTTCCGAGTCTTTGCTATTGTAAATGGTGCTGCAACAAACATATGTGTGCATGTGTCTTTATAGTAGAATGATTTATAATCCTATGGGTATATACCTGGTAATGGGATTGCTGGACCAAATGGTGTTTCTAGTTCTAGATCCTTGAGGAATTGCCACACTGTCTTCCACAATGGTCGAACTAATTTGCATTCCCACCAACAGTGTAAAAGGGCTCCTATTTCTCCACATCCTCTCCAGCATCTGTTGTTTCCTGACTTTTTAACGATCACCATTCTAACTGGTGTGAGATGGTATCTCATTGTGGTTTTGATTTGCATTTCTCTAATGACCAGTGACGATGAGCTTTTTTTTCATATGTTTGTTGGCTGCATAAATGTCTTCTTTTGAGAAGTGTCTGTTCATATCCTTCACCCACTTTTTGATGGGGTTGTTTTTATCTTGTAAATTTAAGTTCTTTGTAGATTCTGGATATTAGGCCTTTGTCAGATAGATAGATTGCAAAATTTTTCTCCCATTCTGTAGGTTGCCTGTTTACTCTGATGATAGTTTCTTTTGCTGTGCAGAAGCTCTTTAGTTTAATTAGATCCCGTTTGTCAATTTTGGCTTTTGTTGCCATTGCTTTTGGTGTTTTAGTCACGAAGTCTTTGCCCATGATTGTGTCCTGAATGTATTGCCTAGGGCAAACCTGATTCTATTATAAAGCAGACACTATCGCCATTATATTAATTTCATCTGGCTACCGTGACAAATTACCATAGCTGATGGCTTAAAATGGCCGAAATTTATCTCACAGTTCTGGAGGTCAGAAATCCAAAATCAGTTTCACTGGGCTGAAATCAAGGTTTCAGCAGAGCCATACTTCCTCCAGAGGTTGTAGGGGTGAATCATTCCTTTCATCTTCCAGCTCTTAGTGGCTGCCAGTATTGCTTGACTTGTGGCCACATCACTCTAATCTCTGCTCTCTCTCTTTACATCTCTTTCTCCTCTGTGTGTCTCTCTAGCCTCCCTTTGCCTTTCTTTCACAGGGGTCTTGTGATGGTATGAAGGGCCCATACAGATAATCTAGAATAATTTTTTCATCTCAAGAAACTTAACCACATCTGCAAAGTCTTTGATGTATATATATGGTAACATTTACAGGTTCCAGGGATTACAATCTAATATCTTTGGGGCAATTATTTAACCTACTGAGGCCATCTTTTTCATCTCTAAAATGTATACACACAGGCATATGCTCATACATTATAACTAATAACACATGTTTACCAAAAATATACACGGTGTACATAGAACAATTTTATTAATCCTTAAACATTACTACTCTGAATTGGGCTTAGAGCATTTGGTAGGAGGGTCGATGTGGTATAGTAGGCAGAAATCTAACATGGGCCCTATGACCTCCACACCCTGTGTAATCCCCTTCCCTTGAGTGTAGCCAGGGCTTGTATCTGCTTCTAGCCAAGAGAAGATGGCAAAGATGATGGGGTGTCACTCCTCTGATTAACTCACATTATATGCCCAAGGTGATGGGTTATCAACCCACAATGACTCCATCTTAGCAGATTAGAGCGAAAGACGTTCTCTTGCTGTCTTTGAAGAGCAAAATTCCATGTTGTTGGCATGTTGTGGAGGGGGCCACATGTCAGGGAACTGCAGGTGGCTTCCAGAAGCTGGGGACCTCAGTCCTACAACTGTAAAGAACTGAATCCTGCCAAAAGCCAGTGAGCCTGGAAGGGAACGTAGAGCCTCAGACAAGATCCTAGCTCTGGCCAACATCTTAATTTCAGCCTGGTAAGAAACTGAGCAGAGGACCCAGTTAAGTTGTGCCCAGACTCCTGGCCCATAGCAACTATGTGTGTGTGTGTGTGTGTGTATAACACACACACATATATAATTACATATATACATATATGTTGTTTAAGCTGCTAAATTTGTGGTAATTTGTTATGCAGCAATAAAAAACTAATACTCTTGGTTTGCAAAGTGTTTATTATCAAGATATAAGGTAGAGAATGAATAAGCACAGATAACCAAAATGAAGAGAATCAACTGCACCAAATGGCCAGATAGCAAAGTGCACTGGGAAGAAAATGTAGGTTGCATATGTGAAATGGTTGACAGCCAGCAAATGGATTTACATTAACTAGGAAATATATGGGAAATAGGTTTGGGGGAAACTTAGAAGTGAAAAGGGGTGAGTTTTCACCTAACTATTTCAGTTACAGGAGTAGAAATCCAACTGAAACTGACCAAAGCAAGTATGAATGAATAAATTCAATGAAGATGAATATGGAGAGTTTATTGGCTCACATACCTGATCAGCCCAGACGTATCTGGCTTCAGGCACCAATGCCCTGAAATCTGTCTCTCTCTAGCTCTCAGCTCCCTTTCCTCAGTATTGATCTCATGCTCAGGCAGCCTCTTCCAGTGGAGCCAGAGGTGGCCACTCATAGGTCCAGGCTTATATTCGGCTCATTGAGCAACCCGTTGTGGAAAGTGAGATTCTCTTTCCCAATAATTCCAGCAAGACTCCCTCAGTTATCCTTCACTGGCTCACTGGCTAGACCTGAGTCATCTGTCTAAACTTGATACCAAAAAGGGGCAGGAGAGCAAAGCTACCCAAGCCCAAAGGAAAACTGGGACTCTCTTACCAGAATGGGGATTGGATACTGTGCAGGCAAAAATCACAGGTGCCCATGACATAGGATGCAGTATGGTAGAAGTGCATGGATGGCAACTCCACATTTGGGAAAAGGATGGAAGAGGCCTTGTAAAGTCAAGAACCAAATAACCAAGCAGTAAATGGAAGTTCCTATGCAGCATACACAGAGAAGAACTTGCAGACTGAGATACAGGAAGAGATGTTTGGGTTTAAAATGGGTCAAGGTGTTTGTTTCTTTGTTTGAGATGGAGTTTTGCCCTGTCGCCCAGGCTGGAGTGCAATGGCACAATCTTGGCTCACTGCAACCTCTGTCTCCCAGGTTCAAGTGATTCTCCTGCCTCAGCCTCCGGAGTAGCTGGGATTACAGGCACCCACCACCACGCCCAGCTAATTTTTGTACTTTCAGTGGAGACAGGGTTTCACCATGTTGGCCAGGCTGCTCTTGAAATCCTGACCTCAGGTGATCCATCTGCCTTGGCCTCCCAAAGTGCTGGGATTACAGGCATGAGCCACTGTGCCTGGCCAGGTCAAGGTGTTTGATCTGCTGGGGTTGATAAGCAAAATAATCCCTGGGAAAAATCTCAGAAGGGGCGTGGCTTGATTAAACTGGCAGAATCGCTTTCTAGCAACAGGTGTAACTTGTATGAAAAGGGATATCAAAAAAAAAAAAAAACAACCAAAACAACCCTACATTCTTTTCACCTATGGAACAATCATATGTCTCAGGTGCCATGGTTTCTACCTTACCTTCATGATCAGATTTATTTCTCACCAATAGCCCTACAAAGTAAGCGTTTTAACACTTGAAAAAATTCAGGCTCAGGAGGTTAAGTGATTTTCCCCAGGTCACTGACCTAGCAACTGGCAGAACAAGGACTCAAATTCAGGTGAATGTGTCTCCGGAGTCACTATGCTAAACCCCCTATTTCTGAATTAGAGATGTTCGGGTTTCAAATGGGTCAAGATGTTTGATCTGCTGGGGTTGGTAAACAAGATTATCCCTGTAAGGACTTTAGGCACCTGAACGGGACATGAGAATGGAGAAATGCACAATAATATGTAACATTCATACTGTGAAACACTATTTCAAAGCCTCCTGTGTGGATTTAAGTGGGTAGTCTACTTTTACTCTGGCCTAAGATTTAATTGGCTAGGATATCAGAAGAAGCCAAAAGCCCTTTGGAAAAAGAAAGGTGGATCCAAAAGAGCAGAGGAACTGTATGAAGCAAAGATGCCAGGGAGGATAAATGACCAACAATATGTTACCAGATGCGCCCTCCCTGAGAACACTGGACTTGGCAAGGGTAAACAATAAGAGAGGAAGTCAGGGACGGAGAGGGCCAGGGAAAGTTCAGGCCTCCCTCCCTCCCACGCCCTCACTCCCCATTGTGGCTCACACTGAGTCAGCCCAGATGGGAAGAAGGCAGAGACCTCACCCACCCAGTGTCCACCCTACCCATGGCCTGGAAATAAGTGAGGATGAGATTTGTGAGGGCAGCTTAGATACACCCAGGTGCTACTTGGTCCCCCTTTTCCTCCACCCTCACACAGCCCCAGAGGTGCCAGTAGTCAGATCTCTGGGAGACAGTATACCAGCCAGGCCCTTGAATTCTGGTGCCAGCTCTAGTATTAATTACCGGATGACTTTGCATAAGGCACTTTGTGTCTCTGGGCTTTTATTTCCCGTATGAAGAGTCATCTGAGGTTGAATTAGATTAGGGATTGTACATGCAAGTGCCAACAGAGGCCAGGCAGGCAATGAAAATGTAGCAGGCTGGGTACAGGATGACAGGGAACAGTGGGGACTGGAGAGCACATGTTTTGTCCAGTGAGGGCATTCCCAGTGTCTCCAGATGCTCCAATTTTTCCTGGGAAGCCACAATTCAGACTTTTACATAAAGTCTCCCAATCTTTAAGTGTTGGCAACAAATCAAGCCTGCAGAGCAGTTGGCAATCTTGAGTCTAGATGTGCCTTGTCCCATAAGCTAGTCACTAGCCACATGTGACTATTTCATCTTAAATTAATTAAAATTAAACAAAAATTAAAAATTCACTTCCTCAGTCACAACAGCCACCTTTCAACTGCTCAATAGCCACAGGTATTAGTGGCTACCATATTGGATAACACAGATCTGAAACATGTCCAGCTTTGTAGAAAATTCTCTTGGATAGCCCTGGCCTAAGTGATGTCTAAGATAACTTTCAGCTAGTAAAACAAAAAATAAAGACAAAATGAAACAAAGGTTACTTTCTTAATTGATAGGAAACAACGCTACTGGAATTTCGTGGCATAACCATAACACAAAAATATTGGTGTCATTATTTTATTTTCACTCTGATGAGTTCCCTTCAGTTGCATTTAAATTGGTTTCTGCAGATCTGTTAATAGAAGCAGCCTGATACTTTCTAATCTGCTTCAACACACAAAGTACATTCATAGGGATTTGAAATCTAAACTTATATTAAAAGGAGAGGGGCCGGGCGTGGTGGCCCATGCCTGTAATCCCAGCACTTTGGGAGGCTGAGGAGGGCAGACCACTTGAGGTCAGAAGATCGAGGCCATTCTGGCTAACACATGGTGAAACCCCGTCTCCACTAAAAATACAAAAAATTAGCTGGGCGTGGTGGCATGTGCCTGTAGTCCCAGCTACTCGGGAGGCTGAGGCAGGAAAATTGCTTGAACCCGGGAGGTTGTAGTGCGTTGAGATCATGCCACTGCACTCCAGCCTGAGCAACAGAGCGAGACTCTGAAAAAAAAAAAAAAAGAAGAGAAAAGGAGAGGGGGCAGGGAAGAGAGAAACCCTATTTTACTTCTAGTACTTACCCCTCCCCTGCTAGGTGAGATATCACTTCCATACAGAGCTTTTAACTGCCTGTGCAAGAGCCTCCATTGTGACAAGCTGCAATGTTTTAGGTCAGTAGTCACCAAACTTTTCTATAAAGGACCAGACAGTAAATATTTTCAGCTCTGTGGGCTATATGATCACTATGGCAATTATTCATTTCTGCCTTATTACATGAAAGCAGCTATCAACAATATGTAAGCAAATGCGCATGGCTTTGTTCCAATAAAACTTTATCTGTGGACGCCAAAATTTGAATTTTGTATAAGTTTCATGTGTCAAATAGTTACTTGATTTCCCATACAACCATTTAAAAATGAAAAAGGAAAAAAAAAACATTCTTAGCTCAGGACGGTAGCAAAACAGGCAGTGTGCTGAATTTGGCCCACAGGCAGTAGCTTGCAGACCCCTATGTCCTGAAAGTTCTCTGATGGAGAGACTGCTGAACTGTAGGGCAGGGATTGCTGAGCTCTGACTTATATATATGACTCACTGGGCATGAGTCCCATGTAAGTTGTATAGTTAGCCAATGTTGTTCAGGAATGAAGGGAAGGACCATAAGGGCCCTTTTTTGTGAGACAAATTTATTGATATAGTCAGTCCTCATTATTTACAAAATTCAAACTTGCCTACTGGTTAGAATTCATTCATAACTCCAAAATCAATACTCAAGGTACTTTTTTGAAAAATAGAGACAGGATCTCGCTCTGTTGCCCAGGCTGTAGTGCAGTGGCACAATCATAGCCCACTGCAGCCTCAAACTCCTGGGCTCAAGTGATCCTCCCGCCTTGGCCTCCCAAAGCGCTGCAATTACAGGCATGAGCCACCACACTTAGCCTTTGCTCGAGGTATTTTTGCAATCATTCTCTGACTTGTGGGGAACAGCAAAAAATTTGAGTCACCCAATGCTCCTGTTCTCAGCTGAGATATAACAAAATAAAGCGCTGCCCTCTTGTTTCAGTTCATGTTAGGTACACACGTCCCTTTCAGAGTCTATGTAGCAACCTGTTTTACACATGTTGGTGCTTTTGGTTGGTGATTTTGCTGTTTAAAATGCCCCCTAAGCATAGTGCTGAACTGCTAAATTAGCTGTGGTATGAATGTTTGTGTATTTCCAAAATTAATAGTTTGAAGCTTAATCACCCGTGTCAGAATGATAGGAGATAGGGCCTCTGGGACATGATTAGGTCATGAGAACACAGTCCTCATGAACGGGATTAGTGCCCTCATGAAAGAGGCCCCAGAGAGCTGCCTTACCCCTTCTACCAAGTGAAGACACAATGAGAAGGTGCCATTTATGAACCAGAAAGTGGACCCTTATCAGGGTCTACCAAATCAAGTGGACTGTCAAGTGGTATTAGCAGGACCCTCATCCATTGACACTGAATGGCCTGGTGTCTTCATGGTGAATTTCCCAGGCTCCAGAACTGTGAGAAATACATTTCTGTTGTTTATAAGCTACCCAGCTTATGGTATTTCGTAACAGCAGCCCAAATGGACAAAGTTCCTAAGTGGAAGGCAGCTGCAATGTCCTTGTTAAAAAAAAATAATGTCTTAGATAAGCTTCATTCAAACATGAATTATAGTACTTTTGATATGAGTTCAATGTTAATGAATCAACTACATATATTAAATAATGTGTCTTTAAACAGAAACACACTTAAAACAAGGTTATGTACTGACTGGCTGATGAGAATGTTGTGACGAGGTTTATAGCAGCATAACTTATTTCCCCCTAGGTGTGATGTTTCAGTATTTGCTAATTTGGTGTTCATGATGCCTTTACTGAATATAACTACCTCAAATAATGAGAACTGACTGTATACTGACACTAAAAGGACAAGGTCTCACTCTGTCACCCAGGCTGGAGTGCAGTGGTGTGATCATGGCTCACTGCAGCATCGAACTCCTGGACTCAAGCGATCTTCCCGCTTTGGCCTCCCAAAGAGATAGGATTACAGGTGAAAGCCACAGCACAGCCAGGATTGTATTATTAAGGCACATGTGCCTTAGTCTGTCACTTCTGAGTGGTTTCTCTCTTAGCTTACTAATATAAGAAGCAAATCCACAGACAAAGAGGGATGGGAATAAGCAATTTTCATAAGAAACACAAACAGCCAATAAATATACAAAAATCCTTCACTGATAGTCGGAAATAAATATTAAACAAATGAGATATTTTTTCTCCTATTAGATTGGCAGAAACAGAATTACTTTTATAAGACAAAAGAATTGAGGTAAGATATATGTTGACTACCTTAAATCCCAATATGGGATTTAAATAAAAAAGCAACTTCTTTAAAAATTCAAAGATGAATTTAAAATTTGCTTAGGAAGGTAATTCTGAAGCTGATTTCAAGAGGCAAAGCTAAAATAATGAATGTAAGATTCTAAATAACAAGTTATATAGATGTAATATAGAAAAATCACAGGTGCTGTTGACCTTATCTTTAGCCTTTGGTAATTAGGACTTGAACTATAACAGCCTTTTATTTCTACCTACCCGCAACCCTCTGCTTTTATGTACTTTACCTCTGCTTACTTCTCTGCAGCCAGACAGTGACTTAGGCAAATAGGAAGGTAGGTGATGTGCTATTAGTGTTTTAAAAGGCTTTCATCTCTTCCATGGTTTTTCATGGTGTTATTATCTCTTATCAGTAGTTAATTTATATAGTATTTCCATGATGCCTTCTTAACAATATCCAGTGTATTAGCGTCACCTCCTTCTTACACAGTAAATTCATTTCAACACTGCATTGGCCAGAAAGGACATGCAGTAAATGTTAATCAATTCTATTGCCATAAGAAACGTGCATGGAGTTAAAGTTCACAAGAAACAGAAGCTAGAGAACTAACAGCAAAGTGGAACTTGCTGCTCATTAGTTCACGAACACACTCCCCAAAAGTGAAGAGAGACACTCTCACCTGAAACTAGTGCTAGAAGTAGTTATCCTGTTCACACAGCACACCCTACTGCCCATGGGGGAAAGTTCACTTCCAATGCACAACTGAGAAATTAAATATGGACCCTGCTGGCCAGCCTCCACCTAAATCTCATCTCTAATCGATCTGCAATTCAATAACATGCATGTCTTCTTTTGCCCCTACCTTTCGTGATGGCTTCAGCTGAAACATAAAAGGGCTTTAAAAGATTAATAGTTCCATCTTGATGCCAGGTGAAGTAAATTCCCAATTCATTCAATCCTCACTGTGATGTTTTGCACTTGGTACAAAGTAGATGCACAATAATGTTTTATAAAAGCACCACAATAAGATAGGTATTATTTTTATCTTTTTTTTCAGAAGACTTAAAAGGATTAATTAGTAACTCTCCAAAGATCCCAAAGCCCAAGTAAGTGGGGGAGCCAAGAGTTGAACCTCATCTAACTCCAGAGCGTATGCTTAATGACTACACTATATTACCCTCTTATTCTTTAATGCTAAAATAAGCTTTCAGCATTAAAAAGAAATGAACCGTCAGGTGATAATTAGTTTCAAAGTCTACCATAACAGGTTAGGCCTTTTAATAGCTTTAATACCACAGCTTTTGCTAAAGATTGATCAAGAACACAGGCCATTTCCTAAATACCTCACACAAAGGCAACTCTAAGCAAGTGCTAATTTTAAAACAGGGCATATGCCATGTTATCAATAGGAATCCAAAGTTAAACAACAGAATGGGCTAAGTGTGGAGCTTCTGGCATATGCTGGGATGTAACAGCCCTTCTCTTTAAATCAGGTGTTGCACCCATATAGTTTGCTAAGGATAAGGTATGAATAAGGAAATGCTGGGGCTGTAATGAATAGGTTTTCATTATTGTGGATTTGAAACAAACTTTTAAAAGCGTGTGTGTGTGTGTGTGTGTGCATGTGTGTGTGTTGGGTAAAGGATTACGGAGATTAACATTCAAAAGACAGTCAACAGAGAATAGTCCAGAAGTGGAAGGAATTTACGACTTAGCCTTAGAGTTTTCTCACGTTAATACCAACCTATTGGTAATGCCTGCCTGGAGCCCTGTTTCAGGAAGTATTGTGAGACCCGTTCTGAGTTCTACAAAGAAAGGGTGCTGTGTTGATTAATAATGTCTGTCCTGGCAGAGGAAAGGAGGGGAGCATATTAACTGCATAGTTGCTTTTCTTAGGACTAGAAGATTCACAGGAGTGCCATATTTGTTCATTACCACAGAGCTATCTCAGAGCTGCCAGCTAGGACTGAGAGGAAAGATCACACTGCAGACCCAGGATATTTAAATCAGAAAATAATTTTAACCGTGAAAACACAGGGTCTATGGGATTTATCCTCAGATGTAATAAGATAAGCCCACAGATGCGCTTAGGGGCTGAGATGACAGAAAGGCCACTTGGCTGAGAAACAGGAGGGAAAAAGAGCCAAGCAATATGGCTGAGAATTTGTTCTCCATACTGGTACAACAGAGCTTGGTAGATTTGCTATTTCTTTGGCTCAGCCTCATAGATTTTGGAAATGTGACTATTTATAGGGATTCTTATTTTTTTATTTCTTTCACTCATCCCTTAAAAGTTTTAAGCAAAGTCTACTTGAAAAATGTCAGCCTGTCTCAGGTGTGCTGAGAGAAAATTAAGTTTTGTCAGTGTTTAGTCAGAATATAAAAGGAGGGGAAAACTGACCTCTGGTGGTAAATTTGGAAAATCCCTAATACAAAGATTTCCAAAAAGTGATCCAGGAAGCATTAACCCCTCAATATTTTCTGTGGGAGAAGGGCTCTGTGGTAAAAATAACTCTGGGAAACAATTACATACTATATAAATATAATATATATTTATATGTTATATAATATATTTATAATATATTGTTATATATTACTTAATATACCTGTTTTTTTGGCAACTCATTGTGTTTAAGCCCTTAAGAATTCCTGCAGAAGAGAAACTATTTAATGCCTTTTAATTCAGCATTTTCTAAATCTGTTTGAATATAAACATGAAATATATTTTTAAAATTAACCTAACATTTTGGGAGACATGAACCTTAGGGAGAAGAATATAAGATCACGTTTTCCCCGTCCAATATGGAGAATTCCTTTCAGAGCTCTTCTCTGATAAAACCTTAGAACACTTGTGTTTTTACACGTAGCCTTCCCTTCCTTGTTCTCCTCCATGACTGTGTTTAGTAAGAAGCTAGGTAAATGTTTTTTTTTTTTTTTTTTTTTTTTTTTTTTGAGACAGATTCTTACTCTGTCACCCAGGTTGGAGTGCAGTGGCTCCATCTCGGCTCACTGCAAAATCCAACTCCCAGGCTCAAGCAATTCTCCTGCCTCAGCCTCCCAAGTAGCTGGGATTACAGGCATGTGCCACCACGCCCAGCTAATTTTTGTATTTTTAGTAGAGACTGGGTTTCACCATGTTGGCCAGGCTGGTCTCGAACTCCTGACCTCGAGTGATCTGCCCACCTCGGCCTCCCAAAATGCTGGGATTACAGGCGGCGTGAGCCACCACGCCCAGCCAAGAAGCTAGGTAAATGTTAAAGAATAATTTCCCAGTTAGAGACAAATCATTTACATATTTCAAGTTAACAAGCATCTACTGAAGAAAAGCTAGTAGCTGTATCAGTGCACTCAAGCTTTTCAGTTGTAACTATGCAGTAGAAATCTTAAAAAGGCCAACATAGTTTATAGATGACTCTTCTAATACAGAAGCTCTTCAGAGCTGGGAGTTGGTAAAACAGTGGCTCAGACTATTTTGTGCTCTGGAGCTATATAATTTTGGGGTTTGATGACAACCAGTTCTGCATCTCACTAGCTGTGTGACCTGGGGCATGTTACATAACCTCTCTGTTCTCAGTGATCTCATCTGTGAAATGGAAATCACAATATCTCCTAGTTCTGCTGGGGATTAAATGAGTTAACACTTGTAAAGTTCCTAAAACAACAAGTGTTAACTCTTTTAATCCCCAGCAGAACTAGGAGGTACTATGATTTGGCAGTTGGCTGGTAATTTGTTGCTTCTTAATTTGCACCACTAAAGTTAGGTGCATGAGGCATCATTTAAAAGGAAAATAGATTTTTTTTCTTTTAAAAATATTGTACTTTTGTTTTAGATCCTGAGACTACTAAGAAATTTTAACTGATTGTCACTAAAATGTATTATGGTGGTATTTTAAACTATTAACACTTTTTCTTTGGAAAAACCAGGAAAGTTTTCCTCTTCTTAACATTAAAAAACACTGTGGTAAAGTAGATAAAACAAAAATTCATCATTTAAACCATTTTTAAGTGTACAGTTCAGTGGTATTAAGTACATTCACATTGTTGTGCAACCATCACTCTCATCCTTCTCTAGAACATTTTCATTATCTCAAACTGAAACTCTGTGCCCACTAAAATGTAACTCCCCATTCCCTCTTCCCTACAGCTCTTGGCAACCACCACTCTGCTTTCCATCTCTATGAATGTGACTACACTAGGTAGCTCATACAAGTAAGATCACACTGTATTCATCCTTTTGCGACTGGCTTATTTCATATAGCATAATGCCCTCAAAGGTCATCCATGTTGTAGCATGTGTCAGGATTTCATAATACACACCATTTTGGCAGCTTTTTTCCCTCTGTTACTTAATACCTTTGAGAGATCTACCCTGACACTTTTTAAAGGTCAGAGTGTTCTATTAGATGGAAGTACCATCATTTATCCACTTCTCTCCTATCAACAACCATACAAATTGCACCCATAATTTTGCTATTATAACAATGCTAAAGTGAACACACTTGTGCATATATCATTTTGTATTTGTGCCAGTTTATCTGGAAGATAAATCCCTAAAAGTTATGTTACCTGGTCAATAAGAATGTGCATTTAGAATTTTGATAAGTATTGCCAAGTTAACTTCTAAAAATATTGCCCCTACTGGCATTCTCATCAACAGTATATGAGAGCCTTTTTGTCCATATCCTTCCAATGACGAGTATTTAAAATATTTTTTTGTCCTTGCCAGTCTCATAGGTGACGAGCATGGTTATTTAAAATAGATATCCCGACACAAAGAAAAGATAAATATTCAAGGTGATAGACATCCCAATTACCCTGATTTGATCATTACTCATTGTATACATGTATCAAAATAACATATGTATCCCTAAAACGTGCACAACTATGACATATCAGTACAAAATCCACACACATGAAATAAAACAGGTATAAGGGAGGACTTGCTGGTATGCAACGCGGGCAGAAGGGTGCTTGGGTGAAATTTGAGGGCATCAGAATCCTCCTCTGGTCTCTATTTGGAGACCTCTTCTTTTTTTTTTTTTTTTTTTTTTTGAGGCGGAGTCTCACTTACTCTGCTGCCCAGACTGGTGTGCAGTGGCATGATCTCTGCTCACTGCAACTTCTGCCTCCTGAATTGAAGTGATTCTCCTGCCTCAGCCTCCCAAGTAGCTGGGATTATAGGCATGCACCACCACGTCTGGCTAATTTTTGTATTTTTTTGTGGAGACAGGGTTTCATCATGTTGACCATGCTGGTCTCAAACTCCTGACCTCAAGTGATCCACCCACCTCAGCCTCCCAAAGTGCTGGGATTACAGGCATGAGCCACCATGCCCGGGCCTGGATGACTCTTCTTATTGATCCAAGGCAGAGAATGGTATTCTAGTACAAACGGGACTAGAAAGAGTTCTGCTTGGTACTATAATCAGGACTGATATTGAGTAGGAATGCACACATACAGCTATGCTTAGTTAAGATATTGACAATTCCACCATAGTGGTTGGCAACTGACCAGTCCCTGAGCCCCATTCTTGAATCCCAGCCACCTCCCCACAATCCAGCACCTCAAGGGTAAAACGTACTGCCACAAGAGGCCCTTTCAGACCCTGCCCAGCACTATGGGCAAGGCCTATTTAGGCTGATCCTTATTTGTGCTGAGAGGCTGTTAATAGTTTCAATATTGCTCCTGCCTACCTGGGTCTAACTTTTTGTAAGACTCCCTTCTATTTCTGAGCCTCTAGCACTGTTGTAAAGATGTTGTCTGTCTATTTCAGTTACAAGATCCTGTCTTTCTCATTCATTCTTTCACTCTCAAAATGTTTACTGAGTACCTCGTATATGGCAATTGCTGGACCAGGATCCCAGAATATTACTGTGAAGAGGGCAAATGCTGTCCCAGGCCTCAGGGAACTTATACACCAGGAGAGAAGGCAGGTGAAAAGTAACTGAAGAGACAAATTAATTCATGGTAGTAACGAGTGCTATAAAGAAAACAGGGAAGGCTCTAAAGGTGAGTTAATGAATGACTGACTTCTGCCCTCATTGCGTATCTGTGCATCCTCTCTTAAACCTACTTCAAATAATCAAGTTCAGCACCTATCAGACTGGCAAGGATGAAACAACTTTGGAATACTCCTTGTTGCAGGGATATGGAAAAATAGGCTCTCATATCCATTGTTGATGAGAATGACAGTAGGGACAATATTTTTGGAAGCTCACTTCTCAGAGGGGGCTCCTTTAGTAGAGAAGCCAGAGAAGCCCCGGTCTAAGACTTAAAGGAAAAAGATACAGGAACAAGGGAGGGAAAGAGCCAGGCTGCATTGTGCAGTGGGTGCAAAAAATCCAAGTGGAAAATCGCTGCTTGTGTTTTAGAGGGAATCAAAGAAGGCAAGAATGAGGACAGGGAGCTAAGGAGGTGAGGCTAGAGACAATGTCTGGGACCAGGTCAAGTCTAGCCTTACAGATTACAGCAAAGAGTTTAAGATGGTCTTATTTGTAACTTAAGAAAAGTACTGCATCATTTAAGTCTGTATTCTCCAATGCTTCTTAAGGTGCTTGAATCAAGGAGACAATCAATAAGAGTTTGTTTGAGAAGTACACTGAGCCCCTGTAGCTTTTTTCTATCTGTGCCTGGCACCCATCAGTCCTGTGACAGCTGCTTGAACAGTACAAATATGCCCAGAGTTAAAGAACTGATATCTTCCACTTGCCCAACATCTGTTATGCTCTTCCACATCTTTGCCCCTTTAAAACAAACAACTGAAATTTCCATCCCTGAAGTACACTTTACTCAATGATAAAATCAACCAATAATTACTGAGCACTTTTTATGGGCTCAGCATTCTTTCAAGTGCTTTGCCTATATTGACTCATTTCATCTACTGAGCAACTCTATAAGGTAGGTTTTAATATCACCCGCATTTTACAGATGAGGAAACTGAGGCAAAGGGAGATTAATCATTTTGACCACAATTATGCAAGTGGTAGGTGGTAGGGCAAGATCTCCAGAGTCGACGTCCTTGACTGCTACATCTCTCCAGCAGGCGCCAGCATGTGGATTTGCAATCTTACCATTGATTTCATCAAAGGAAGCATTTTGAGACATAAAATGCTGTTCCTAACTGTTGCACATTTTACTCACGTGCAGTTCATAGTTGTGCATATTTTACATCAATGTCCTTCAAACCGTTTTTGCCTGTCAGATATGAACTTCTGAGAGCATCTCATGAAGAAACATTTTGAGATCTCATCTGGTTGTGTTGCCTACATGCCTGGCAGTTTGGTTTCTATAGCATTGCTATCATTATGACAATGCTTATGCAACTGTTCAAATATTCCATCCCCCTCTTATTATATTATAAAAAAGCAGTGGAAAATGGAAAATAAAACGCCAGTACTGATACTAAGGATACAAAGCTCTCCCTTACTCCAATTAAGCTAAAGATGAAAATCATTGCACTTATAAAAAGAATCAATTGTTTGCTTTGCTCAGTTGTCCCCTGGACTTAAGCTGGTGAAGCTGTTCAACTGCAAATAAAAAGAAAATACTTTTATAAATGCGTGTATAAATATTGGAAATATAGGAAATATGTCTAAGGCACAGCACAATTAGTACTTTTTTTTGTTTATTTTGCTCTGTGGGAAAAGACCTATAAAATGTAAGCATATCATTCAACTTTGGGGTGTTTGACTTTCATTTGAAAGTAGGGGAGTAACTTAATTTATTAATTTTCTTCATCATTTGCTAGTAATGTAAATATTTTGTTAATATGCCATATCATATATCATATAACATCCTGTCCAAGCCCCGCTTGACAAGTCAATGTGTACTCACATGCAAACACACATAAACTCACTTTTCTATTCTATCTAACATATCAAAGAGTTCAGCATTTACAGAAACGTCAACTTACCTTTAACTAGTAAGTATTCTCTTGCCTTTCTTTTGTTTTTACTGTAATAATCTTCAGATTTTGTTTGCTATGCATAGATGTCATCTTTTTCTTTCATACACTCTTTCTTCTGGATTTCTCATCAAAGCCTGTAATACAGAAGAGAGAAGCTCCTTAATTTCTGTAGGCACAGGAGGAGAAACTATAAATCTCAAGTCAGTGACACTTCTAATTTATTTCTAATTTTCCCCTGGCTGACTACAGTTTAATCACAGTTTTAGAAATTCACCTAATTCCATGAGATTTAGAATAGAGTTCTCTCGAAATACAGATGAAATTGAGGCTAGTCTCCTTAACAACTAAAGAGTTCATACCAATTTGGCTTCTTACAGGATGCATGTCACTGAATACACCGTTTTAGACTTCTACTGTCTCTGTAGGAGGAGATTCTGAAGTGCTCAAAGTTATCTACACTCAGTTGCAAAATCAGGGCTGTCAAAGTGGGAGAGAGAACTCAGTAATACATCCCCTCCGAAGCCATGTTTCAGAGTTACTGAAACCAGAATGGCATTCCTGAATCTTTTTTTAACAGATGTCAGTGTGGCGAGAATGAAACACGTCATGAATACTGATGAAATCTAGCGTGCATATCACGCCATAAGATATCCTCATTTATATGTATTTCTCATTCTCCCTACTACAGAAAAGAAAACAGCTTTTCCCCCAGAAGCTCCACTTCAGTCAATAAGCATGCTTCTCCTTTGTCACTTGTGAGGTCACACTGTTTCACACACACCCAAGTGTAAAAACAGGACAAGGAGGGAGGCAGAAGTGGCAGATGTGGTATCCCTTGTTCTGCCATGTGGTAAGTGAAACTCTCTGTGGCACCATCCGCTTGGCACCTCCCCACACCACCTGCCCCTCCACTCCCCCTGGATGTGCAAGGCATCTAGGTGCAAGATGGCACAAGAAGCAGGAAGTCAAGGGGATTTCCTCACAAACACCTTTGCCCTCTCTCTCCTTCCTGATGCCATGGAACAAAGTCATTTTTCTAGCAGGAACTCCATATTCAAGGAGCTTAACTCAAATGAGAGCACAGAAAGGAGAAAAGGTTGAGAGTTTCCTACAGGCAATAATTTTTAGTACCCCTTTAGGAGGAAAACATGTTGGGCATGGATAGTTATGGTTTGGGTAGTACTAAGATCAGTATGAAGGATTCTCACACCCAGTTATCCTCTTGGTCCTCATGATCTCTCAGTGAAACATTAGGCAAAAAGAGGATACACTAGAGATGTGTTTTAGTCTAAGCCCCCACTTTACAAATAAGATAAATGAGGTACAGAAAGAGAGAGAGAAAGCAACTTGTAAAATGTTACACAGGGCAGAGCTGGCACTGGAATGACTCAGTACATTTTCTGCCTTATCACGTCATCTCTCCACATCTTTCTTGTGTCTGCCCGGCGACAAAAGCTCCTTGAGGGATTAAGCCCTGTAAACAATGATATACCAAGCAGTGTCTAATGTCACGTGCAAAGAACTAGTTAAATCCCTTGCTTCTTTAGTGGGTGTTAACAAAGACTACACAGCTGCTGTCAACTTGGATCACAAAGGCAGAAAAAAGAGAAATAAACAGATATCTTCTGGTTGCCTTCAATAGCTACTATTTGTTAAGTGTCCAACATAAGCCATATGCTATGCCAGGCACATCACTTGTATTCTGCTAATGCTTCTAGAAACTCCAAAGATAATATGGATGCTATTATACTAGGAATACAAGGAAACCAAGTCAGGGAAATAGATACCTTGTCTGAGGTTACACACAACTGGTTAGTTCTCAGATTCCATTCCTGCCGGCAACAAGCAGCACTATAAACCAAAGAAATATGCATCTACTTGAAAACCCCAGAACCCAGGAATAGAAACAAAGTGGACAGTATTTGGAAGGAAACTAAAGAGAGAAACAAAGGAAAACTGAGATTAGAGCATCATGGGAATCTATTCTACAACTATTAACATGCAGGAGGGATATGTTTTAAGATCTACGAACACACCAAATATGCAAATATAATTAAAGCACTTGACTCCACCTATAAAATTTGGTACAAGATACTTGTGATATTGGGTATCTGGGAATGAGCAAAGAAATGTTAAGATCTCAATGAGTTGGGGTAGATGAGTTACAATCACGCACTATATTAGTTTGCTAGGGCTGCCGTAACAAAATACCAAAGACTGCATGGCTTACAGAACAAAATGTATGTTCTCACATTTCTGAAGGCTTAAAGTCCAAGATCAAGGTGTCAACAGAGCTGGTATCCTCTGGGGCCTCTCTCCTTGGCTTGCAGATGGCCACCTCTTTACATGGTCTTTCCTCTGTACCCAAACACCCCTGGTACCACTTTTTGTGCCCATATTTCTTCTTATAAAGACACCAGTCACATTGTATTAGGGCCCATCCTCAAGGCCTAATTTTAACTTAATCACCTCTTTAGAGACCCTATCCACATGCACAGTCACATTCTGAGGTACTATGAATTAGGACTTCACTATATCAATCTAAGGGCTGGCCATAATTCAGCCCATAACACTCACCAAGTGACTAGTTCTGGTACCGCAGAGATGAAAATCCAGACACCTGAAAAGTAACAACCTATCATCAACCTTCAGTGTCATTCATGAAGAGCTGAAGCCCTCTAATATTTGAATTCAAGTTCAGGAATCTAAGGGTTTACTATAGGTTTTAGGTTAAAAAAAAAAAAAGGAGAGGAAGGCCATTTAATAAACCTTGGTCATTATGGTGTAAACCAAGCATCACAAGACTATGCTTGCCAGTTAAATATAGCATGCTGCATATTTTTCTAAATAAAGTTTTATTGGCACACAGCCATGTCTATTCATTTATGTATTGATTGTCTATGGCTGTTAGCGAGCTACAACTGCAGAGTTGAATAGTTGTAACAGAAACTCTCTGGTCCACAGGGCTGAAAATATACTCTATCTGGCCCTTTACAGAGAAAGTTTGCTGGCCCTTTACAGAGAAAGTTTGCCAACTCCTGGTTTAAACTGTGTTAATCAGGTTTCTTTACAGTAGGGCTTTTCAAGGTCTTTCCAATCTTCAAGGGGAAGATATATAGTAAAATTGCATCTTACGTGGGAGGTAGTTTCTAAAGTCAGTTCAAAGTGAAAACTGTGTATAGTCAAAATGAACACTGGAAAATCCCTTAGGGAAAGTGCCAACATAGAGCCCAGCAACTACATCATCATGAATATAGCCAGTTTTTCCTTCAAAGTTGCAACAGATAAAATTTTCTTCAAGCACTACATAAAAGGCTCTATTTATGGGCCATTTGTATAAAAAGGTGCATATCTTTAGATAACAGAATCACTCTCAGCATAAGAGACTTGAGAAAACTGAGACCAATCAAAGGACAGGAGATTCAGTTACCACCTCCTACTCACTTGTTGAATTTGCAGAAGTTATGTATGCACTGGAAATGACTCTACTGGAGTTTGCTTCCTTTCTCAGCTTACTTCACCAGAGAGTTCCCCTCCCTCACTATTCTTATCCCATAGAAACCTCTAATATATGCAATCTCTAATGATAAATATCTAATAATAAAACCTCTAATAATGCAATCAATATTCTGTGGAGCACACTTTGGGAAATGCTGAAATACTAAAAAACGTAGGTGTTACGGATCAATCAATCAGACGGAAATATATACAATGCTTTCTTAACACTGATAATAAAAAAACTGTAGGATAAACCACAATGAGATACCATTTCACACCTACTAGGACGGATATTTGGGGAATGAAAGGAAAATAAGAAGTGTTGGTGAGAATGTGGAAAAACTGGAACTCTAGTGCATTGATGATGGGATTGTAAAATGGTGCAGCCACTATGAAAAGCTGTTTAGTAGTCTCTCAAAAGGTTAAATATAGAATTACCATATGATCCAGCAATTCCATCTCTGGGCAGATACCCAAAAGAATTGAAAGGAGGGCCTTGAACAGATATTTGTACACCAGTGTTCATAGAAACATTATCCACAATTACCAAAGGTGGAAACAATCCAAATGTCCATCAGCAGATTAATGGATAAACAAAATATGGCATATACATAACATGGATTATAATTCTTTTCACCTTAAAATGGAACGAGATTCTGATATATGTTACAACATAAATGAGTCCTGAAAACATTATACTAAATGAAATAGGCCAGACATGAAAGGACAAATATTGTATGATTCCACTTACATGGAGTGATTAGTATCTAGAATAGTTGAATAGTAATTATTATCTAGAACAGTTGAATACACAGAGACAGAAAGTAGAGCAGAGTTTACAAGAGGCTGGGGGTACTGGGGAATGGGAAGTTATTGTTTAATGGGCATAGAGTTTCAGTTCAGGATGATGAAAAATGTTCTGGAGATGAATCGTGGTAGTGGTTGTTCAACATTGTGAATGCACTTAGACAGAGTCTTACTCTGTCGCCCAGGCTGGAGTGCAGTGGCACAATCATGGCTCACTGCAGTCTCAAACCCCCAGGCTCAAGCGACCCACCCACCTCAGCCTCCTGAGTAGCTGGGACCACAGGCACGCGCCACCATGCCCAGCTTTTTAAAAAAAATTTATAGAGATGAGGTCTCACTATGTTGCTCAGGCTGGTCTGGAACTCCTAGGCTCAAGCAATCCTCCTGCATCTGCCTTCCAAAGTGCTGGGTTCACAGGCATGAGCCACTGTGCCTGGCCAATTGTAATTTTTAAATTGATAAAATGGTAACTCTTATGTTATGTATGTGTGTATATATACATATATATAATATAAAATATATACACTAGTGTATATACTAGTATACTATTCATAGTATTATACATAACATACACTGTTATATGTAGTATGTATTATATAATATAATAAATATTAATTAAAATATATAATATGTACTATTATATATCAGTATATTATTTACAATATTTAATAGTATATTATATATACTATATAAATATATATACTATATATATACAGAGAAAGTTTGTATACATACTATATATACTATAGTATATATGTAGTATATATACTATATAAATATAATATATATAAATACATATTATATACAATACTATATAAAGTATGTATAAATACTATATATACTATATATACTATATTTATATATATTTATATTTTTATATATACTATATATATTTATATTCATATATAGTATATATACTATAGTATATATGTAGTATATATGTAGTATATATACTATATAATATATACTATTATTGTATAATATATATTATATATTATATATACTATATAACATATACTAATATAATACTACATAAATATATACTATTATTGTAAATAAAAGTATATATAATACTGTTATATATACTACTATATTATATGTAACTATATATACTACTATATGATATATAATTACATAATATATTATTATCTATTATATATAATATAATAGTATATACATATATACTGTCAAGATAGGGTCTCGCCCTGTCACCCAGGCTGGAGTGTAGTGGTGCGATTGTGGCTCACTGCAGCCTCGAACCTCTTGGCTCATGTGATCCTCCCACCTCAGCCTCCTGAGCAGCTGGGACTACACAGGCGGCATTACCACACCTGGGTAACTTTTAATTTTTTTTGTAGAGACAGGTTCTCGCTTTGTTGCTCAGGTTGTTCCTGAACTCTCGGTTTCAAATGATCCTTGGGCCTTGGCATCCTAAAGTGCTGGGATTACAGGCATGAGCCACTGCGTCCAGCCTTGTTATGAATATTTTACCACAATAAAAATATGTTCAAGACAAAAAAGGATATAGAAGCAAAATTGTAGGAATGGGGATGGGGCAGACTTAAATTATTTAGACATCACTTGAATGTGTCATTCTGCTAAAAATCTAGCTGTTGACAAATTCCTGGCTTGCTTAGGTGACAATTTCAATACTTGGAAGGCAGAGGATGCTACAAGGGGAAGTGTTCATCCAGGAAAACCTTTTGGGCAATAGATAAATGAAGCAAAAAAGTGGTCACACACTCTTGGAGTTCAAAGCAGTTGAGGGAGGGATGCTGGGGTCCTTGCCTGGCTCCTCTCTGGTTCCAGTACTGCCTCCCACCACCCAATCTCCATCCTCACCCTTCCACTCATCCCCATTCACTGTATATTCAGCAGCCAAAGTGGGGGTAAAATATGGAAATATACAGAAGAAAATGCAACAAACTCCTATCCATGCGCCCATCAGTCAAAACTAACAAACGTTGTTTTTCATATTTTTTCACATCCTGTCTTTACTCTTTTAAGTGATAGAACCACACAGAATTTATCTTCTATGTTAATTTCTCCAGTCCAATTCTTTCTTCATCTTCAGAAGCAACCATTATTCTGAATTTGGTAGATATTTAGTTCGTGTGCGTGTGTGTGTATGTGTGTGTGTGTGTGTGTGCATGTGTCCAAACATATTCTATGATTTTGTAATTTTAAAACTTTTTATAAAGAGTATTATGCTGCCTATTATATTTTGCTCAACATGGTTTTTTGCGATCTAGATTATTAACTGTTGCATAGTGCTCTGTCGTATGACTGAATTACAGTTTAATTCTCCATTTGTGGACTGATGGCTATTTGGGTAGTGTCCGATTTTTGTTATAACAAAGGATGCGACAGCACACATCCTCATGATTCTCCTTCTGTACAGAGGCCTCCCTGTTTAGTTGTGAGAGGTGTTTGGGGCACAACCTACATGAGAGTACATGGCAGTACTGTGTGGGTATATGCAGGAATTTCTCCTGGTAAATCTCACCTGGGGTGGTCCAATCCTCCAAGGTATTATTTGGAAATGTGGGAGAATCTTTCGTGAGATGGGGATGGAATGGGGCAGGGGATGCTAAATTTTGTACAGTGCATGAGAGTCCTAAATATTTTGTCCCCCACAAAATACCAAGAGTCCCTCCTTTGAGAAATGCTGCTGATTTCTGTCCCGAAGTAGAATCTTTGTGTGGTAGAATCTGTGTGTTTAGAAGTCTAACTAGGGAATGACAACTTGCTCTCCAAAGTGCCACCTGCCACAGCTCAGAGTGCCTGTTTACCTCAATTCTTTGCCAAGTCTCATTGTCAGCCTTTTGAATTTCTGCTATTGTGACGGGCATAAAATGCAGTTTCATTATGATTTTTAAACTTGCATTTCCTGCTTTTATTAGCACTGTGGAAAACCTTTTCAATTTTTACTGCTCATTCATGTCTCCCCCTTGTGGAAGTGCCTGTTAATAAGCTGTCTATTTTTCTATTGGGTAGTTTAAATTTCCCTTTTTGATTTGTAGGAGTTCATTAGAGATTCTGGAAACTTGCTTTTGGTAGTTATTTGGGGTTGCAAATGCCTTCTACCAGTTTGTTGTTTGTCTTTTTATTTTATGGTGCCATGTTATGCAGAAGTTATACATTTTGATATAGTGAAATTCATCCAAACTTGAGTGTGACTTTTGAGACTCTAGTTTATAAAATCTACTTTATTCTAAGATTCCTTTCTCCCCATCTAAAGGTTTTACATTTTTATTTCTTATATTTAAGTTTTTAATCCATCTCACAATTTATTCTTGTACAAACTGTTATGTAAGAATCTGATTTTTTCTTCTTACAGGCTATCAGTTGTAACAATACCATTTACTTTTGATACTGTGTTTTCCTCTGTAACTTCTAAAGCATCCTATATCATATAGAAAGAACCATATTTGTTTAGTTCATCATTGGGCTCTCTTTTCTGTCCTATTGATCTATTTTTCAATTACCCTTCACCAGTAATACTGTCTATGGCTTTATAATAAATTTTGATAGAGGAACTCCTAATCTTTTATTCTTTCACAAAACTCCCTTATTAAATTCTTGAATGTGGCTGGGCATGGTGGCTCATGCCTGTAATCCCAGCACTTTGGGAAGCCAAGGCAGGTGGATCACTTGAGGCCAGGAGCTTGAGATCAGCCTGGCCAACGTGGGGAAAACCCATCTCTACTAAAAAAAATACAAAAATTAGCCAGGTGTGGTGATGCACCCCTGTAATCCCAGCTACTTGAGGGGCTAAGGCACAAGAATCGCTTGAACCTGGGAGGCAGAGGTTGCACTGAGGCAAGATCATGCCATTGCACTCCAGCCTTGGCAACAGAGCAAGAGACTCTGTCAAAAAAAAAAATTCTTGAATACTTACATTTGCATTCATATTTCAGAATGCTGGGGATTTTGCTTAGAACTACAATGAATTTGTAAATACTCAACATTTCATGATATTGATCTTCCTTTCCACGTATATGGTATATCTTGTCATTTCTTTAGCTCTTTTAAAAATAATTTACAATAACCTTTTTTTCCTGAAGCAGATGTATATTTTCTTAAAACGTACTCTGAGTTTCTGAGTGGTTTTGAGCTCTGGAGTGATTTTTTTGAAACCCAAATCTGAAGATAGCAAATCATCCCTCCCTGAATGTAGCTCCCCTGAGGCTTTCTGTTACACTAAGAATGAAATTTGAACTCCATACTGGAGCATGATTATAGGACATGGTTTCCTATCTTCCTCCTGGACTTTTATTGTATGTTCTGTTAGTCATTAAGCTTTAGCCACAGTGGTTTTCTTTACTTTTTTTTCTAAGGTTAGTCAAGTGAGGCAGTGAGAGTGGAGTGGTTTTCTTTATGTACTCAAACATACCAAGCTAATTTTATTTTGGGACCCTTGTCCTTGAGGCTGTGTTTTTTCTGGAATCTTGTTCCCCAGATATGCATATGGCTAGTTTCTTCCTGCTGTTTGGGCCTCGGTTCAGATGTCTTCTCTCAGAGAAACTATCCCTGCCCACCAGAGAGTAGCCCTCCAACCATCCGTAATGACATAGCTTCTTTATTTCTTCACAGCACTTGCCACAATTTGAATTTATCTTCTTTGAACTCTTTATTGGTGTATTATTCCCCACGATATACTATAAGCTCCACATGATTGAGGACCTTGCTGCCTTGTTCTTTTCTGTGTCCCCAGAACCTACAGCAATTCCTGGCACATGGCAGCTGTTCAGTGAATATGAGCTGAATGGATAACTGAGTGGAAAAATGAACTCACGTGGATCTCCCCTAATGCCCCTGGTTGCTCCTCCTGTGTCCTCTTATATCAACAAAGGGGTATTTCCTTTCTCCCATATATTAGCAGTAAATAATGATGTAAGACATTTCTAGTCTCTTGAACAAATAGTTTAACTGCAGAAATACTTACAAAACGGATTCCAAACACATTTATGTTCTGCATTCCAGGTTTCCAAGTGGCTTAGAACAGTGAAAGTGCCACTGTCTATTCGGCCCATTTCTACTCCTAAGAGATAGCTATTAAGTTTATTTGCATAAATCCAGAAACCATTTATCCATTTACAAATCTCCAGCTATCTAATCTATCTCAGATTACACAATCTGAATGATTCACCAAAGAAGTTTCTTTTTTTTTTTTTTGAGATGGGGTCTCACTCTGTCACTCAGGCTGTGATGCAATCATAGCTTGCAGCCTTGAACTCCTGTACTCAAGCAGTCCTCCTAACTCAGCCCCCTGAGTAGCTGGAATTACAAGTGCACACCATCATGCTCAGTTAATTTTTAAATTTTTTTTAGAGATGGGATCTCACTATATTGTCCAGGCTGGTCTCAAACTCCTGGCCTCAAGTGAACCTCCTGCTTCAGCCTCCCAAAGTGCTGGGATTACAGGCATGAGCCACTATGCCCTGCCAATAAGTTTTATTCTATTGAAAAATTGTTATTTTTAAGTGAATCTGAGTTTGTTAAGAAGGCAGATTGTCAATCCCACTTCTAGAGGTTCTGATTCCACAAACCAGGGGTGGGGCCTTCATTTTCAACAAGCACTCTAGATCATTCTAACATAGGTAGTCCAAAAACCACTTATGAGAAATACTCATAAGTGAGTATTTATGAGTATTAAATACTAGGTTAAGGCAATTTAATGCCATCCTTATTTAAGATGATGCAGCCTCCCAAATACTAGGGGGCAGATGGAGCCATACGTGCACCCACTGACGTCCTATGTCATGTCCTCTTTGCCCAAGAAGAGGGCATTGCGGATCCATGTGCCTCCACTGAAGCCCTGACAACCAGACCTGCTTATGAAGCCACATAAACATTATCAGGGCAACAGCTCAAACAGGCAGTGAGGAAATGGGTTCTAGACTCTGAGTGGCTTTGGGCCAGTTTCTTCATATGCACAATGAGAAGGTGGGCCAGTGTGATGTTATGATAGAATAAGAAATCTGTTTGTTCTTCCCCAGTTCCTGGCAAAGAGCTTCTGAAATTCTTGTAACTTCGGAGTGATTGGGGTGAGAGAAGCATCTTTTGTTACTCATAATAAGCCCCTTTCAACCACATCTGAGTTTATGTTAATGAGATGGCTGGGGGATTCCAGCCCCACACAGCTTCAGGGTGGGGGCTGGTTGCCAGAGGAACCAACCATGTGATTACAGGGTTGGAAATTTCAGTCCCACCCCCTGACCCCCAGGGAGGGGAGAGGGGCTGGAGGTTGAGTTCAGTCACCAGTGGCCACAATTTACTCAATCATGCCTAACTAATGGAACCTCCATAAAAACCCTGAACAATGGGGTTTGGAGAGCCTCCTGGTGAATGCATTCACTTTTTGGGAGAGCGGCACATCCCAAACTCCACTGGCACAGAAACTCCTGCTTTTTGGACCCCTCTGGACTTTATATATACATCTCCATCTGGCTGTTTGTCTGTATCCTTTATAATATCTTTTCTAATGAACTGGTAAGTGAAGTGTTTCTCTGAGTTCTATGAGCTATTATAGCTAATTGTCAAACCTGAGCAGGAGGTCATAGGAACCCCTAATTTGTAGTTAAGTTGGTCAAAAGTGCAGAGGGCCCAGGACTTGCAATTGGCATCTGAAATGGGGTAGTCTTATGGGACTGAGCCCTTAACCTGTGAGGCCAAAACCACCTTTGCAAAATTATGACAGTAAGAGAAATCTGACACAGCCAACTCCATCTTGCTTCCAGCAACACACACTTGCTGTCCTCACTCATTCCTGGGTGTAGGCCAAGCTAACTTTCAAAGGAATTTGGTTTATAGTTTAAGCTTAAAGCAAGAATGATAATAGCCCTTCTGCAAACTAAACTGCCTTTGTAAAACTAATGAAAAGCCACAAGGTTAGGATTACAAGAGGGCCTGAATTCTGCTAAGATGTAGGCACAGTTAAAACAATAACCAGCCATTGTTCTGGAGCTCACAAGATCTGTAACTTCCCCAATTACTCCTGTAGATACATCACTATTGTAGAACCCAAGATTGGTCTTTTGAGATGTTTTTCAGACTTTTGCATTTTGATGACTAACTTCACCCATACCAGGGACTCAGCTGGACCTGTGGCCCCCACCCAGAGGCTGACAGCACACGAGGACCATTTTCCACACCCCTCTGATTTCATCTCCCATCCAATCAGCATTCCCCATTCCCTAGCCCCCTGCCCACCAAACTATCCTTGAAAAACCCTAGCGTCTTTGGGGAGACTGATTTGAGTAACAGCCCCAATCCTTCTGCTTGGCCAGCCTTGCATTAATTAAACTCTTTGTTTACTGCAATAATGCTGTCTCAGTGAATTGGGTTTATCTGTGCAGCGGGCAAGAAGAACACATTTGGGTGATTACAGTATCTGATGCTAATTTCAGGTAGATTTTGTGAAATCAAAATTGAACTGAATTGAATTGAGGACATCCAGTTGGTGTATGAGGAGTTGGAGAACTGACTGCTTAGTGTGGAAAATCCACACATTTGGTATCAGAAGTGTTGTGATTATTGACATAAAGTTGTTTTTTTCTTTCAACCACATAGTTATAAAAGTGCATTCCAGCTCTATCATTTTATGAGACTTCAACATCTCATGGATTTCTGTGTGATTAGGTTACGCCTGACTCTCACCCCATACCTTCCAAATTTTCTAGGAGGAACTTATATCATGTTTGTAATGGAAAAGAAAATAACCAAAACATTTTAAAAGATAACATTTCCCATTATTACTCAAACAGGATTTTCACAAGCTAAGATGATTGCTTCTGTTTCAGTGCTATGTTCACTACTCATCTCCACGAACATAAAGAAACAACAAAATCTCTACACACACTTATCCACCAGATTGTTTTAAACAATTTTCAAACTTGTTTTAATAGGCAAAACTGGCTCTGTAATGCTAAACTAGATGTAAATAGCCCAAGGATCCAATTTCAGCCAAAATCTCATACCACGTGGAGAAATTAAGCAATTCTTAAATATTTAATAATACCCTGTAATTTTTTAGACTCCTGGGCTCCAAAATTTCTGACAAAGTAATTCCTATGCCACAATTAATAAAAATAGACAACCTTCCAAAAAGTCTCGCAAAGCAAAAGTAAACTCCTCCGAGCACTCCCGCTGCGGTCAGAGTGATGCATACAAGTGACATACCCGCCAGAAACGACAGCAGCCAGAAAGGGTTTGGAGCTTGCCCTGAACGGGTGTCTGCTGAAAAGGCTCATAAAAAGAAGGTTGTGATTAGAAGATCATGACATTTCCAGCACCCACTTATTAGCATGTCTGGAGAATCACAGAAGGGGGACGATGCAGTCTTTATAACCAGAGTTCACGTCACAGGATATTTACAAATACTGCTATTCCAGTCTTCGGAGCAATTCGGTCTCTGCTCTAACAGCAGACAAAGAGTGCAGACACCCTAGCCAATCACTCCAGGTGGCCTCCTAAGAAAGATTCCTGCCAAACCTTGGCTGCTCAGGCCATAAACCTGTATATTCTTCCTCCGCATCATCCCACTTCTCATTCATTAAACCCCCTGCTTAAAACTCCTCAGTGACTTCTGATTTTACATAGACTAACACTTAAACTCCAGCTCCTATGTGGATTCCTATCTACCTCTGAAATCTCATTTCATGCCAGTCTTCCCTTCACTCTCAATACACCCCACATTGGCCTCCTTTTCCCACCTTACTGGGTCAAGTCCATTCTCACTGCAGGGACTTGGCACTTGCTGAGTCACTGCTTGGATTGTTATTTCTCTGGATCTTCACATAGCTGGCTCCATCTCATAATTCGAATTCAACTCGCATGACCTTCCCAGATCACTATATCCTAAATAGTATTAAGCTACGTTTGTGTTATTCTCTACTCCTGTTTATTTTCTGTCTGGTCCTGAAATTACACTGTTTATTTGCTTGCTGGCTTTCTTGTCCCACTAGAATTTCACCTCCAAGAGGAGGGAGATATTGCTTTGTCCTGTTCACTGCTACATCCTCGTAGCCTGGGACAATGCACATAGTAGATACTCAGTGACTATTTGTCAAATGAATGTATGTGTTGATTTATTTATTTATTTATTTTCTGAGATGGAGTCTGACTTTGTCACCCAGGCTGGAGTGCAGTGGCGTGATCTTAACTCACTATAACCTCCGCCTCCCAGGATCAAGTGATTCTCCTGCCTCAGCCTCCTGAGTAGCTGGGATTACAGGCATGTACCACCATGCCTGGCTAATTTTTGTATTTTTCGTAGAGACGAGGTTTCCTCATGTTGGTTAAGCTGGTCTCGAACTCCTGACTTAATGATCTGCCCACTTTAGCCTCATAAAGTGCTGGGTTTGCAGGCGTGAGCCACCGTGACTAGCCTACAAATTTTTTTATTTTTTTTCTTGAGATGGAGTCTCAATCTGTCATCCTGGCTGGAGTGCAGTGGTGCGATCTCAGCTCACTGCAACCTCTGCCTCCCTGGTTCAACTGATTCTCCTGCCTCAGCCTCCCTAGTAGCTGAGAATAAAGGCACACACCACCACACCTGGCTAATTTTCACATTTTTAGTAAAGATGAGGTTCCGTTATGTTGGCCAGGCCAGTCTCGAACTCACCTCAGGTGATCAGCCCACCTTGGCCTCTCAAAATGCTGAGATTACAGGCGTGAGTCACCCGCGCCAGGCCATGTGTTATTTTAGATTAAGTTAGAACCCAATTTTCAATGTTCTCCCTCTACTCAGAGTTAAAACTCAATTTGTTGCTTGGAAGACAAGTTAATTTGCAGAAGACACATATCTCACTCTCTGTGAATATCCTCATTGTCACCCCACAACTAGTTTAGAATCTCTGACATGGAGCGCATTCCTCTGAAAACACAAGACCCTTTGGAGACATCAGTCAAATGAAATTTAAGCCTCATTGACAAGCTAAGATGACTCTTACAGTGCTTCTTGAGGGAATGATTGTGTAGGTAGTGACTGCTGGAAGTGAAGGGCTCAGAGTCTGAGTGGGTTGATCCACATGTCACACAGATTGAAGCAGGTAGAGTTTTTTTTAATGCTAGGGAAATTTTGCTGAGATACTCTGTGTTCTAGCCAGGCATTCAGTATAGGGGTGGTTCATTTGGGGCTCAAATAAGAGGATCAACTAACTGAAGCTTTAAATGGGTATCAAATGAAGGTAATTCCACTCTGACTTGCACAGTGAGCTACAGAGTGGTAGTGACAGCAAATTTTCTAAACAGTATCATAATTTATAAGTCTCTTTTACATACTCATCATCTCTTTTGTTTCTTAGGGAAAATCTGTGAGGTTGGCCAAATGTAGTTATTGTACCTATTTCATATATGTGAAGATGAGACTCAAGATCCCATAATGAGTAAATAACCAGAACCTTGATTTGGAATCAAGATCTTATAAGATCATCTTCTAGACATACTAATGTACCAATAACAGAGATATTGAAGAAGGCATTTAAAAAATCAACTTTTTTGAGGTATAACATATATACACAATAAAATATTCCCATTTTAAGTGTGGAGTTAAACAGATTTTGACAAATATATACACTCTTTACCCACCACCACAATCAAGATATGGAATATTTCTCTTTTTTTGAATAAATTCAGGAGATACATGGGAAATTTTGTTACAAGTATATAATGTGTAGTGATCAAGTCAGGGTATTTAGAAGATAACAAAACATTTTTCTCTCCGAAGAAGTTCCTTTATATCCCTTTGTGCTCATTTCTCTCTCTTACTTCCTGCCCTTCCCTTAGGAAACCACTGATCTGCTCTCTGACATTACGTATTACTTTTTCTAGAATTTCACATGAATAGAATCACATAGTCTGAATTTTTTTGTGTCTCTGGCTCCTTTTGGTTTGCATGATGTTTTTGAGATTCATCCATGTTATAGCACATATTAGTAGTTTGTTATTTTGTATGGTTTCATTTTATAGTATTCTATTGTATGGCTATATCACAATTTATTTATCCATTCACCTTCTGATGGACATTTGGATTCTTTCCTGTTTGGATTATCATAAATGCCACTCTCATGGACATTCCAATACAAATCTTTTTTTTTTTTTTCGTTTTTTCAGACAGAGTCTCACTCTACTGGCCAGGCTGGAGTGCAGTGTTGCGATCTCGGATCACTGCAACCTCTGTTTCCTGGGTTCAAGGGATTCTCGTGGCTCAGCCTCCCAAGTAGCTGGGATTACAGGCGTGTGCCACCACACCTGGCTAATTTTTGTATTTTTAGTAGAGACGATGTTTCACCATGTTAGCCAGGCTGGTCTCGAACGCCTGACCTCAGGTGATCCACCTGCCTCGGCCTCCCAAAGTGCTGGGATTACAGGCGTGAGACACCACGCCTGGCCCCAGTACAAATCTTTTATGGGCATATATTTTCATTGCTTTTCAGTAAATACTCTGGAGTGGAATTGTGAGATTCTATGATCAGGGAATTTTTAATTTTATAAAAAACTGAGATCTATGGTCTAAAGTGGTTTTACCATTTTATATTTACACCAGCAGTGTATGGGAATTCCAGTTGCTCCATATCCTCACTGATACTTGCCATTGTTAGTCTTTAAATTTTAGCCATTTTAATAGCTATGAAGCAGTTGGCATCTCACTGTGATTTGAGTTTGCACTTCCTAGATGACTAATAATGTTGAGCATCATTTTCGGGGGCTTATTGCTCATTTGTATAACTTCTGCAAAGGGCAATTTGAGATACAAGAGATACAAATAATTTTGTGTCTCGTGCAAGCGTTTACTTTATTGTAGAAACAATTTTGAAAAAATGCAACCTGGAAAAAAATTATAAAATATTCAGACTATAAAGAATAAAGAAAACTATAATATGGTTAGAATGTCCACATTTTTATTTTTTCTTTAGTGTATATTCCTTGAATTTTTTTAGTATACATTCATGTAATGCTCTAACAAACTGGGGAGGCTGAGTTTTCAGGTAGAAGCTAGCAAAGAAGGAAAAGGCTTTGCTCTCTTTATTTCCATTCCCTAGACTTCATTTTGTAGACGATGGGCTCAATTATTCACAGCATCTTTTTATATGTAGCCTCGTAAAACTGTAAGGTGAATCATTACAAAATTAATATTCAACAGGCTTTATATAACTCTGCTTAATTCAATGCATAACTCAGATTTTTATCACCCCAAGGCCTCTCAAGATCTATAAATGCAACCAACTTAATAAGATACCATGTATTTTAACTCTAACATTACCTCAGCGACCTCCATACTGCACAACCACTAAGTTTAGACTAGATAACCAAATAGACATCTATGACAGAAATGAACTGTATTTAAAATGTCAAGTCCTGCATGAAGACGTGCATGATGACAACGAAGATTGTGTTCTAACACATTTGTTTTGAGAACCTTACAGTTTTGACTTTAAAAAGGAGCTTATTTTGCTTCCAGAGCACTAAGCTACAAGTATTTTGTGCCACATAACCCAAAAGAGTTGACTCTTAAATAATCATCATTTGCCAGGAGGTGAAAAAGCGGATGAATGCATCTAGATATTATCTCCTAGCCCCCATTCAAATAAATGTGTATAACTTCCATCCTAAAAGGACTCTTACAGATCATCCAGTCCTATGATCACATTTTCTGGACAAGGAACCAAGGCCCAGACAAGTGAAATTATCAGCCTGAGGTCAGACAACCAGCTAAAAAGACTGAGTGTGAAATCCAGGTCTTCTGAATCAGATTCTAAATTCTTAGTCTTGTGATTTTTTTTTTCCCCTAAGGCTTTTGTTTTGTTTTGTTTTCAATGGTTATACAGGTTCAATGCAGAAATTTTGGAAAACCCAGAAAAGCACAAAGAAAAACTGTTAGACCAATTTTTAACAATTTAAAATTGTTAATCTCCATACTTTAAGACAATCACTCAAACTTTTAGTAGGGCACTATGATACAGAAACTAAGAGGGCTGCTTCTGGAGTCATATATTTGGCTTCTTATCCTGACTCCTATGCTTGACAAGCTTGTGGGCATGGAAGTTACTTTACCTTCCTCAGCCTCAGTTTCCCTGCCAGTAAAATGGGGAGAACAAGGTTCCTCAGCGTCAGTTTCCCTGCCAGTAAAATGGGGAGAACGAGGTCACTGATTTCTCAAGGTTGTGAGAATGAGGTGAGATGAAATTTGTAAAGCATCTCATACAATGCCTGCAGACAATAATCATTAGCCATCATGATTATATACTTTCAGACATTTATTTATGTTCACGTTTTTATGCTTTAAAAAAGTAAACCACTTCAGGCCAAATGTCGTGGCTCTTGCCTGTAATCCCAGCACTTTGGGAGGCCCAGGCAGGAGGATCACTTGAACCCAGGAATTATAGATCAGCCTGAAAAGAATTAGCCAGGCATCATGGCATGGGCCTGTAGTTTCAGCTACTTGGGAGACTGAGGTGGGAGGATCGCTTGAGCTCAGGTTCATTCCAGCCTGGGTGACAGAGTGAGACGCTGTCTCAAAAAAAAACAAAATAGGCTGGGGGTGGTGGCTCACACCACTAATCCCAGCACTTTGGGCGGCCAAGGCAGGCAGATCACCTGAGGTCAGGAGTTCAAGACGAGCCTGTCCAACATGGGGAAACCCCGTCTCTACTGAAAATACAAAAAATTAGCTGGGCATGGTTGTACGTGCCTATAATCCCAGTTACTCGGGAGGCTGAGGCAGGAGAATCGCTTGAACCCAGGAGGCGGAAGTTGCAGTGAGCCAAGATTGTGCCATTGCACTCCAGCTTGGGCGACAAGAGTGAAACTCCACCTCCAAAACAACAACAACAACAACAAAACCCCAACAACAAAACAACAACAACAAAAAATGTAAGCCAGTTCTGTGGCCTTTTTCCATCTGATGGTACATTTGCCATGAAAAGTCATTTTCTGATGGCCTTCCCACTAAACTAAACTTTCCCAGAAAAGTCCAAATTTAAACAGTTATCTGAAGAGCCACACACTGGGGCTCTGACTAATAAGAAGAAATTCCCACAACCCAGCTAATATCTCGAGTTTTAGATTATGTACAAGGCTGCGGCCATATCCTAATGATGACTTCTAGCAGAGCTTCAGAAAGAATGTGGCTCCCTCCTTCCACTCCGAGCCTCTGCTTCTCAGTGCTTCCAGGAACCAGCAGGGCCCCAGGGACCTTTCCACATCAGGGTAATATCAGAGGATGATGTGTGATTTTATCATAGCCAGGGTGGTGATTTCCAAGTAAAGTAGGGATGGTTTTTGAGAATAAAAACTGTCCTGCTGCGATCTCTTTTCTTCCTATCCTGCACCAAAACAAACAAACAAACAATAAACCACTACCTACATTTGTGAGACTCCAGAAAGAACTGTTGGCCTGGCAATGATCAGTGACTGATGGATGATAGCTGTAGGAAGTGCTGTGATAAGGTTTATGAAGCTGTAGCCTGGATCAGTGGAAGAATATATTGTGATTGATCAGCAATGTCTGCAGTGGAAGGTGGAAACAGCACGGTGGTACACAGGCCATGGTGCTGTCCTCCCTGGTCTATTTTAATGTCTTCTCTTTATAGGTATGAAAAATAAGGTTTACAGCAATGAGGTATCATGGCTTATCCACCCACAAGTGCAGAGACAGAACATGGCAAAGCTGAGACTAGCAACCATTCCTTATGGTTTGTAGCTCAGCAATCCTCTCATGCCAAGATGCCTTTCTTCTCTGGTGGGTAAGATGGTTTACTTCTTATAACCACTAGGTGGTCCTGGCATGTTACAACCTATTCAGATCACTTCCATAATGAAAAAATTATGCCAAGATAATTTAAAAAAACACCAGTCCCAGCTCTGTACTAAGGCCCTGGCAACAGCCAGCACACAGCTGTTATGAGGATGCATATTCTCTTTTGACAAAAGACAGGTGGCTGGTGGTGTCATGTTGGTCTGAGATAACATACTGTGCAGAAAGAGAGACAAGCAGGGAAGGAGAGATTTCTTTCCCAGACTCTCACATAAATGGATTTCTTCTTTGCATAATGGAGCTCTAAATAAATAAAATACAAAACAAATGTTTACAATATTGTTGAGACACTGAGTTGTTCCTCTCCAGGAAAATGGAATTCAACACGAACTTTATAATGGTAGGAGGAAGAAGCATCATCATTTATTCCTTCATATGTTCACCAGATTATTTACTAAGTGCCAGCCATGTGCAAAGCACTAGGGATGCAACAGTGATCGGAAGAGAAATAGTTTATGTCCTCACATGAAGTCTACTGGGAAAGCTGGACTATTAACAAGCATTGTAATAAGTGTGTATATACAAAGAAGAAGACAGTATTGAGGAAGCAACTGGGCAGAGGTGAAGGATCAACAGGATTGGCATGCTTAAGTAGAAAGGGCATGTGATTTGGAGCTGGTCAAAAGCGAAATCTTTTCTTGCCACTTACCGAGTGGGTGACCTTGAGCAAGTCATTTAGACTTTCTACCCCAATTTCCTTATCTGTGAAACAAAGCTAATAATTTCTACCCTGTCAGGATTATGCTAGGTATTGAGTTAAAGTTTATTAAGTTCCCAGGGAAGCCTGGCACAGAGTATGAGTTCAACACATATTTGTCAAGTGAATGAAAGAATCATTATCAAATACACATTGGATCTCTAATAGAAAAAGTGACACTTGGGCAGAGACTGATGAAACAGAGAGAAACTAGACATTAGTCTTGTCTTATACCTATTTAGAGACTGAGACTATATAGCAAATAGCAAATTCATAAAGAAGCACATTTCATGTGGCTAGGTCAGGAAGTACTCTACAACAGAACTGTCTAGCAGAAACATAACGTGGGTCACAAATGACAGGCACATGTATAATTTTCAGATTTCTGCAGCCACATTAATAAAAGTAAGAAAGAAAAATAGAATAAGTTTAGCAATATATTTAACCCAACATAGCCAAAACATTATTATTTTACATATAGCTGACGTAAGTTTATTGATACAATATTTTGCATTCTATTTTTCGTACTAAGCCTTCAAAATCCAGTGTGTGCTTTATATTTACACTACATCTCAATTTGGCCTTGCCATGTTTCAGATGCTCAGTTGCCATGTGTGGCTAATGGCTTCCATACTGGACAACACAATTCCAGAAGTGTGGGGATGGGAGAGTTTATTGAAGACACAGGCAGTCAGGTGGGCTTAGGGAAGAGATGAAGAGATGGGCTTGAGTAGATGGCCATTAAAAGACCTGATTTGGTGTTTTTAAAAGCTGTATCTATGTACAGTGCCTTGTGTTGCAGCACCTTATAGAAGCCTCTTGCATCTGGCTGGCTCTGTGTCAGGGACCTTCTGAATCTACTTCTGGTGCAGGGGTCATATTCTTGCATTTGGTCCTTACTCTCTGATGGCACCTTCAGACTCTCAGACTGTACTTTGCTTCCTGGTACCCTCTGACTTGGCACCGTGCATAGCGCCGGGCACCTGGAAAGCACATGTATGTAAAAGCAGATTTCTTGGCTGCATAATGCAGCTCTAAATAAATAAAATACAAAGTGATGCCTGGAGCTAGCCAAACTCTGGCTCTCAAAGCTGCTAGGGCTATCAGAGTTGTCCTCTAGCCTAGGGAGACACACAGAGTTACAAGTTTAAAAAATCCCAGGAATATTCCCAGTAGAAAACCAATCTCAGCATGGCTTCCCAGTGGGGGAGAGATGGGCACATGGCCTGGCTGGGGTGCATGGCATTTGGCAGAGAGGAATTGGAAAAAGGAGGAGATGATTATCTGACGCTTTGAGAGCAGGTCCTGGCCAAGTGCATTCTCTAAGGTGAAATGGAGTAAGGAAATCCATGTAGCCAAGAAAAGTGCAGTGATGTGTACCAGAAAGAAATTCAGATGATGGATAAAGGATGAGTGAGAAAAATGGATGTGAAAGGAGGGAGGCAGAAGCCTAGAAAACAAGAGTCCCCATAAGAACTTGGTATCTCCTCACTTAAGCAAGCATTGATGTGTCCCCCGCACTGGGACCCAAGCTGGATCACAGTGGTGGGCTGCACCCATGTTTGCCTCCTCCTCAGGCCTATACCATCCCACAGCCCAGGACAATCAAATAAATAAGAGAAGTAGATTGGATGAGGAGGCAGAACACATTCTCCTGCTGTATCCCCAGCGATAACAGTAACAATGAAGAAGGAGGAATTTCTGAGTGGGCTGTAATTTCTGTTCAATAGTATCATCAAAGGAACTCCTGTCCCATGTGTAGAAGGAGATACTCACTCCCTGACTTTACCCAACTAACAGCAAGTAGGAACGTTGGGAGGTGACAGCGTGCTGGCAGCCCTCGCTTGCTCTCTGCCCCTCCTCGGCCTCAGTGCCCACTCTGGCCGCACTTGAGGAGCACTTCAGCCAGCTGCTGCACCGTGGGAGCCCCTCTCTCTGGGCTGGTTGAGGCCAGAGCCACTCCCTCTGCTTGCTGGGAGGTGTGGAGGAAGAGGTGCAAGTGGGAACCAGGGCTGTGCGCCACACTCACGGGCCAGCGCCAGTTCCAGGTGGGGTGGGCTCGGCAGGCCCTGCACTCCCAGCAGCTGGCCGGCGCCACCGGCCCCGGGCAGTGAGGGGCTTAGCACCCAGGCCAGCAGCTGCGGAGGGTGTGCCGGGTCCCCCAGCACTGCCGGCCCGCCCACGCCACACTCTAATTCTGGCCAGGCCTCAGCCACCTCCCCGAGGGGCAGGGCTTGGGACTGCAGCCCACCATGCCTGAGCCCCGCAGTGGGCTCTGGTGCAGCCAGAGCCTCCCCAAAGGGCACCACCCCCTGCTCCGTGGCACCAGGTCCCATCAACTGCTAAAGGGCTGAGGAGGGCAGGCGCACCATGCAGGACTGGCGGGCACCTCCGCCCGTGGCCCCTGCGTGGGATCCACTAGGGAAGTCAGCTGGACTCCTAAATCGGGTGGGGACTTGGAGAACTTTCATGTCTAGCCGGAGGATTGTGTATGCGCCCATCAGCATTCTGTGTCTAGCTTGGAGTTCGTGGGTACAACACTCAGCACTCTAAATCTAGCTAATCTGGTGGGGACTTGGAGAACCTTTATGTCTAGCTAAAGGATTGTAAATACACCAATCAGCACTCTGTGTCTAGCTCAGGGATTGTAAATGCACCAATCAGCACCCTATCAAAATGGACCAATCAGCTCTCTGTAAAACAGACCAATCAGCTCTCTGTAAAATGGACCAATCAGCTCCCTGTAAAATGGGCCAATCAGCAGGATGTGGGTGGGGTCAGCTAAGGGAATAAAAGCAGGCTGCCAGAGGCCACAGCAGTGATAGGTTCAGGTCTGTTTACATAATGTGGGAGGTTTGTTCTTTCACTCTTTGCAATAAATTTTTGCAGTTGCTTGTTATTTGGGTCTGCACTGCCTTTATGAGCTGTAACACTCACGGCAAAGGTCTGCAGCTTCTCATCTGAGAACAGTGAGACCACGAATGCACCAGGAGGAATGAACAACTCCAGACATGCCACCTTGAGAGCTGTAAGGCTCACCGTGAAGGTCTGCAGCTTCCCTTCTGAAGCCAGCGAGACCATTAACCGGTAAGAAGGAAGAAACTACGAACACGTCCGACGGAACATCAGAAGGAACAAACCCTGGATGCACCATCTTTAAGAACTGTAATGCTCACTGCGAGGGTCCGTGGCTTCATTCTTGAAGTCAGTGAGACCAAAAACCCACCAATTTTGGGCACAAGGTGACCCCAAGTGTGGCTAGGTGTTTTAATTTTTCCAAAGTTTTAACTACGAATTTTATGCAACACTTTGTAATTCCAATTTTTTAATGTCTTTAACTGTGTTAATAAATTTTTAAACATTGTGCTGGCTCCCACTGTGTGAGTCAAAGAAAACAGACCACAGGGCTGGCAGCTTGAGACTTCTACTCTAGGTTCAGGATCCTGTTCCACCATCACCTGGCCATTTGTAGCTTCTCAGTTCCATTTTGTTCTGAGGCTTAAATCAGAACCACTTGCCATCAGTTCCATTTTGCTTTGAGGCTTAATTCAGATTATGCACATCAAGGACTTAGTTTAGTTTCTGGCACGTGGTGAAGGCAGTTAATAACTGGTGCCGAGTATCTCTAAAGAACTTGTGAGCTTTCCATCACTTATATAGGGATTGAATCACAGGATGCCCCCAGAGACAAAACATCTGAAACAGGGCTCCCTACCTCTTCCTTTCTGCTTCACAGCCAAGGTGTATGACACTTTCATTTCACTTTGTCAATTCATGAAACTCAAAGTGTTTGCACAAAGTAAGAAAAAAAACGCCAACCGAGGTAGAAGTGTAAGTTGATGTAAGTTTTCGAGAAAGCAGTTTGATCATGCTTAGCAAAAGACTAAAAAAATTCATATGCCTTTTGACTCAGCTATTCCATTTCAAGGAATTTACCCTAAGGAAAAAATGATGGTTTTTCATAAAGCCTTAGTCCCAAAAATGTTTGACAGTGCAGTCTATAATAGAAGCAATTAAGGAAATTAAATGCCCGTAAAGGAGAGATTGGTTGCAAAAGTTATGCTACACTAGAAAGCTGATTTTTCTCCATCACAGCCCCCTCATTACTTTCAGAGCACTTACTATGTTAATCGTGTCTCCTGCAGTAAACTCCAGGAAAGCAGGGTCCTTGTCTGTCTTGTTCGCCATTGTATACACCACTGTCTATGAGCTGGCACACAACAGACACTAATGAATATTTAAATACATACAAGACAGTTTACGTAGTATGATTCCATTTTTGTAAAAAAAAAAAAAAAAAGCATATGTCTGTACATTATTAGTGCTTTCCTCTAGATGGGGTCAGCAAACTAGTTCCTGGACTGGCTAAATAAAGTTTTATTGGAGCACAGCCACACTCTTTCTTTTACATGTTGTCTATGGCTGCTTTCATACTAAAATGGCGCAGCTGAGTAGCTGCAACACAGTCCATGTTGCCCACAAAACTAAAAATATTCATTATGTGGCCCTGTAGAGAAAAAGTTTGCAGACTCCTGCTTTAAATGGTAGGAGTTCGTTTTGTGCAGTCTAATTCACATACACACACACAAACGTGTGTGTGTGTGTGTATATTTAACAATGAACATGTATTACTTTTATAACCAGAAAAAGTTAAAGTTATTTTTGCAAAAGAAAGACATGAATGAAGGAACAAAGAAAAAAGAAAAGAAAGGAGGGAATTATTTATTCATGTTTACCAATACAGAAAAATGTCCACAGCAAGCAAAAATTTTAAGTATTGTATGAACAGGATGGTTATATTTTTGTAATGTCTGGATACAGGACTGAAAGGAAAAAAAGGTTAGCATGGCTGTATCTGGGTAAGGGAACTACAAATGGCTTTTATTTCCTTCTTTGTTCTTTGTTGTATTTTCTCAATTTTCCATAATAAACATGCTTTACTTTTGTAATAAGAAAGAGAGAAAATAAGTGATATTGAAGATAGAGAAAATAAAATATTAGTCTACATAAAAAGCAACAATGTTTCTACCAGTCTTTGAACATCTACTTGGGGTCCTGGGAGTGTGTCCCTTTGGGCACACTGCTTGTCATTACTGCACTCCACTAAAATGGTAACATGGCCGAGGTCGAAGTGTTAAAATCTTGTGCCACGTTTGTTTTCCCTAAATTATTTATGGTGTCCTCCAAACAGAATGGATGTTTTTCTTTATATTAAAAAATTTTTTAAAGTCCACTGAATTGTTTCTGAAGCACAGTTTACCGTTCTATCTAGATTAGAAAATATATTTAGAAAAGAAGTTTTCTGGCTTAGTAGCCGACCCTTGCGCCCACAATCACATTTCCCTAATTTCAGCCTTAGCTGAGGTTGACGGTTCTAGCAATATGGACAGCTCTCACCTCATTCTTCCACCATTTGTCTCTCTGCTTTTAGGAGGAGGTAACACCCCCAGGGGCAGCTCTCAACAATGGGGAGCATGGATAAATACCCCAGCCTCTGGGCTGCAGAGTTGGCAGAAAGGAGCCCCTGGTGCCCATAGAAGCCATCTTTCTTGGCTTTTCTCCCTCTCTTGTTCACTCTCTCCACTTCTTTCTCTTGCTTCCTGGGAATCTCCTCTCCCAAACTAGCTTCCTGCACCCAAGATCCTGTTTCAGGTTCTGCTTTGGAGGAACTCACACTAAAAGAGTTTGTAAGCAAATGGCAAATTAATAACAAAATTTACACCACAGAGCCCAGAAAGTGCTCATAGATGGAGTCAAATAGAGCTCATTAGCTTCTAGGATACATGTGCTCATTATATGACTATTGACTAGATTTTTACATTGGGTCATGTGGGCTGGGTATACGATGGTGAACTAGATAGACACAGTCTATGCTCACAGAGCATGAGGCATTAAACAACGATTATGCAAATCATATTAACAGAAAGGACAGGAAAGATGGGAAAATATAGGAAAAACTAGTCTAGTCTGAGATTTAGCATGGATTTCTGAGAAGACAACATTTAAACTGGGTCTTAAAGTAGAGGTTAGCCAAAAAGTAGGGAAGAGCTACAATGTGTCCTCAACGTACAAAGACTGAACATGGAAGGTGGACATTTGATGGGCTAATTAACCATGTTACAGGATTTGAAGATTTCAAAAAATATAGCCAGCCAAATTCTCCTCTTTCATCTGACATGGTTAAATATCCCATGAGCAGAATAAGTGTTTGGATACCTTCAGGGTATTAATTACTGAGAAGACCAGAGTTGGCCATTATGATTCAAACATGGCTTAGAAAAACACGCTTGTAATCAGAGCCAGTGTATTGGTAGATTCTACTCTTATTACCTGGGTAGAATGTGGGTCTTCCATGAGGTGGCAAAAAAACAGTCTAACCTTGAAGCTGATGGGCTGCTTAAAAAAAAAAAAAAAAAAAAAAAAGGAGTCTAATTTGCTCCAAAGACCCACCACTTCGGATTCACAAAGATGTCACTTAAAATTGGTTTGAAGAACACCTGCCTGCTGACTCACTCTGAAATGGGAAATCAACTCAGAAGAATCTGATCCTTACAAACCTCTAGGGCACACATGCTTCCTGAGACTCTGAGTCTGCTTAACTTCCTCCTAAACACACAGTGTTTTATGTGCTAACAAAATGCAATAAATACACCGTTGGTACTTCCATGTTTATGATCCACTGCCTTTTTTCTTGCAGCAATCTTGTAAGAATTTAACTTCATAGTTTTATTATTCTCACTGCATACTAATACTTCAAACATTTCAGTAAATTATGGTTCTCTGCTTCCTACTTCAGAATCATTGAACTGATTTAATGAGCTCTGTCTAATTATTGCATTTCACCTTTCTTATTAAAGTGCAGCAGTGCTTTGGCTGAAATAGCTGGTAATAGCTCAAATACTCAGAAAGGAAAAAAATGAGGATGGATAATGCAGGACTCACTACAGCTCATTTTATGCTAGATATAATTTTTAAGAATATATAGATATATGTACACCTTAATCCTCTCATACATTCATTACATATTTTTAAAATGCCTGTATGTGCTACCCACTTGTGAAAGATACCAGAACAGATTTAATGGTGCTTTCTTAGATTGGCACCTTTCTATCGAGGGCATAAAACACACTGATTAAAAACTCTGGAACCAGACTGCATATATTGAAATCTTGGCTTCACCATTAGCCATGTGACCTTGGGCAAAACAATGAACCAATCCCTGCCTCGGTTTTCCCATCTGTAAAATGAGAGTTAAAGTATTAATAGCATGTACCTCCACAGGACTGTTGTGGGCATTAAATTAGTCAGTACATACATAACATGTCAAAAGACTACCAGGAGCATAACAGGCACTTGGTAATTGTTACCTCTTTTGTGTTCCATATTGAATTGTGCTTGTCTGTAACAAACTCACAGCAACTGTAGGTGTCTCTATCTACTTATCTATTTAATTAGTTATCCATTATTTATTTTTATTTACTGTTTACCTCCATCAAATTATAGGATACATGAAAAGACAGACTAAATGCCCAGTGCCTGGCATTGTGCTTGGTTTATAGTAAGGCACTAGTAAATGTTTATTGAATGAATGAACCAAGGAATAAATGATTCTCTGTCAGCACGCACGACCCCTCTCATTCCCCACAGCCTTTCGCTTCAGAGATTTCCATCACACATGTCTATCAAATGCCATTTGTTGGAAATTCCACATGGCTTTATACTCAGATGGTGCCCGTGATAAAGGGAAGGCGTTCTGGCATGCGTGAAAGTTACGATGCCAGATGACAAGCCAATTCACTGCATTATTCATCATCACATGTTGTTGGCCAGAGAACCGACTGCTGTCTGCTGAGCCCCACAATGGTCAAGTGAAGAGGCTGATTTTTAACAGAAGGTAGTAGCATCTTTAGAGAGACACGGTGATGCAGTAGGAAGATGAGGTTTAAAAAGTGAGATGTTCCTCAGTCTTGTCTCGGCTTAGCAAGGCTGGGCAAGTCACTTCACTCTTTGGGGCTCTTGGATTACCGTATTTGTAAATGGAGGACACAAATTGTCATCAGTAATTCCCAAACTGGTTGCACACCAGAATCTTCTGGAAAGCGTTTTAAAATATAGTTTGTTTTTGGCTAGCGGGAGGCAAATTTTTAATATAAAGTGCCAGATATTCCAGGTTTTACAGGCTGTATGATCTCTGTCACAACTACTCAGACTTGACTCTGCCATTACTTAACCAAAGCAACCATAGACAATATGGAAACAAATGGGTGTGTCTGGATTTGACCAGGTTACCCACAGCACACAGCTTCCTGAGCCCTCCTCTAGGCCATCTGTGGCCTCCAAGCATAAGGGTCAGTTCTCTGCATATTTACAAAAGCTCCTCTAAGTGACTTCAGCAGCAGAGATGTTTGTGAACTACCAGATTACGTGATCTGTAAGACTCCTTCCAGCTCTAATTGGAGCTGAGATTCTACATTTCTTATTTTCACCATGAGAAATGGCTATTCTTGGTCAACACTATCTAGACAATAATTCTCATATTCTTTCAAATGCATCACATTTGGATATTAGCATTCTACATCTGAAGTTTTTGGTCTCTCAAAATTCAATTTGCTACTCTACCAGGAAAAGTTTGAATAGTTCTTTCAATTGTGTTTAGATCTAAAGCAGCTCTCTCTGCGTGTGATATCCCCTGTCAGTTCTTTGTAAATGACATTTTCATTGTTAAGTTGCAAATTTGAGGTTTAATATTATCTCTTTTAGGCAATAAAGCAGCACAGTACACACCTCCACTTTAAGAAACAATAACACATAAAAATGTGAAATTGGTGAGGCCTGGTGGCTCAGGCCTGCAATCCCAGCACTTTGGAAGGCCAAGGTGGGCCGAGATTGCTTGAAGCTGGGAGTTCGAGACCATCCTGGGAAACATAGTGAGACCCCCCCCATCTCTAAAATAAATAAATCAATAAATAAAAATAACCAGGCTGGGCAACATAGTGAGACCCCCATCTCTAAAATAAATAAAAATTATCCAGGCATGGTGGCGCACGCCTATAGTCCCACCCACTCGAGCAGCTGAGGTGGGAGAATCACTTGAGCCTAGGAGTTTGAGGCCATAGTGAGCTGTGATTGCATCACTGCACTCCGCCCTGGAGGACAAAGTGAGACTCTGTCTCAAAAAAAAAAAAAAAAAAAAAAAAAGAAACAGATCATGGACTCTTAAAACAAAAAGTGAAATTATGAAACAGTTAAGGGGTGTTTATAATATTTGGCCCAGGCTAGGATTTCCTTTGTATAGAGAACTTCTTTTCTACTGAAATCATGACTGTCAGGTAACAATATATCCTGGATTTTTCCAGGACGGCCCCAGTTTTTACCTGTTGTCTCTGAGTAATTAACAGAGTGCCACTTTCCCTCTCAAAAGTGTCCCGTTTGGATGACAAATAACATGGCATCCTTCCTGTAGGTGAAACAGCCAAAATGATTGCTCCATTTATTTTATACTTAGTAAGAGGCAGGCCTGCTCTGGGGGCCTTCTCTATATTATCCCAATGAATCCTCACAATATTTTGCTTACGGGTGATATCCTGAGGTTGGGTCTTTCAAAAAGCAGATGCTGAGACAAGGAGTCAGGGAGGAGGATTTTTTCTGGGAAATATTACCAGGAAGCATAGGTAGGGAAGTGAGGAATGGAGTCAGGGAAGGGAAGGATGCCAAAACATGGTGTCTTCGTGAACAGTAACCAGAGCCGCAAGTAACCAGAGCTCAGTCTTGCCGGGAACTGTCTGAGAGACTGTGTGAGCATGCCTCAGAATGTTCCCATGGAGGGGCTAGGAGGCCGCAGTTTTATCCTGCAGTTTTACTCCTCATTGGTTGAGGGTCACTCCTGGAAATGTTCCCTCTCTTTCCCTGATGTCTGGCCTGTCCCATAGCAAGAAGCAGTTCACTTCTGTGGCTAGAGAAAGCCCTCAGGTAAAAGACACAAACAGCCTTGTCAGGGTGCATGAGAACTGTCTGAAGACAACTTCTGGGGTAGGCCCAGGGCCACTAACAGCACAGCTACAGGGAGACTGAAGCTTGGTAAGGTTAAGTCACTTGCCCAAAGCTACATAATTGGTGAGTGGTGGAGACAGGATCTTGACTCATGCATTCTGGCTCTGCACAGCTTACCCTTAACCATGCATAGAACTCCCTGTGCCTACACCTGAGTCACTTGTGCATCACCCAATATCTGTGCACTGGCCTTGTTTCTGGCCTGAGAGGCCCTGGCAATGGCTTGCTGTACAGCCAGGTAGCCAAGGCCTCTGCCACAGTCACCAACTGAGGTACTTGTGGCAGGCGATTCCTCCTGGCCTCTCAGGGAAATGACCAATGAACTCTTCTTCCTCTCTCCCCCTGCACTGCTCAGAAGCATAATAATTTCATATGGCTTCTCCCAAGACACCCCTGGAAGACCATGTAGTCAGCTTGTCACAAAGCCAGCTTTCTCATCTATGATGCACTTCCTTGTATTCACCTCCTTGCCCTCCCTGCTCACTCCTTCTTATTCACACTCACACCTGCTTCCCTGGGATTGCACTCCCCAATAAAGTGCTAGTACCCAAGCTTTCATTTTGTAATGGAACATAATCTGCATGCAGTAAGTTTTGACAAATGCCTACACCTATGTGACCCACCCTTGCATCCAGATCTAGAGCAACCATCAGCCCAGGAAGTTTCCTTAGACCCCTCACCAGTCAATCCACTCTTCTCACATTCCTAGGCAACCACTGTTCTGATTTATTTCAGTATCAAGCTTTACCTGTCCTAGAATATCAAATAAATGACAATCGTAGAATCTAACACATACAGTTTTGCCTGGGGGATCTGTTTTCCAGGGAACCTGGGTGAGGACTTACCTCTAACTTGGTATATTTTGAGTTTTTCTCATAATTCTGGTCCATTGAAGTACACATACCATATACCACTTCCAGGGTAGACCAAAATAATTACAAATATTGGTATTTAAAGTTCACGATCAAAACATTTTCATTTAATGAGTGATATTCAAAGCAATGACCTCAGTGCATTATAGATCCTAATTTTTTATCTTCATTATAAGTCTTTAGGATAGCTATTATCTTTGGCTTATAGATTAGGAAACTAAGTCTCCAGTTAGGCTGAGTAGTGACTTGAGATGACACAATGTAATAGAGGCAAGGTTGGGATTTGAGCCAGACTGCATCTGCCTCCAAGTCTTATGCTCTTTCATAAAATACTCTACATATAAGTTATCTGAAGAGAAACTCCCTATTAGTAACCATGACTCTACGGAAATCCATAAGCAAACTTTGGCTCATGATGCATAAAGCTAAAGGGACAAGGAAATTTGCAAAAGGAGGGCTCTCTCTGCACAAAGAAATGACTGCCTCATCTCCTGAGTACAGCTTTGAAAGGCTATTAGAGATCCACCCAGTAGAAAGATTACTGGGTATCACAGAAGATGATTGATCACTTATTCCCACAGCAGGCAGGTTGCTGAAACACTACCCTGGAAGCCAGAGGGAGTAAACTGTGAATAAGTGAAGCCTCACCTTGATCCATTTGGAAAAGTACAGTACACCCTTTACTTAACTCGTACCCATTCAAACATATTTATGGGGCAACTACCACGTGCAGACTCTGCTGCTCTCAATTCTGAGGTTATAGCAGCAACTAAGGCTGACTTTCTGAATAAATGATCAACTGATTTGTATTAAACTTTTGCTTATAGTAATTTAAAATACATGCTGGTAACTTTTTTTGCCCATTAATACCTATCCTGTCAGAAATGGGAAGGGTATGTTGGCCAGGAGGTTTTCTGGTAACAGGACAGAGGTATTTTTTGACCATTTAGAGTGCCTTGGAAATATGCTAGCTTGGCAAGTGAGTGCAGTAGGATAACATAACATTATCAGCGCCCTTACCCATAGACTGTCTGCAGGCCAGAAAGTAAACTGTCACCTATATATGATTTCTAAGGCAGATAAGGCCTGGAAATGGTGTTTTTCTTTCTTCTTTTCTCTAAAACATGAAACTAGGACTACAGATTAAGTAAAGACCATGTGATACTCAGTATGCAATGGTTTGCAAATGTTTTAAATGTGGAGACCCCTTTCTTATAGAAGTGGTCCTTCTAGGACAGGAGGAAAAAAACTGACAGAATTAGAATATCACTATTTCACAGCCCTTAATGAATTAATGGATCCATCACTGATTGCCAATATCCCCGAGTGATCACCTGATGCAATGGGGCTCCTAAGGGAACAACACACCGTCAATAAATTAGTCTTCAGAAAACAAAATTGAACCTGAATCTTAACAACTATCTCGATCCAACTACCAACAAGCATCAAACAGAACACTGAATTACAACACGGCAATGAAATTAGCAAAATCCAGACTGTGAGAAACTCTGCAGGTCAAATAACCAATTTTCTTCAATGTCTAAACTGCAAGGGGAAATAACAAAGAGATGGAGGGAAAACTTACAGATTAAAAGAGGCTTTACAGACATATCAACCAATCCCCAAAAGCTGATGTTATTTGGACCTTAAGTCAAAAACAATCTTCATCCAGGCGTGGTGGCTCACACCTGTAATCCCAGCACTTTGGGAGGCCAAGGCAGGCAGATCATGAGGTCAGGAGATTGAGACCATCCTGGCTAACATGGTGAAACCCCGTCTCTACTAAAAATGCAAAAAATTAGCCTGGCGCCGTGGCAGGCACCTGTAGTCCCAGCTACTTGGGAGGCTGAGGCAGGAGAATGGCATGAACCCAGGAGGCCCAGGTTGCAGTGAGCCGAGATTGCACCACTGCGCTCCAGCCTGGGTAACAGAGCGAGGCTCCGTCTCAAAAAAAAAAAAAAAAACCTTCAGGAAATACAGAATTCCATGAGACATTTAGGTTAGCATTGACTGGATTATTCTTTCTTTAAAATTATTATTATACTTTAAGTTCTAGGGTACACAACATGCAGGTTTGTTACACAGGTATACATGTGCCATGTTTGCTTACTGAACCCATCGACTCATCATTTACATTAGGTATATCTCCTAATGCTATCCCTCCCCCAGTCCCCCAGCCCCCGACAGGCCCCGGTGTGTGACGTTCCCCACCCTGTGTCCATGTGTTCTCATTGTTCAATTCCCACCTATGAGTAAGAATATGTGGTGTTTGGTTTTCTGTTCTTGTGATAGTTTACTGAGAATGATGGTTTCCAGCTTCATCCATGTCCCTTGCAAAGGACATGAACTCATCCTTTTTTATGGCTATATAGTGTTCCATGGTGTATGTGTGCCATATTTTCTTTATCCAGTCTATGACTGATGGACATTTGGGTTGGTTCCAAGTCTTTGCTATTGTGAATAGTGCCGCAATAAACATATGTGTCCATGTGTCTTTATAGGAGCATGATTTATAATCCTTTGGGTATACACCCCGTAATGGGATTGCTGGGTCAAATGGTATTTCTAGTTCTAGATCCTTAAGGAATTGCCACACTGTCTTCCACAAATAGTTGAACTAATTTGCATTCCCACCAACAGTGTAAAAGCCTTCCTATTTCTCCACATCCTCTCCAGCATCTGTTGTTTCCTGACTTTTTTTTTTCTCATTCTAAGTGGCATGAGATGGTATCTCACTGTGGTTTTGATTTGCATTTCTCTAATGACCAGCGATGATGAGCATTCTTTCATGTGTCTGTTGGCTACATAAACGTCTTCTTTTGAGAAGTGTCTGTTCATATCCTTTGCCCACTTTTTGATGGGGTTGTTTGTTTTTTTCTTGTAAATTTGTTTAAGTTCTTTGTAGATTCTGGAAATTAGCCCTCTGTCAGATGGGTAGATTGCAAATTTTTTTTTCCATTCTGTAGGTTGCCTGTTCACTCTGATGATAGTTTCTTTTGCTGTGCAGAAGCTCTTTAGTTTGATTAGAAACTGGATTATTCTTAAATGTTAAAGGTATGAGATTGTTTTTGTGGAAAAACAGTCCTTATCTTTTGAGGATACACACTGAAATATTTTCAGAAAAATAATGTGATATCTGAGATGTGCTTCAAAATAATAAGGAGGGGAGAAATAGGGTACTAATATAGCACAGTTGGCCATGAGTTGATAATTGTTGAAACCTGCATGCTGGATACAGGAATGATAATCATACATTTTGCCTTTGTTTATGTTTGTATTTTCTCACAACACAAAGTTAAAACCAACAAACAGAAAAGCAAAACCTTTTCTTTTCTTTTATTTTTGAGACAGGATCACTCTGTCACCCAGGCTGGAGTGCAGTGGCTCAATCATGGCTCACTATAGCTTTGACCTCCTAGGTTCACTGATCCTCCCATCTCAGGATCCTGAGTAGCTGGGACTATAGGCATGTACCACCACACCCAGCTAATTTTTTATTTTTATTTTTTTGTAGAGTCAGGGTCTCACCATGTTGCCCAGGCTGATCTTGAACTCCTGGGCTCAAGCCATCTGCCCACCTTCTCTTACCAAAGTGCTGGGATTACAGGCTTGAGCCACTGTGCCCGGCTAGAAGTCTTTTAAAAAATAAAACCTTAATTAGAATCCCCGCCTTCTAGGCAAAGCAAAAGTTAGAAAGCCAGAACATGCTTATTTGTCTCCATCTCTCTCCCCCAGAGGTCCCACTGTATTTTCTAAGGCACTGGTAAGATGGAAAAAGAATGGGCTTTGGAGCCAATGAGAAGTGGAGGTACTGTTTGGGTCTGCAATTTGACATGTCACTTTGGTTCTCCAAGCTCAACTTTTCCATCTCTGGAAGGAAGCTAATAAAGCTAGGAAATACTTCACCAAGAAGCACTTGTGACTTATTAAGAGAGCTAGCATTTGAGCGGTAACTGGCATGATTTGGACCCAAATCCATCTGCCTCTTAAAATCCATGCTCACAACTACTACATCACACAGTCTTCTAGAGTGGCACCTCACTGTTTGTGAATTGGCTATGGAGATTCACAGCCAGTAGAGACCTAGGTTCAAAAAAAATTGTTTCGCTCACTGTAGGCAGTGAAACCTGTGGTTCCCCAAATCAAGCTTCCCTTGTTTCAATCCCTGCTCTCCCATTACCAGCTACATGACTGTGAGCAAGTCACCTGACCTTGTCAAGCCTCCATTTTTAAATCTGTAACATGGGTTAATAAAAGAATGTGCCTAGGGTTTTTTGTGAGAAATAAATGACATAATCACAACCATAGTGTCTCAGCTCTTCTCAATCCTAGTATATACCTCCCAACTCCAGAAGAAGAATATGACTAGTCTGTCCAAGCACCACATTCTCCTGATCATGACTCGTTTAGGTACGGGTACAGAATCCATGCTAGGTAAATGGGATCCTAGCAGGGGACCTTCTGCTGCAAATACTAAAAAGGAGGGTGCTCTTTCCTTTTGGACACTGAAGAAATAGGAGTCAGCCAGGAACTGTTGACCAATGTGGAAAAACGCAGAGCCAAGGGATACACTCACCTGGGCCTGAAGCTACCCTGAAAAGTTTCAGTCACACCAGCAAATAAATTCTTCTGTTGGTGTAAGCCATTCTGAACTGATTAACAGAGTTTTTGACAAAGAGCAAATGTGCAATAAATGTTAGCTATCACTTGAAACATGAAAACAGATCAAATTTTTCCTGCTACCTTACATTCTGTTGCTTTGCTTGGGTTATTTCTTTTTATTTAAAGTTTTTTTTTAAATTACAGGTCATTTCAGATATATGCAAAAGCAGAGAAAAAAAGTATCACGGATCCTCATGAACTCCCAACAATCATCAATTCATGAATAGTCTTGTTCGGACTATGTCCCTCCTACTTATTTCCTTTTTCCCTTTTCATTTATATTTTTCAGATCCTTTTATAGTGTTTTCTTGTGTAGTAGACACTGTTGGTGGCCTACCCATCACTCATTTCCCAAATATTCCACTCAGTGATGTTTATTTCTTAAGCTCTCTCATGCAGCCAGAGATATGGACCTGTTTGTATTTAAATCCCAGAGATGGACCTGTTTGGTCTAGGGGTAATTTCATTCCCCTGGTCAGTAACAGGGTCAGAAATGCAATAAATATTGGGTGTTGAAACATGAAAGGGACACTACTGGGGAAGGGAGATACTTATGGACAATTTTCTGCTCTTAAGGAGCAGCCACAAAAAATTGTCTCTCTTTTTCCTTTGACTGCTATCCTGTCTGGATGTGATGCTCAGAACTGGAGCAGCTATATTTGCTACTAGTCTGAAGATGAAGCTATTACCAAAGATGACAGAGGACAGGGGGAATGAAGCTGAGACCTTAATAATATTATTGAGCGACTGAATCAAGCAAGTCGAGGGACTGCTCCACCTCTGGACTTGCTGTTCTGAGAGTTAAAAATCTGCTTCATTGTGTAAATATGTTTGAGTCCAGGTATCTGTTAATTGCTGCTGAAAATAACCAACTTTGCCATCAATACAGACCTATGGCCTGTATAGTCCGAGCTTCAAAAGCTGAGTAAGGAATCATACTGGGATGATGTAACAAAGACACCCTAAAATACAGTGACTTCAACCAGAGATAAATTGATTTCTTTCTCATGTTAAGAGTTTGCAGAGGTGTTCCTACCAAATCCCTTTAAAAATAAAACCCATAAATTAATCTCACACATCTCACTTAGTGACATGGCTGCAACCAATTGCAAGGGAGGCTCGGGGATGTAGTTGTTATTCTGGGTGGCCATTTGCCGGTTCTATTACTACAAGGAAAAGGTAGAAATAAATATTGTAACATAGCTACAGTGGTCATGAGGCGTCATCAGAATGCAGTATAGGAAGTCTCAGCTAGAGAAGAAGCAGAGAGGGTTAATTTGATTTGGTTCAACTGACTCTTTAATTAAAACAACTCAGAAATGTAAGCAAAATTCAAAAGAAATGTTCTTAAGTGCCTCCCTACATGACTTAGCAGAACGTATTTACTTAGATATAGGTAAAACTACACATCCCTTTCATCTCTTCTTTTTAGGTGAATCCCAGAAGGATCTCAGCAATCAGCAATACTTTGTTGGCCCAGTTTATTACCTTGTGTATGTGAAATAACTGAACTTCATTGATTTTCCTTGATTTCAAATCTCTTTTCCTCAGTTAAACTGCATGAGAGTGGTTCAATTATATTTTGCTCACTGGTCACCAGAATCCCATAGCAAGCCCCTACTCCACAAGATTATTATTAATCACAGTAATTCAATTTATGGAAAATTAAAGACAGACAAATAGAGAAAAATGATAGTGCTAAGAGCACAGTATTCTACAGCCCAGCTGAAATGGCTGTTGATAAAGGTTTTATATAGTTAAGATACAAGCGAGACTTTGATTTAGCGGCAGCAGGTTTTAAATGATGCATGAGAAGCCACCAAAGCAAATCCCTTTCTCTATGGTCCCCTCAGGGTCAAGTACCTTGTTTCAATTATAATTTCACCAAATTGCTGTGTTGCAGCGAATGTTTCAGATTAACAGCAGTATAGCACAGTTCTCTGTGGGACAGAATCAGAAAATCTAGTTCAGAGGTTTGTTGAAATACACCCCAAGACACCCAGATGCAAAACACATTAGAGACTCCAAGATGATGGGAATATTTTGGATCGGTATTCTCCAAAGAGATTACTTTTGCAGAAAACAAGTTTATTATTTATGGTGGTAAATAAGATTTCTCAGTGCAGCCAAAGAGGTTTCTTGCAATTACATTGAGAAGGCACCACAGTGCAGTCCATTATGGAAATCATATTTACATTAATAGAGAAAGCTTTTGTTTTGCCAAAATGTGTATTTCTTTTTAAAGCATACTCATGATGAGTTTGGAAGGGGATACTAAAACGTTTGGTTTGTCTTTTCATTCCAAATGACTCTATTCCTTGGAGAAGCATTTTGTATAGTAAAACACCATTTTGCAAGTTCTACTTCAAATTACCAGTCCAGTTTTTTTTAATTTAATGCTTTATTTGAGAAGAAATAATTTCAATTCTAGGTGGTCTTTGGTATGTCCAAAGAACAAAGAGAAGTATGTCCAAAGAACAAAGAGGGTTTTATTTAGAAAGAAGAAAGTTACTTGTGGTCTTCAGAGAAAGTTCATTGGTATTAGTAAAGCTCTGGGGAGCTGGTAAGCTCCAATTGGTGGGCAATGGCCATAGGTAAATTAGTCCTAGAGTTGCAACAAGTTATCTCTGCAGCTGTAGACAAAACTGGTCTCAGGCTACAGCAAGCAGTTTCAGTAACCAGGCTCAAAGAGAACTACATTCCTAGGGCAATGTTAAGTGTCCTAAGTACTTTTTCCCCCTAGCTTTTCGAATCTGTTTTATTTGGGCATGACAAGATCTACCCAATTCATATGATCAATTTGCACAATTATAATAAGAGAATCAACATTTTATGTAAGCACTTAGGCTAAATAAGTAGTAGTAAAACCATCCCACATGGCCGACAGGCTTGAAACAATAGAATTTAGTCAAATAATGATTAACTGCATCAGAAATACTGTCCACCTAGGTAGTTTCCTAAGTGATTTTTGCCAACACTCTAATTCTACACGCAGTAAACACAAACTGTAAATGTTAAGAAATTGCCCATGGCATAAGAGTTATCTTCCAAACTTCTCATATGTTAAGGCTACTTTTTTTCTAATCATTTGAAGTTACAGAGAAGGTAAGATTCTTTCAAGGGGTTTGGTGAGTTTTTTTCAAAGTTTAATTCCTTAGATAATATCTTTGTAATCAAATAGACCGGGCTAAGTCCCAGCCTCATTCCTTGTCAACTGGATAACTTCAGAAAAGTGTTTTAACTTCTTCAAATGCTAGTTTCTTCCACTATAACATGAGGATAGTAAACACTGATCATGAAGGGTGATCATAAGGATTAATGAGATAAGGTGTGTAAAGATAGCCTCACTCATGGCAACGGTCACTGCTCAGCAAGAGAATGTAGCCCTTATCACTATATTGCTGAGATTTTATTAACTAACCTTTTGCCCTATTAATTTCATGACCCCTTTTAAAAATAGGTAAGCGTCAGAAGAAGATCCTATAATGTCAATGTGTGTCCTATAAAGGTTAATTAGGACTCCAAGATATCTCAAACTTAATTGTTCATATGCCCATTTAATGATTTTCTCTCTGTTTTCCTTTTTTCCCCCCCAAAATACATGTCTCTTTTCTAAGCTCTAAATGAAGAGCATGTGACCATTCCTCAATGAGCTCTGTTACATGTTTTGGATTGTTTGGTTGAGAACGGGCTTGAGTACTTTTTAGACAAATTGTGGTCATTTCACCATCCACTCTCTTCTGACTCAGAATATGGAATTTGTTCAGTGCGTTTTCAAAAAATCCACATTTCTGTTTCAGGTAAAGAAAAACATCTGTGTTGGGCAGAAGTATTTCTCCACTTCTAGTAGTCTCAGGTACTAAGGTCCCGACTGACTCCAAAGAGTTATTGCCTCTCTATAGATTCCTTTGGGGGCTCTATTTATTCTACTTTCTCCCCTCACTGGTGAAAGTTGTCTTTTTTTTTTTTTTATAAAAGAGAACTTGCTTTTACTTGCAAAGATTATTTGAGCCTCTTTGACAGCTAGAAATGATCCTTCCATGGAAAGTCTTCCACTAGCTTCCAAAGGACTAAAGCTTAAAGTTGGGAATTTCTTTTTCAGGTTCATTACCAGAATTTCTAGAGTAACTTCACTTCCAAAAACAGAAAGATCAAGGATAGCATTTACAGAGCTGAAGATCTTGTGACTAAAATGAGAGACTGTGAGTTCAGCATGTCCAGCCTTCCTTGTTGGCTGTTGTTTATGTCTGATGACATTCTCTGCAACTTTTTTTTTCTTTGCATATTACAGATGCAACTCCCTGGGATTCTTGTTGGATATATCACATCTTCAACATCTCCACCCTCATTCTTAATATCTTGGAAGTGCCTCTTCACTAATATGGCCAATAATTAATCACTAAAAAGGCCAAACGGAAGACCAGCCAGTACAACCAGTTGTAGTTACAACTGTTCTTTCAAAGCTTTGGATTCCTTGACATTCAAAACTGATGCCCTTTGGATGTTTCCACTTCTGGCCAATGCACCAAAATGTTACAGTTTTGCCAATGCACCACAATGTAGCAGTGTCTCATAGCCAATAGCCGGAGATATCACCCAGAAGTTCTCTGTTTCACTACCAAGAAAGTTAAGGAGTGTGGACACCAAGGGTGAGGTTGGAGCGAAAGTTTAATAAGCAAAAGAAGAAAGCTCTCCGCTGCAGAGAGGGGACCCGGAAGAGGGGTTGCCACCAGTCCAGTGTTAAGAGGACATCCCATGGGGACTTGCCATGGGTCAAATGTTCAAGTATTACCATATTGGTCATATTGGGAGTAGAGGGCTCCAAAGGACCAGAAGTTTTATCCATAGTGATGGCTGTAGTAGCATATCCAAGGCTTCAAGTGAGTCTTTCTTTTTTTTTTTTCTTTTTTTTTTTTTTTGGCTTAGGGGGTGGAATCTTATTTTTGACTAATTCCCTCTGGGCATTATTTCTAAAGGAGAGAAATTTAAGATCTAACTTCCATATAGGGGGGTTATGCTCATTAATCCCACTCCTTATGATTGTAAATTGAAGAGAAAGGATGTTCCCCAAAGGAATGAAGGTTGGAGGAAAACCTTTAGCCCTTCTTTTCAGAAGTAATTTATCTGACAAGGATGGCAGAAGACCAATTATTGGCATCTGCTTTCTTTGGCCTTCTCTCTTCCTATACTCCATACCTCCAGCAAGCACTTATGTATTCTTGGGCTTGACAAGGGTGAGGTCAGGTGCAATCTTCTATCCAGCTGATGGCTCTGTCCACTCTACCAAGTCAACTCTTCCCAAGTTTAGGCTCCAAAGTCCAGTTACAGGGTTAGAATAAATAAAGGCCAATTCGATTTCCAGTCTAAACTGCATTCTACAATTTGGCTTCATTGGCAATGCAGCACGTATCTGAATCTCCATCTCACTCCTCATTCTGAACTTGGAGATTTGATTGTCTCCCACAAAGCCCAGACCTCATATGGTTTTCATATAGCCATCTTGCATTTGACCCTAATTTACCTCTCCAGCCATATCAATCTCTCTTTTAATCATCCAAGTATATATACTTTTATTTTCCCAACATCCTTAGGTTTTTGTGTCCATTGAAGATTTAATTGGTGGCTTATAATCCATCCATGTGGGCATTCACAATGATTTTTAATAATGAGTTTAATACAACTAATATAATTTATGAAACTCTGTCGTTGCTGAATATGACATAAAAATTTAGGTGAAAAGCAAAGTAGCTTTGGGCAAGGGGTTGAAGAAGTGACCCTACACAAGGTTAAGTCAATAAGGAGAAAACCCAGTAAATCCAACAAGAGAAGGCTGCTTCTACTAGTCCCACTTCTAACAAATGTTATTGATCTTTCAAGGGTTTGCGCTTAGGCTGCCCAGGCTTCTCCCATCCCAGCCGTATCCCATCCTGCCATGTAACTTGTCTTCTCCCTCTTTTCCAACCTTCCCTACACAATACAAAAATTAGAGATGCCCTACCGTCATCCAAGTTCTCTTCTAAACTGCAAATGCCCAAGGGATGGTAAAGCCCATCAGTGATTTATGCAATGGTCTGAATTACTTGCTCTCCTCTATTTTCTCATCTTCAGCCTGGTCTTAGCTCATGTATTGCTACAGAATCTTGAATACATGTGACAGAAACCTGTTTTAGCAAACCAAAGTTAATAAGAAAGAAAGGAAGAAAGAAATGTATTTGAAAGGCTTTAGATAGCTCCCAGAATTAAAGGCAGAGTGAACAATACAATTCTGGTAGAGTAGGAACCAGGGTATATCTGGGGAAACTCAGCAGCATGAAGTTGCAAATGGTCATTCCAAAACTACCATCTGATGACGCTGAGTTAAGTTCCTGAGTATTGCTGCTCACTTCCTCATATTATTGTTCTAGTGTGTGTTCCAAGGGGAATTGGGGATGGTTCTGTGACTGACAGTTTATTAAAATCCCCAGCCCAAAGGAAGGAAAGCCAGGGAAACAGTGGAGTTCCTGGTAGTTCATCTATGAGCATTTCTGCCCCAAAAGCTACAAGTCTAAATGCTTCATATATTATTACAACAGCAAATGTTGAACACTGCAAAAACCAAAGAATTACAATTAGAAGATATGTTCCAATACCTTGATTGCTTTAAACACTGGAGCATTGCTGCCGATCTTGTGTGCTATTACTCATCCATTCAGTCACCATTTAGGTATACTAAGCACATGCCACACAAGGGGCAAGAGTGAACAAGATAGACAGGGTTCCTGCCTTCATAGAGACTACTGTCTGATGTGGAAGACGGACTGTTTAACAACCCCTTAAACCAGGGATAAAATGCTATCAAAGGGGAAAGAGAGGATGCTAGGAAAGCCTATAGACAGAGCAATTCATGTGGTCCAGGAATTCTAAAGGCTTTGGGAAGAAGCGGCTTTCAAGCTTAGACCAAAAGAATGTGTTTGAGGGAAAAAGGAAATGTCTTGCTGTTGGTTCCCAAATTACACAATACATAGCAACGTGACCTCGGGTGTGTGCCCTTACCTCTTAGGGCCACAGTTCTTAATCTACAAAACAGGGCCAGGTTATTACTTACCTCACTAGTGCTGTTGTGAGGATCACAGTCTGAGGTGTCATAAGCTAATTTCCTGACCTGTGTTTCTATTTTTTCTTTTTCTTTTTTTTCTTTTATTATTATTATACTTTAAGTTTTAGGGTACATGTGCGAAATGTGCAGGTTAGTTACATAGGTATACGTGTGCCATGCTGCTGTGCTGCACCCATTAACTCGTCATTTAGCATTAGGTATATCTCCTAATGCTATCCCTCCCCCTTCCCCCCACCCCACAACAGTCCCCAGAGTGTAACGTTCCCCTTCCGGTGTCCATGTGTTCTCACTGTTCAATTCCCACCTATGAGTGAGAATATGTGGTGTTTGGTTTTTTGTTCTTACGATAGTTTACTGAGAATGATGATTTCCAATTTCATCCATGTCCCTACAAACGACATGAACTCATCATTTTTTATGGCTGCATAGTATTCCATGGTGTATATGTGCCATATTTTCTTAATCCAGTCTATCATTGTTGGACATTTGGGTTGGTTCCAAGTCTTTGCTATTGTGAATAGAGCCGCAATAAACATACGTGTGCATGTGTCTTTATAGAAGCATGATTTATAATCCTTTGGGTATATACCCAGTAATGGGATGGCTGGGTCAAATGGTATTTCTAGTTCTAGATCCCTGGGAATCGCCACACCGACTTCCACAATGGTTGAACTAGTTTACATTCCCACCAACAGTGTAAAACTGTTCCTATTTCTCCACATCCTCTCCAGCACCTGTTGTTTCCTGACTTTTTAATGATTGCCATTCTAACTGGTGTGAGATGGTATTTCATTGTGGTTTTGATTTGCATTTCTCTGATGGCCAGTGATGATGAGCATTTTTTCATATGTTTTTTTGGCTGCATAAATGTCTTCTTTTGAGAACTGTCTGTTCATGTCCTTCACCCACTTTTTGATGGGGTTGTTTTTTTCTTGTAAATTTGTTTGAGTTCATTGTAGATTCTGGATATTAGCCCTTTGTCAGATGAGTAGGTTGTGAAAATTTTCTCCCATTTTGTAGGTTGCCTGTTCACTCTGATGGTAGTTTCTTTTGCTGTGCAGAAGCTCTTTAGTTTAATTAGATCCCATTTGTCAATTTTGGCTTTTGTTGCCATTGCCTTTGGTGTTTTAGACATGAAGTCCTTGCCCATGCCTATGTCCTTAATGGTAATGCCTAGGTTTTCTTCTAGGGTTTTTATGGTTTTAGGTCTAACGTTTAAGTCTTTATTCCATCTTGAATTAATTTTTTTATAAGGTGTAAGCAAGGGATCCAGTTTCAGCTTTCTACATATGGCTAGCCAGTTTTCCCAGCACCATTTATTAAATAAGGAATCCTTTCCCCATTGCTTGTTTTTGTCAGGTTTGTCAAAGATCAGATAGTTGTAGATATGTGGCATTATTTCTGAGGGCTCTGTTCTGTTCCATTGATCTATATCTCTGTTTTGGTACCAGTACCCTGCTGTTTTGGTTACTCTAGCCTTGTAGTATAGTTTGAAGTCAGGTAGCGTGATGCCTCCAGCTGTGTTCTTTTGGCTTAGGATTGACTTGGCAATGAGGGCTCTTTTTTGGTTCCATATGAACTTTAAAGTAGTTTTTTCCAATTCTGTGAAGAAAGTCATTGGTAGCTTGATGGGGATGGCTTTGAATCTATAAATTACCTTGGGCAGTATGGCTATTTTCACGATATTGATTCTTCCTACCCATAAGCATGGAATGTTCTTCCATTTCTTTGTATCCTCTTTTATTTCACTGAGCAGTGGTTTGTAGTTCTCCTTGAAGAGGTCCTTCACATCCCTTGTAAGTTGGATTCCTAGATATTTTATTCTCTTTGAAGCAATTGTGAATGGGAGTTCACTCATGATTTGGCTCTCTGTTTGTCTGTTTTTGGTGTGTAAGAATGCTTGTGATTTTTGTACATTGATTTTGTATCCTGAGACTTTGCTGAGGTTGCTTACCAGCTTAAGGAGATTTTGGGCTGAGACGATGGGGTTTTCTAGATACACAATCATGTCATCTGCAAACAGGGACAATTTGACTTCCTCTTTTCCTAATTGAATACCCTTTATTTCCTTCTCCTGCCTGATTTCTCTGGCCAGAACTTCCAACACTATGTTGAATAGGAGTGGTGAGAGAGGGCATCCCTGTCTTGTGCCAGTTTTCAAAGGGAATGCTTCCAGTTTTTGCCCATTCAGTATGATATTGGCTGTGGGTTTGTCATAGATAGCTCTTATAATTTGAGATACGTCCCATCAATACCTAATTTACTGAGAGTTTTTAGCATGAAGGGTTGTTGAATTTTGTCAAAGGCCTTTTCTGCATCTATTGAGATAAGCATGTGGTTTTTGTCTTTGGTTCTGTTTATATGCTGGATTACGTTTATTGATTTGCATATATTGAACCAGCCTTGCATCCCAGGGATGAAGCCCACTTGATCATGGTGGATAAGCTTTTTGATGTGCTGCTAGATTTGGTTTGCCAGTATTTTATTGAGGATTTTTGCATCAATGTTCATCAAGGATATTGGTCTAAAATTCTCTTTTTTGGTTATGTCTCTGCCAGGCTTTGGTATCAGGATGATGCTGGCCTCATAAAATGAGTTAGGGAGGATTCCCTCTTTTTCTGTTGATTGGAATAGTTTCAGAAGGAATGGTACCAGTTCCTCCTTGTACCTCTGTTAGAATTCGGCTGTGAATCCCTCTGGTCCTGGACTCTTTTTGGTTGGTAAGCTATTGATTATTGCCACAATTTCAGAGCCTGTTATTGGTCTATTCAGAGATTCAACTTCTTCCTGGTTTAGTCTTGGGAGGGTGTATGTGTCCAGGAATTTATCCATTTCTTCTAGATTTTCTAGTTTATTTGCGTAGAGGTGTTTGTAGTATTCTCTGATGGTAGTTTGTATTTCTGAGGGATCAGTGGTGATATCCCCTTTATCATTTTTTATTGCATCTATTTGATTCTTCTCTCTTTTCTTCTTTATTAGTCTTGCTAGCAGTCTATCAATTCTGTTGATCCTTTCAAAAAACCAGCTCCTGGATTTATTGATTTTTTGAAGGGTTTTTTGTGTCTCTATTTCCTTCAGTTCTGCTCTGATTTTAGTTATTTCTTGCCTTCTGCTAGCTTTTGAATGTGTTTTCTCTTGCTTTTCTAGTTCTTTTAATTGTGATGTTAGAGTGTCAATTTTGGATCTTTCCTGCTTTCTCTTGTGGGCATTTAGTGCTATGAATTTCCCTCTACACACTGCTTTGAATGTGTCCCAGAGATTCTGGTATGTTGTGTCTTTGTTCTCATTGGTTTCAAATAACATCTTTATTTCTGCCTTCATTTCGTTAGGTACCCAGTAGTCATTCAGGAGCAGGTTGTTCAGTTTCCATGTAGTTGAGCGGTTTTGAGTGAGTTTCTTAATCCTGAGTTCTAGTTTGATTGCACTGTGGTCTGAGAGACAGTTTGTTATAATTTCTGTTCTTTCACATTTGCTGAGGAGAGCTTTACTTCCAACTATGTGGTCAATTTAGGAATAGGTGTGGTGTGGTGCTGAAAAAAGTGTATATTCTGTTGATTTGGGGTGGAGAGTTCGGTAGATGTCTATTAGGTCTGCTTGGTGCAGAGCTGAGTTCAATTCCTGGGTATCCTTGTTAACTTTCTGTCTCGTTGATCTGTCTAAAGTTGACAGTGGGGTGTTAAAGTCTCCCATTATTATTGTGTGGGAGTCTAAGTCTCTTTGTTGGTCACTCAGGACTTGCTTTATGAATCTGGGTGCTCCTGTATTGGGTGCATATATATTTAGGATAGTTAGCTCTTCTTGTTGAATTGATCCCTTTACCATTATGTAATGGCCTTCTTTGTCTCTTTTGATCTTTGTTGGTTTAAAGTCTGTTTTATCAGAGACTAGGATTGCAACCCCTGCCTTTTTTTTGTTTTCCATTTGCTTGGTAGATCTTCCTCCATCCTTTTATTTTGAGCCTATGTGTGTCTCTGCACATGAGATGGGTTTCCTGAATACAGCACACTGATGGGTCTTGACTCTTTATCCAATTTGCCAGTCTGGGTCTTTTAATTGGAGCATTTAGTCCATTTACATTTAAGGTTAATATTGTTATGTGTGAATTTGATCCTGTCATTATGATGTTAGCTGGTTATTTTGTTCGTTAGTTGATGCAGTTTCTTCCTAGCCTCGATGGTCTTTACAATTTGGCATGATTTTGCAGTGGCTGGTACCGGTTGTTCCTTTCCATGTTTAGTGTTTCCTTCAGGAGCTCTTTTAGGGCAGGCCTGGTGGTGACAAAATCTCTCAGCATTTGCTTGTCTGTAAAGGATTTTATTTCTCCTTCACTTATGAAGCTTAGTTTGGCTAGATATGAAATTCTGGGTTGAAAATTCTTTTCTTTAATAATGTTGAATATTGGCCCCCACTCTCTTCTGGCTTGTAGAGTTTCTGCCAAGAGATCCCCTATTAGTCTGATGGGCTTCCCTTTGTGGGTAACCCAACCTTTCTCTCTGGCTGCCCTTAACATTTTTTCCTTCATTTCAACTTTGGTGACTCTGACAATTATGTGTCTTGGAGTTGCTCTTCTCAAAGAGTATTTTTGTGGTGTTCTCTGTATTTCCTGAATCTGAATGTTGGCCTGCCTTGCTAGATTGGGGAAGTTCTCCTGGATAATATCTTGCAGATTGTTTTCCAACTTGGTTCCATTCACCCCGTTACTTTCAGGTACAGCAATCTGACGTAGATTTGGTCTTTTCACATAGTCCCATATTTCTTGGAGGCTTTGTTCGTTTCTTTTTATTCTTTTTTCTCTAAACTTCCCTTCTCGCTTCATTTCATTCATTTCATCTTCCATCACTGATACCCTTTCTTCCAGTTGATTGCATCTGCTCCTGAGGCTTCTGCATTCTTCAAGTAGTTCTCGAGCCTTGGCTTTCAGGTCCATCAGCTCCTTTAAGCACTTCTCTGTATTGGTTATTCTAGTTATACATTCGTCTAAATTTTTTTCAAAGTTTTTAACTTCTTTGCCTTTGGTTTGAATTTCCTCCTGTAGCTCGGAGTAGTTTGATCGTCTGAAGCCTTCTTCTCTCAACTTGTCAAAGTCATTCTCCATCCAGCTTTGTTCCATTGCTGGTGAGGAACTGCATTCCTTTGGAGGAGGAGAGGCGCTCTGCTTTTTAGAGTTTCCAGTTTTTCTGCTCTGTTTTTTCCCCATCTTTGTGGTTTTATCTACTTTTGGTCTTTGAAGATGGTGATGTTCAGATGGGTTTTTGGTGTGGATGTCCTTTCTGTTTGTTAGTTTTCCTTCTAACAGACAGGACCCTCAGCTGCCAGTCTGTTGGAGTTTGCCAGAGGTCCACTCCGGACGCTGTTTGCCTGGGTATCCGCAGTGGTGGCTGCAGAACAGCGGATTTTCGTGAACCGTGAAAGCTGCTGTCTGATCGTTCCTCTGGAAGTTTTGTCTCAGAGGAATACCCGGCCGTGTGAGGTGTCAGTCTGCCCCTACTGGGAGGCGCCTCCCAGTTAGGCTGCTCAGGGGTCAGGGGTCAGGGACCCACTTGAGGAGGCAGTCTGCCCGTTCTCAGATCTCCAGCTGCGTGCTGGGAGAACCACTGCTCTCTTCAAAGCTGTCAGACAGGGACATTTAAGTCTGCAGAGGTTACTGCTGTCTTTTTGTTTGTCTCTGCCCTGCCCCCAGAGGTGGAGCCTACAGAGGCAGGCAGACCTCCTTGAGCTGTGGTGGGCTCCACCCAGTTCGAGCTTCCTGGCTTATTTGTTTACCTAAGCAAGCCTGGGCAATGGCGGGCGCCCCTCCCCCAGCCTCTCTGCCGCCTTGCAGTTTGATCTCAGACTGCTGTGCTAGCAATCAGCGAGACTCCGTGGGCTTAGGACCCTCCGAGCCATGTGCGGGATATAATCTCCTGGTGCGCCGTTTTTTAAGCCCGTCGGAAAAGCCCAGTGTTAGGGTAGGAGTGACCTGATTTTCCAGGTGCTGTCTGTCACCCCTTTCTTTGACTAGGAAAGGGAACTCCCTGATCCCTTGCACTTCCCGAGTGAGGTAATGCCTCGCCCTGCTTCAGCTTGCGCACGGTGTGCTGCACCCACTGTCCTGCGCCCACTGTCTGGCACTCCCTAGTGAGATGAACCTGGTACCTCAGATGGAAATGCAGAAATCACCTGTCTTCTGTGTCGCTCACGCTGGGAGCTGTAGACCGGAGCTGTTCCTATTCGGCCATCTTGGCACACTCCTCTTATATTTTTTCTTTGCTCATGATAGTGTTGGTTACTGAATGAGACTCAATCATATAATGATCATTTGTTACCTATCAGGACTTTTTTGGTTATAGATGAATGAACCCCAGTATGAAAATCCCTCAGTAAAAAAGGGAAATTTAGAGAGGCTATTTTGATATTTCACGTAACAGTTAGGCAGTAAGAATGGCAGGGAGGAAGCAGGTCTTGGAAAGGAGGTACTCAGGGGCTCAAATGCAGCCAAGACACTTAACTCTTTCTGCCTGTCAACTTCAATTTCTGGCTCACTGACTTTTCCTATAAGGAGGAAAACTTGGCCATGGCAACTCTCAAGCTTCACCTTTCACAACTTCAGTCCCTGGAGAATGAAAATCTCAATCTTTAGGGCCCCACATTCAAGAATCTGATCCCAGAGAAGGGCTTCAGTTGACCTTGTTGGAGTCAGATACTCACCTCTGGATAAACTAGCAGTCAGCAGAAAAGAGGGTACTAGAGTATAAAACAGTGGCTCCTACAGCAACCAGCGAAATAAGGTTTAACAGAGCCATTCTCAAAAGAAGGAGACACAGGTAGAGCCAAGCAGAAAATCCCACAAATGTGGACTAGATCCTTTTTTTCTTTTTTAATGCAAGTTCCTTCTTTAAAATGATGCTAAAGCTGCAACTAATTGAATAAACAAAGCACACAAATTCTTTCAAAAGCTGAAATTCTGTTTGGGGACAAAAATCATCACCTGGGTTTCAGAAATCACTGAGCACACATTCATTAGCTTTGCTCATGCAAAAGTTTTCCTGCAGACCTGTAGTTCAATGCCCCAATCTAATTCCTTAGACTCTAGCTTTCTTTAAGGGGTAGGGAGTAGGGTGGGGGTAAAAGCTGTAGTGCAATAGAGTATTTAAAAAATAACCCTAAACAGGCATTGTTGCTGAGAGCTTCTCTGTGGCCCTAACTAAGAATATCACAGAACTTAGTAAACTAAGTTGGGAATTACGAGCCATGCCCTGGAGACCTCTGAAGTGTGTCTGCTCCCACACTTAATGATCAAAACCACACTCCCACAGGTGACTGTTTTGTGAAGATGTCTAACAAGAAGTGAGAAAGAGGAGAAAAAGGGAAAGGAGGAAGAAAAGAGAGAGGGGGAATGGGGAGAAAAATGAAGGAGACAGGAAAATGACAGCAGTCTGACCTGCGCAATGCTCTAACATCTTCCTTAAAAGAGCATGTTTCATGTGAACACTTCAACCAGTGGAGATTTTTCTAGAAGCTTACTGATGCCAATTTCCTTTTAACTGAAGAATCAAATCTTTCACCAACTGTTCCTAAAATATATTAGAGGGGGCAGGAAGTACATCTTTCGTCCAGGGACTGTCAAAAGTATGGGGCTTGTGCCACTGCCTGAAATGACCTCGGGTGACCCCCATAGGGGTGCCTAAATAACATCGCATCCCAGGGTAAACTGTTACTCTTTTTTGGTTTGCTTTTAACCACTTTGAATTAATATGTGACAGTGTTTTGCACTTTTACATATTTATTACTTCTCTAACACCAATTCTACCCCCTGTTGTACAGAAAGAGCAGACACTCGGCTAGGCAGGAGGACCTAGATAGAACTGAGTAACATTGGTGTGTTTCATTGCATTGAATATCCCAATAATGTTCAATTTTAGGCTAGGAATATCGGTCTTCCTTTGAGAGTAGGCATGTAAAGCTGCTTCCTAAAATTTTTTTTGTAGTTCAAAAAAGGCAGTAAATTGAAAGAAAAATATCAACAGTGGTGGTACCAGATGTTCCAAAAGTACTCTTAGTTACTAAGTATGTATGTTTCTAGGTCCATGGGTCAAAAGGAAGACTCCATGTTCCCAACCCATGTCAGTGTGAGAATAACAGTCAAATATTTTAGGTGAGAAGAGTGTCTGTGGCTTCTAAGGCCTTTGCCAGAGATTCTTGGATTTTAAAATAAATCTTAAGAGCTGCTTCTTTCCTTCAGTCCAAGATTGTATTTTCCCTTATGAAGTGCTTACACTGATGATAATAAAGATTATAATGATTTAGAATCCCATAGAGGTTTCCTCTGAAAATCTTTAGTTTAAGAAGATATTTTGGAGTCTGTGATAGAAAGTATGCCAAGGTTCAGGATTTGACTAATGAAAAGCTTAAAATGGATTGTAGAACTGCCTCACCTCATATTAATGATGAAACACTGGAAAATATGGGACCATATTGGGAAATGGTCACCAAAGGGACATTTCCCTACAATTCATGCTGGGAAACTTCATGAGGAGAAGACACAGAAAACCTGGAAACTGCTGGTGGAAAAATTGTTACGGATCTCTTCGCCAACTTCTAAAAATAAAAGGCAATAAATGTTAACCAACTGTGGACCCTTATAGTTATTTTTAAAATCAACAGAAATAAAATGGAAGACTTAATTTCCATTACGATGACCTTATCAAAAGCCCCAAATTATTTTATTTGAAAGAAAATGTCACTTAAAAATAAAAACCAGTCACATTCAACAAATAAATAATGAAACCAGAACCCTGCTCAGTGAGGTTTTTGTCGGTTCAGCTTGCCGATTTTGTTCTCCCTGAAATAAAATACATCTTAGCTTGCTTTCCCCTTTAAACAAAAAATCACAGCAACTGCATTTATTACATTCTCCTGAGTCTTTGGTCTTGCTTCTTTATTTGAATTTCTCTTCTTTTTTATGAACAGGTCTTTAAAAAATTACCTCAAAGCTTTTTGAGCAAGGCGTAGGATGTTTTGAGCAAGGGATGGGAGGTTAAAATAATCTTAGTGCATTTATTTAGTAGATTACAAATACAAGGAGTGAAGAGCAACAGAAGAATGATTTAACAGTTCAAGACAAAGAAGTGGTCATAAGCCTCTGTAAGATTGACTGCCCGGTCAGATTCCCACAGGGGCTGGATGGGGAAGGTGGAGGCCTGGTTACAAGACACAATGCATTCTAGAATTCTACCAGGTGCTATTATATATTTGTACCAGGTGCTATTGTTACAAGATCTTTGGGGTGTTGATTTTCTGGCCAGAAACCTCTGTGGCCTTTGCTCGAGTTCTTGTCCTGTGTCCAGGAAGACTGAGGTACACAGACAAAAGGAGGGTAAACAAGATGAAGAGGAGATTTATTAAGTGTTAGAATAGCTCAGAGGAGACCCGCAGTGATTAGCTCCTATCTGTAGGCAGGTCATCCCATCAAGTGTTCAGCTCTCAGCAGAGAGGAGTCCCTGGAGAGGGTTGCTACTTTCTACAGCTGGTGTTCCTGACTCTCTGCAGGTCCCTGAAGCTCTTAGCAGAGAGGATAGCTCCTCTCTGCTGCTGGTTGTCCAGTCATCTCCAGTTATCAGCAGAGAGGATAACTCCTCTCTGCAGCTGGTCCTCTCATCATCTCTCCATCCTCTCTGACCTCTGCCCTGCTCTGGCTGAACCTGAGGCTTTTATGGGCCTCAGAGGAGGGGAAGTATGTGCTAACTCGTCCATGGGCAGCCATGGGCAGGCCCAGGAAAAAGCACCATGAGTTCTCCCTCCAGTAGGCAGGGCTGACAGCTCAGTTCCCAGGCTTCAGGTCTGCCCCAGCCTGAAGGTGGGGCTTCTCTGGGCCCCCCCACCTTCTGCCCAGGAGGCTTTCTGCCTCCCGTGACCATCCATGGCACCCAGGCTGCTGGCACCAAGGTGCACCTGCAGGCCAGCTCCCAGCTGTCCTCAACCCCCCTCAACTTCCCCTCCCCTGCTCCTCTATTACCAAAGTCCTGAGGGGCCAGAGCAGCAGGGGGCTGGCATGTCAGCACTGCTCTGTGGGTGCACACACCCGGCTGGGCTGTGACAGTGGCTGGGCTTGGCCCCAACTCCACTCAGAGATTGGAGTGGGAGCCAGGAGTCGGGGGAGGCCAGGCAGCTGGAACAGGCACCGCAGAGCCTGCAAGGGCAAGTGGGGCCTTTGAGGCCCCCTAAGAGTGCAGGGATGCCTGGATCTACAGCCCCAGCTTGCACAGCTGGAGCTGCACCAGGGTGGGGGGCTCCTGCCTACTTTGTGAAGCAGGAGGCCCAGATCCGCACCCAGGACTTGGGTGGCTGCAGCCCTGCTCAGGAGAACAGCGTTCCTGCCTACTCTCAGCTCCCAGAAGCAAGGGGTGCCTGGGTTGCAGCCACAGCTTGGGCAGCTGCAGATGCAACTGGGGAGCTCCCACCCCACCAACTTGGAAGGGGTAGGGCTCCCGCTTGTCCCTGGTTCCCGCTGGCTCCATGGAGCATGGCACCTGGCCCAGCCCCCTCACAGCCTGGGGTTGGGGATCCAGGTCCTTGCTGGGCCTGGACCAGCATCCAGGGCAGGGGCAATGTTGCTGCAAGCTCCCCTTTGGCCCTGGTGCTTGGGGTGACCCAGAGCTCCCCTTCACCTGGTGCGACGCAGCCCAGCCCCATCATGGTGGCCCCCAAGGCAGTGGGCTGCAGGTGTGGGGCTGTCCACCTCCCTGTGCCCTCCCTGCAGTGGCCAGTGTGATGGCAGCAGCCACACCAGAAGGCCCATCGCTGCCATCACTATTATGTATTTAGCATCTCTGTAACACCAATACATGCAGATATATGTATTCTAGAATATTATAATTACAGATGATTCTAGATTGAGATACAATGCATTCTAGAATACAATGCATAGTGGTGGTGCACATACACATATATTGGCTACATGGGGCAGTTCAATAGAGCAATTGCATGTAGTTGCCATGTTGGGCATAAATAGCCTGGCTTTGAATTTTTCCCAAGTTGGCTGGAAGTCTGGTTATTGTTGTTTTTAATATGAAACATCAGGTTTCTAACTGTTGCCAACTAATTCAAAACATTTATTTTTATTATTTTCCGTAAGTTGTTGGGGTAAAGGTGGTTTTTGGTTACATGAGTAAGTTCTTTAGTGATCTGTGAGATTTTGGTGTATGCATCAACCGAGCAGTATACACCACACCATATTTGTGGTCTTTTATCCCTCGCCCCTCTCCCACTCCTCCCTGCAAGTCCCCAAAGTCCATCGTATCTTTCTTATGCCTTTGCGTCCTTATAGCTTAGCTCCCAAAGACATTTTTTATAAAACACTATATGGACAAAAGAAAACATATTTGTAAGTTAGATTTGGCCTGTGGATTGCTGGTTTGAATCTCTGCCAGGTAACTAAGCCATTAAGTGTTGGGAATTGAACCTATAACTTCACTCTGGAGTGAGCAGAAGGGGATTTACATTGAATCTTGGAAAGAAAAGGGGGGAAAATGTTTATAAGGAGAAGGGAGAGACAGTGGCAGACATACTACATGGGGAGGAAAGCATAAAAGAAGCCCCAAAGCAAGAAGGCTCAAGGCATGTTGAACAAACACTGAAGAGATTAGTTTGGTTAGAAGAGAAAACCCATACACTGATGTGAGGCAAAGTAGCAAATGTTAAGAAGCAATGTTTGCTCATTTCTGCTTGCCAGAATAATTTCACAAAGCCTCTGACTCTGTGAAGATATGCAACTCTCCAGAAAGATGCTTTGAAAAGACAAAACAGGATAAATAAAAGACAAAACATGCCCCTGCCCCCAAGGTCTCTTGTTTGAGTCACTATATTCCTTAAAAGATAAATTACCCTAGACCTTGCCTTTCTCTACACTTAAGATAACGTCTGACAGGGTCAGTGATTATGCCTCTGTAATCTATAACCAGATATACTCTTACACCCAAACCTTGATGTGATTTCTGAACAAATCTGATGTGATTTTGCATGTACTGAATCTCCACCACCTGTACTTGAGCACACTGGGCTGAAATACTGTGCTGGAGCAGTCTCATAGAACCTCTTTAAATGGCTGATCCCAGACTATAGGCCTGAGTCTATAGTCCCCAGTAAGGCTTCTGAATAAAACTAACTTTAAATCTTCAAAAGCTTTCTTTGTTCCTTTAGATGACACTGAGAAAGTTAGAGATAAGGCGTGTAAAGCAAATGAAGGATCAGATACATAAGGATCTTAAATATTAGCTAAGAAATTTGAATTTTATTTCATAGGCAAGGAAGATTTGGGGGTCTAGAGATTGGGTTTTCCAATAAAACTAACCCAGCCTATCTGGAAGAGAAAGAGACTACAGGAGAAGAGACTGGTCAGGAGACTCCACTATCTTAGGAGGACTGGTGGAGGCAGGAGGAATGGAAAGCTAGTGAATGAGACAGATCCATGGCAATGGATAAATCCACAGGACTCATAATCTGCTTCCTCTTAGAAGATGTCAAAGATCACTCTTCTGTTTGGGGCCTTTGGTATTTGCAGGCATCCTAGTGCAAATATCCAGGAAGACTTTTGGAACCTGAATTTAGGAGGCTGTCCAGGGATGCTGAGGCAGTTGGAGTGCTAGCCACATGAGGATGGCCCACAGATAAAGCTCAAGGGAGAGGATTCACGGAGAGAGGAAGCATGAACCTGGGAAGATGAATACCCAGTATCTATGTTTCTTACAGCTTACTTCAAAAACCTTGCTAAATTGAGAAATCACTACCCTTGAATTTGTGATTGATCTCAAATAAAAATGCATTCTATTTTATTTGTATTATTGTATGTATCACCTAATTTAAATGTGTCCATTGTAAAATTTCATCTCTTCAACCAGATTACGTTTTAAGAGGAAAAGGGAAAGAAAAAGAAAGAGAAAGAAAGAAAGAACAAAAGAAAGAAAGAAAAGAAAGAAAGAGAAAAAAAGAAAAAAGGAAGAAAAAAGAGAAAGAGAAAAAGAAAGAGAAAGGAGCTTTGGAGTAGATATTGCCTTGTAAGAGTGGTTAAAATGGAGCCCTGTTAAGGATCTGAGAATTGCCTGAAGGCTCTTTCCAGTCCTATAAGTAAACAACACTAGAGCTTTTGTCCAAAAATTCATTTTATAGCCAGAGAAATTGAAGGCCCTCCAATTCAAAATTCACCTGACAGCTATCAGCTGCTTTACCATGCAACCAGAGCTTGGCTCTGTGAAGGCTTCACATCATGTTAGAAAGATGGCACCAATTAAAAATGCACCCACCTCAGAATCCAGAGATAAACTCTAACTTCTATGGTCAACTGATTTTCTTCAAAGGTGCCAAGTCAATTCAATAGGGAAAGCATAGTCTTTTCAACAAATCATGCTGAGACAACTGGATAGCCACATGAAAAATAATAAAATGGGACCCCTACTTCATATCATATAGAAAATACAACTAAAGGCATAGACCTAGCTATAAAAGTTTAAGGTATAGGCCTGGCACGGTGGTTCACACTTGTAATCCCAGCACTTTGGGAGGCTAAGGCGGGTAGATTATGAGGTCAGGAGTTCGAGACCAGCCTGGCCAAAGCAGTGAAACCCCATCTCCACTAAAAATTAGCTGGGCATGGTGGCGGGTGCCTGTAATCCCAGCTACTCAGGAGGCTGAGGCAAGAGAATCACTCGAACCCAGAAGGCAGAGGTTGCAGTGAGCCGAGATCACACCACTGCACTCCAGCCTGGGTGACAGAGCGAGACTCCATCTAAAAAAAAAAAAAAAAAAAAAAAAAGTTTAAGATATAAAACTCTTCAAAGAAAAGACAGTAGTAAATATTTGTGACCTCGGGTTAGGCAACAATTCCTTAGATGTGACACCCAGCACAAGCAGTAAAAGAGAAGGGTGATACATTGGACATCATTGAAATTTTTTAAAATTTTGTGCTTCCAAGGACACTATCAAGAATGTGAAAAGACAATCCACTGTCTGGGAGAAATATTTGCAAATCATATATCTAAAAAGAAACTTATATCCAGAATATATAAAGAACTCTTATATCTTAATACGATGACAAATCAATCTAAAAATGGGTAAAAAATATGATAGACATTTCTCCAAAGAAAATATATAAATGAGATATATGTATATAAAATGTATACATATATAAATGAGATATATGTATATAAAATGTATACATATATAAATGAGATATATGTATATAAAATGTATACATATATAAATGAGATATATGTATATAAAATGTATACATATATAAATGAGCCAATCTAAAAATGGGCAAAGGATTTGAATAGGCATTTCTCCAAAGAAAATATATAAATGAGTAGTAGGTACATGAAAAGATGCTCAGTCTCATTATTCATTAGGGAAATGCAAATCAAAACCAGAGTGAGTTGCTACTTTATACCCACTAGAATGGCTATAATAAAAAAGACAGATAATAAATGTTGGCAAAGAGGTGGAAAGAAACAAGAACCTTCACACACTGCTGGTGTATATGTAAAATGGTGCAGCCACTTTGGAAAAGTCTAGCAGTTCCTCAAAAAATAAACATAGTGTTGCCATATAGCCCAGAATTCTATTCCTAGGTATCCACTGGAGAGAAATAAAAATATGTCCATCCCAAGATATGCACACAGATGTTCACAGAAGCATTTTTCACAAGAGCCAAAAAATGAGAACAAGCCTAATATTCATCAACTGATGAATGGGTAAATAAAATGTGATTTATCCACACAATAGAATACTATTCAGTAATGAAAAGTAATAAAATACTGATAGAGCTACAACAGGGTTGAACCTCAAACACATTATTATGAGCCAGTCAGAAAAACCACAATCTTATGATCCCACATATATGAAATGTCCAGAATAGGCAATCCAGGGAGATAGAACGTGGACGAATGGCTGTCTAGGGCTGGGGTAGCTGGGAGGATGGGAAGTAACTGCCAATGGGTATGGGGTTTCTTTTTGGGATGATGAAAATATTCCAAAGTAAGATTATGGTGCTGGTTGCCCTAATATGATTACACTAAAAGCCACTGAATTGTGTATTTTAAACATGAACAAACATTTTAAATGAGATGATGGTTTATAAATTATATCCCAATGAAAGCTTAAAAAGTTTCATCTATCATGTGCTACATGAAGTTTTCAGCACTAGCCAGAAAGGGTCTCTTAATCTTGTTAGTCTCTTTTCTTTAAGATCTTTGCATCAGTTCTTCTTTTTGTCATGAATGCCTTGATTCTTTCTACCACAAACTTGCTTCTCTTATCTTCCAAAACAGCTTCAAGTTCCTGTCTCTCAAACATGCCAGGCTTGTTCCTATTGCAGGCGTTTGCAATGGTGCTTCCTTCTACTTGAAACCTCTCTCCCTTGCCTCTGCAGGACTGCCTCCTTCTCACCACTGAGGTTCAACTCAAAAGAGAGGTCTTAGACTTCCATAGCTTCAGCAGCCCACAGTCACCACCTACCTCTCACTGTATTTGTGTCATGGCAAGTACCTAACAGTAGCTTCTGTCTTGGTTTCCATATTCCCATTTGTATTTGTTTGCTTGCTTGCTAAAGGATTTACTGTGTATCTTCCTCACTAGATCATATGTTCCCTGAGGACGGGAGCTCTGTCACAGCTGTCCCCACCACACCAGGCCTATAATAAGAGACGTTGGCCGATGCCTTTAGGGTGAATGAAGCACACGATAAGGTTGCTTGCTTCTGCCCTAGTAATAGGATGAAAAAGAATGAAGCCTTTTCCCTCTCCAAAACCCCACCCTCATTCATCCCCACCTCCTCCAAGAAGGAGCCAGAATTTCCTTAACAACAATTTTTTGATGCTAAAAACCTCTCCCCGAGAGACTGATTCCAGAAAAATAAATTTCTCTTCACCTAAAGGTGCAGCACCAGCTCAATGAAAATTGTTTCAGTAAAACTAGTCTCAGGAAAGATCAATAGGAGGAAAGAGAGAAAAGCAACAAAGACTAACTTGCACTTCCAATGCAAGGAAAATCAAAGCGGAGTCTGTCCCAGGGGAGTTCAAACAATAGAAACAATAGGTCGAGAAGCCATGCAGCGATTACTCAGACAAAATGAAGATCACTCCAGGAAAATGAAGAAGAGAATGAAGCATAGCTTATTGTGGAGTTTGTCCTGAAATTTATAGCTGACTCTATGAGAAGAACTGCAAAGCATCTAGCCCTTCAGCATTGAAAGACGGAAGGAAGGAAGAGAAAGGAAAAAAGAAAGAAAAAGATAAGATGAGAAGAAAATGTTTTAAAATAAAAAAGCAAAACCATTTCCTCACCTAATCTTCTTCTGGATAAAAGAGCTAGTGAGAGAATCAACACAAAGAAAATGACACCTATTTGCAATTAAAGAAAACTTTACATAAAAGCACATATTTTATTCTATTTCCTGAACTTCTCTTCTGCAAAAAGAACAAAAAGAGAGAAAAAGAAGAAAAGAGACAGGGTTAAAGTTACAAATACAAAACCAATCAAATGATGCTGGCTTCCTTTTTAACCTAAGCACCACACAGTCAATCAATAAAATGTCAAAAGGCTTTCACAATTTACCTGTTACACCATGAGAGACATCACATCCAAATAACTTGCTGATATGCAAGCCTCCAGCTAGATTCACAAGAGGAATGAAGACCAAGTTCAGACACAGCAAAGCAACTCACACCACTGCAACCATGTCTCCAGGTATGAACATTTGAAGACCAGTAGTAACATATCTCAAAGACCACTAAATTATTTAGGACCATCATTCAGGAAGTGTTGTCATGCTCAAACAACCGGAGATCAGAGATTATACCTAAGCCTCCTCTTCCCCCTCCTCCGCCGTACCCCCGCAAGTACCAAGACAGTCGGCCAAGAGCAAGTTTAGTATCAGCTTATCATAGGCTCTAGTCTTAGCCTTGCAATTACATCCTGCCCTGGCAGGAAGCTGAACCTGGCAATCAAGATTCCCTCTCATCTCTGTTTTCTATATCTTGCATGCTTGGGGAGGCGGCAGAGCATGTGGTATGACCACATGCAGAGTGAAAGTTTGCAAGACCTGCATTTGAATCCTGATTTTGGCACTTCTCCCATGTGAGCTTGGCAGCTCACTTCACCTCTGAGGGCCTGTTTCTCACTGGTGAACAAGGGCCAGCGATCCCTCTTTAAAGGGTTATGAACATCTAATAATTCCTGGCAGCCAGTAGCTTGCTCAATAAGTGTTAGTCCCCTTTACACAGTAAAATTATTAGCTAAACAGAAAACCAGCATTCTAACCTGAGCAGGTCTCTTTGATTTGAGAAAAAATACATGCTTTAGTTTACATCATCTGATTGTATTTTGTGGATCATTACAGACTGTTTGTAAATCCTTCTGGAAGAAGGCATGAGATATATCTGATACAAATATACATTCTTGGAGGAATTGAGGGACCTTGCTATGTGCATAAATTCATAGCCTGCCCTTCTGCGACCCTGGAAGAAACCATTTTGTCAGGGAACCACTTATCCCTAATTTACCTGATTTGTAATTTCAGAGTTTCATAAAGTGAAGGCACAACTATAATTACCCTTAGTGCTCCATTTAGGCGGTCATGATTTTTGACAAACTCTAATGCTTGGCAACCTAACCTTCTAGCATGTCTGGAATGTCTTGTATGTCTGCTTAGTTATTTGCAAGCTTTCTAAATAGACCTCTACCACTTCATGGCTGGTAAACGTTTCCAGTTACATTTTAGTCCTCTTGTTGGTCTTCTAAGCATGACATATACTCTATATTTTATGTATGAGTGTTTCAAAGATGAGGGATAATTCTCAGCAACCATCTCTGTATCTTCAGTCTCAGGTGCTCCATTAGGATTCTTAAGAGACTGGATGAAGTCATTATCAAAGCAAGAGCTGTTACTTGAAGAACTGGCAAACTTAAATATTATCTTACAAGCAGCCAACAATGCACATTCCTTTATACACAATCAAAAGCACAAACTCACACTCACATGCATGACTTTTAGCTTAATTTCCAGTTTAACATTTAGAAAAAGGGAACTATTGGCCAAATAAACTTGTCAATTTATCAAATTAAGAGGGGAGAGTAGAGTACAGTGTAAGGTCTAATCTTACTGCCTCAAGTATTTGAAAGGTTGAGTCAAGACTTACAAACTCAAAATGCTGCTAAGAGCCAATAAGGCAGATAACGTAAGTGTATAATCAAGGCCACGTGGGAGCAATAGGGAGTGGTGGGGCTTACGGCAAACTGGAAAACCATCTCCTGCCTTAATCATTTAAAAAAATATATTTTGCTAGCCAAACAAAACACACTGTGAGCTGCATTTAGACCAGGTCTGGCTGCTATTTGAAAATTCCTAGTTCCTGGAATGGAAGGTTAGGTACAAAGTAAGGAAACATTTTAAGGTCCCAGAAGTTTGACCACTGTATCCAAGTAGATCTCTCTGGTTCTCTACACCAGCACTCCATTTATTCGCCCTCCTAGCATTTACAGCCTCTGTAATGAATTGGCCTCTTGATTTGCTTACTTCTTTAGAATTCTCTCTCTCTCTCTCCATCTCTCTCTCGATTATAAGCTTCACGAAGGCAGGGGCTGTGTTTACCTTGCTTACGGTTATCATCAGCACTAGCCAGGGTGAGGGACATAATTGGTTCTCATAAAAACTGCTGAATGGATCAAGGAAGGAGTATGATACGTTTTGTCATCCTATGACATATCTTGTTCATCTTGGGACCCCAAGCATATAGTAGTACAATAGTAATGATAAGTACTGGGGTGCAGTAGTGGGGTGCAATCATAGCTTGCTACAGCCTCAAACTCTTGGCCTCAAGCCATCCTCTCACCTCAGCCTCTGGAGTACCTGGGACTACAGGTGTAAGCCACTGTACTCAGTTAATTTTTTAAAAGAAATTTGTAGAGACAGGGTCTTGATATGTTGCCCAGGCTGGTCTCGAACTCTCGGCATCAAGTGGTTCTCCCACCTTGGCCTCCCTAAGCACTGGGATTATAGGCATGAGCCACAGCACCCAACCATGATAGTATTTCTTGAATGAAATTATTGGTGATCATGTTCCACCACGAATGGTTAACCACAGGGAGGTGGTGTATACTGGGTGGGTCCAGGGTCTAGAAATAGATGTGGTCACTAGGCTGAGGAGATGATTGGGCACGAGATCCAGCTCTGCAAGGAAATTCAGTAAGACAGAAAATAGCAAGTTTTATGAATACTAATAAAGCATGACTAGTAATCTAAGCAAGTTGCTGGCATCAGGGATGTCTGCTGATGGCTAAAAATAGAGAATCCAGAAAGGGTCAGTGTTCCCAGATAAACGTATGTGGTCTGCCTCAAGTAAGCAACTGATAATAGAACTACAATCATGAAAGCCAAAGGCTGAGTTCACACATGTGGGAAGAGGGGTGGTAGTCAAAGTCACAACAGAGAATAGGCACTAAGAAACAATCAGCTGGGTGCGGTGGCTCATACATGTAATCCCAGCACTTTGGGAGGCCAAGGTGGGTGGATCACCTGAGGTCAGGGGTTTGAGACCAGCCTGACCAACATGGTGAAACCCTGTCTCTACTAAAAATACAAAAGTTAGCTGGGCATGGTGGCGGGCACCTGTGATCCCAGCTACTTGGGAGGCTGAGGCAGGAGAATTGCTTGAACCCGGGAGGCAGAGGTTGCAGTGATCCAAGATCACGCCACTGCACTCCAGCATGGGCAACAAGAGTGAAACTCCGTCCAAAAAAAGAAAGGAAAGGAAAGGAAAGGAAGGGAAGGGAGGGGAGAGGAGGGGAAGAGAGGGGAGTGGAGGGGAAGGAAAGGAAGGAGAGGGGAAGGAAAGGGAGGGAAAGGGAGGGAAAGGTAAGGAAAACAATCTAGGCACCCAAAATGTGTTTAGCATTCTAAAATTCCAGAAGTGGTTGCAAGGTATAGACTTGGTCGCAGCATCCAGGATGAAGCTCAAGTCAGGCCCATAGTGTTGGTTGGTGTTAAGTTCCCTAATAAACTACAACCCCACTAAGGACACACTGAATGCCAATTCCTGAGGGAATACACTCCTCTTTACTGTAGAGACAAGAACTCCCAATCCTGCCTTTTGTCTTGAATGACTGTGATACTAGACTGTTTCATTTCCAGAACAGAAGAACCTGTGTGAGTTACTGCTATTACTTACATTAGCAATCAGGACTTTCTCTATGAAGAACAGAAAGATAATCCAAACCCCCTTTAGAAAGAAAGAGCAATCTGTTGGCTGCACAAATACACCATGGGAAGGCAGGAGGAGAGTTGGTCTTGGAGCTTATGCTCTCTCTCTGCCCCTGGGCTGTGTCACTCTCTATCGTTGGCTTCACTTTCTTCTGAAAGAGATGGGCTTTTCCTATGCAGAATCAATGTAGCTTGGTAGACAAGAGCACGAATTTGGGTCATCCGACAGGCTGGGTTTGAATCCCACCTCTGCCCCTTGAACTTAGTTGAATTATTCATCTGTAAAATGGGCATAATTAATGGCACCTCACTCTTAGGTTGAGTGAGTAAGGATTAAGTGAGTAAATATATGTAAATATTATTACAGCAGCTAGTGTTACTTTCAGTAACACAAGAAGAAAGAGATGCTAAAGGGACTGTGATGATTTCAACTATGAAATGGACATACAATATATTTTATTGTTGTTTGACTACGTTGAAATATATATTTAAATTGAGGGCCATCATTTTATCTAAAATTTACTAGTAATTCACTAAACAGATTTCCCTAATTAAAACCACTCAAACCAGTATGCAGTGATTTTATGGCACAAGAATAGACTATGAGTATATGGTTTGCAGCCTGGACAAAAACCTTTTTGGGTCTGACCTGAATAAGTAGGTTAGTTTATATTTCAAATATTTTTATTTATACTATTTCCTCTGTTTTACTCAGTAAACATTAAGTTAATCTTCCGTATCATCTAATTAACCATTATTTGTAATGAAGACAAATTAAATTTGTAAAATAGGAGTAGAAAAATGGTTACAGATGGTGGCTTTAGTAAGTATTGTAAAAATGCCAGACGCTCAAATCTGTCTGACTATTTATGCAAGTTATTGTGAATGCTTTGAAATTTGTTAATACTGCACTCTTTAGAGGTTTTGTTATTTCAGGAATTTTAGAGAAAGAGTCAATACTCTTAGTGTTTGGGTTCAGGAGGACCCACTTTCTGCTCCAGGAATGACCCAGGACTGGCCAATCAAAACACTGAACCCTCTGGCCATATTGATTGATTTAAAGATGGGCGAGTGACCCAAGTTCATCCAATTAGGGTCAGTCTTGGGACTTGTGCAGAATCTGTCAGCAGACACATGCTCTTTTTTGTTGGTTTAGACGTACAAGACTATAAGCCATAAGCTGTGGACAATCATCTTTCTTAAGAATGAAGCCAGCATAAAGAAGAGTACAGGTGAAAGATGAAAGAGAGAGAGTGAGAGAGAGAGAGAGAGAGAGAGAAAGAGAGAGAGAGAGAGAGAGAGAGAGAGAGAGAGAGAGAGACAGGGAGATTAGGTCCTGATAGATCCTGATGACATCATGAGTGTCCAGGCCAAGTCATACTTAAAGCTTCATTAACTCAAGCCAATAAAGTCCACCTTTTTGCTTAAGTCGCTATGGGCTATTTGTCACTTTCAATTAATTAATACTTTCAATTAATATAGGTGAGATATGTTGATTGTATCTGACCCCCAAGAGTTACATCTCTATTTGCTATGGTAGTTTTTTTTTTATTATTATCAATTGTTTGCTCTTCTCCCAATAACAGCTTGCTTCCCCATCCATTGCTATGTGACTGGCATTGCCTACGCCGAGGAAGGAGAATACCTCTCGAACCCACTGATGTAAACTCTGACCATGTGACTTGTTTTGGTCAATAGGCTGTGGAAAGCAATGACATATGCTGTATCCAAGCAGAAGCTTTAAGGGCTATCACAAGGTCCTGTCATACTTCCTTTTTTGTTTTCTGCCAAGTAGCTATCCCATCTTAGAATGAATCCCAGAATGGAGAAAATATTTGGAGCAGAGCCTCAGCTGACCTACAGCTAATGAGTACCATGAACAAGATATAAATTTATTTTGTTATAAACTACTGATATTTGGGGGTAGTTGTTACTGAAGCATAACCTAGTAAAAGCTGACTAATATACTTGTTATCTTTGTAATGCTTGTCAAAGTTCATAACTGAGTATAAATCTAGAGCACCTATCATGGTGTTTATAATTTATATCCTGAAAGTTACCACAAAAGAATTTCGGACGACTGATTGCTTCTCATTGTTTTAGTATTCGTGGCCCAGTTATATGCAGTGGTGGTCAAAAATGTGGGCTTTGTCTTTGTGGTTTAATGACTGGTAAGTTACCTGAACTTACGAGTCTCAATATCCTCCTTATAATAAAAATAATAATAGTAATAATAATAATGTCTTCCCCATGGGATTTTTGTGTATACAGAGTGAAACACAGTGCAGGGGACATGGTAAAACACTTAGGAAACAGCAACTATAATTTTTACCATTACAGAAGAAAGTGCCCTCATGGAACTTTTTTTAAGACATGGAGTCTTGCTATGGTGCCCAGGCTGGAGTGCAATGGTTCTTCACAGGTACAATCATGGTGCACTGCAGTCTCAAACTCCTGAGCTCAAGTGATCCTTCCACCTCAGCCTCCTGAGTATCTGGGACTACAGGCACATGCCACCATGTCTGGCTGAACTCTTTTTGATGTTTCCAGAAACAATCCCCCAATGGGTGGTAGAGTCCAAGGTGAGCCTAGCTAACACTAAGCACCATTCCCTAAGAAATAGCATTCTGGGGAGGCTGTTAAGACATTACTTTTTAAATTGCACGTATACCATCCAAGGAAGAGTGGCTGGGGAGAATGCTGCCGAGGAAGCTGGATGGGAGCTGAGGGAATATATTGAGAAGTGGGATAGCCATTTTTCCTCTGAATTTCTTTGCATTCTAAAGCTCAATGAAAAGAGAACAATGCCTCCAGAGTTGGACCTCAAGTGAGAACTGAGGAGGACACCAGAATCAAGCTGGTGCTGTTGAACATTCATCTTCATTTATGAGTAGCATTTGGACAATTTGTTTTGCTAATGGGCGAAGTTTACATTGATTGAACTTATCATTTAATATTTTTGGAAAAGGCAATAAGGGGATTTTATGACAAGAATATTTGTTAGGGCAATTATCTCCTGAATAACAAAGAGTATGCCTTTTGAATGATTTGAATGGATTGAAGCCTGCACGTGTGTGTGCATGAGAGAGAGAGAGAGACAGAAAGAGAAATCTCAAAGGATAAGAATATGAGAATAGTTGTGCAAATATAGCATGCTCTTCAAGGTATTGAGCTTAGAAGTATTTTCTGGGAATTGTTGATAGTTTCAGTCTTCCTCTTTTCAACAAGGATTCATCTTTCTCTGTTCAGGTACTGTGCTATATGAATATACCCATATAACTTTCATAGCTTAGAACTCTACAACATATAACTGTTAAGAGTTATAAGAGTAAATAAACACTTAGCAGACACTTATTAGTATCTCTTATAGAGGAGAAAACTGAGGCTTACAAGTATTCACTGATTTGCAGACGGGCTCACAGGCACTCATTATTATTCAAAGCTTATATTTATACCCAGGACTTATTCCTTCAATGAGTATTTATCGAATATCTACTGTACACCAGGAATATTTCCAACTTAATAATATCATCTAATAAATTTCCTACTGTCATGAAGCTTATGTTCTATTTGGGAAGATAACTAAGCAAAAAACAATATAATTTAATATCATGAAAAATAAAACAGGACAGTGTGATATAAGATGATAGTGGCACATTAGAAAGGATACTTGTTAATAAAAGTCCTTTGTAAAACAAAGACACTGAGCTGAGACAGAATTGATAGGAAGCATTCCAGATGGGGGAACGGTGAGTGCAAAGGTCCTGAGGCAGGAATCAACTTGGCAGACTTTACAACAGGAGACAGAAAACTGGTGTGGTGAGAGTGCCCTGAACCCAGGAGAAAAGGGTGTAATTGGGGTCCAAGAGATTATAGACTCTTTTGGGCCACAGTAAAGAGTCTGAATCTTATTCTAAGTGCAGTGGGAAGCCATTGATCCAAGCAGTAGTTAAGAAGTTCCTGCTAGGTCCTGTGTGGACAGTGGATTAGGTAGAAGCACAGAGTGCATGAAAAACAACAGCTGAGGAGAAAGGCTGTTGGTTTGGACCATGGCTGTAGGAGAAGAGATACAGAGAAATGGGTGAATTTGGGATAACTTTTGCATGGGAGCTGATAGGAGTTTGCTGTTGGACTAGATGTGAAGGAGAATGATAAAACAGAAACAAGGACAGCTTCTAGGTTTATGACCGAAGTAATTAAATCGTGAAGCTTTATACTGATGATGCAATCCACATCTCTATAGCTCTCCAGTAATCTCTAATTGTGTGTTCTGGTGAGGAATTCTCTCTACTGAAGTGCTATCTTATTATTCTATCTGCAGAGAGCAGGAAGACAGAGAGAGAGAGAGAGAGAGAGATGGATTCTAATAGATTGCATTTGAATTCAGACTCATCTGCTCCAAGCCTTCTGGTGTTAATAGCTGTGGCCCGATTATAGGCATTGGCTCAGCCAATGATAGAGTGTGTTTTAGTGTCCAGTCCCTTAGATTTAAAGAAGACAGAGAGTCTAACAATACTGGCCTCTCCGGCCTTCCTGTTGCCCATTGCTGACCTGTGTCTGAAGCCCACTTCCTGGATCTGGCTTCACGGCTTGGTCAAGAAGACTCTGTGTACATGCACTGACAACATGTGATGACAGACTGGGTTCCAGAAGGGGATCTGGACCGTGGTCAAGGACATCTGAACATCCCCAGAGGCCAGAAGATGACAGCCTGGCCACTTTGGCTTCTTGCCTTCTACAGGCAGAGTAGGCCAAGCCCCAGGACCCAGAGCTGTGGCTGAGCTGGGTCACCACTGTGGTTTGGACAGAGAGCAGGGTGGGGTGAGCTGTCCCCGGGCTGCTCTGGAGTTGGCTTCAGACAAGAGACTAAGGTCAGGCATGTGGTCGAAATCACACGTATTCCTGGGCAGAACTCTCATCGGGACTTATGAAAATAGATTTTATAACGTCAGCTGCACTTGGCAATGATAATTTCCTGGTTGAAGATGCGCGGAGGATCCCTAGGATATATATTCTTAATGAGGACAGAAATGTGAACTCATTGCATTGAGTGGGTCATCCTTATTCCTTGACACTTGGTAAAGTGTCCTATTTGGGCATAGAGGAGAGTTTCAGTGAGTCAGGATGCTGGCTGATGGTTCCAGTGAAGAGAATTAATGAAGAAACTACTTGCAGAGGTGTAGGATGGGCCAAGGGAACTAACAAGGAATGGGAGCCACCTAAAAGGCTAGCAACAAGGGCAAGCAGGTACTACCCCTGGGCCTCAAGGGCACAAAGTGAGGGCACATAGTTACCTGAACCTGGTAAGAACTGGAACCACAGAGAAGGCCCCCCCACCCCCCAAGCCAGGGCTGGAGTCACACAGAGGGAAGCAGTGACTGCCACAGAAGTTGCCCAGAAGTGGGAGAGAGAAAGGAAGGAACGCCCACGCTCTCTTTTCTGTCATCTCCCACAGGGGAGGGAGGAAGTAGAAAAGGGAAGAGGATGAATCAAGAAGCACAAATAAAGAATCCCCAGGACAAGTGGGAAAGTCACGCTCTCCACATGACAGCATTAGCATTGTCTCTAAACATGTCTAGGCACACGCATGTACACACGCCCCTCCTACCAAAAAAGAAGGCCAACTTTGTATTTTTAAAATATTATCCTGGAAGCAGTGTGGTGTAGTTTAAGACACAATTATATGTTTGGTGATATATCCTATCAGTAAAAAAATTTAAAAATCAGGCAATCCAAAATTTGCATATTTATTAATGTATAAATTGTATATGGCAAGCTTGTCCAACCAGTGGCCCAGGATGGCTTTGAATACAGCCCAACACAAATTTGTAAACTTTCCTAAAACACTATAAGGTTTATGCATGGACCTTCTTTTTTTTTTTTTTTTTTTTTAGCTAATCAGCTATCCTTAGCGTTAGTATATTTTATGTGTGGCCCAAGACAATTCTTCCAGTGTGGCTCAGGGAAGTCAAAGATTAGACATCCCTGGTATATGGCATATATGTATTACCATATTAATATACAGTGTACAGTATAACACACTAGGTAAGGGCATGGATTCTGTAGCTCAGCTTCTTCATAGCATTGTTGTAAGAATTAAATGAACATCTGCAGAGGCCTTAGGACAGTGCCTGACATGAGGCAAGCAGAATATGTGGTACATTATAGTATAAAACATAGCTCAACACAGAAGTTTTATAAGGCTGAGGTAATATCACACTGAATGGGCAAAAACTGGAAGCATTCCCTTTGACAACTGGCACAAGACAGGGATGCCCTCTCTCACCACTCCTATTCAACATAGTGTTGGAAGTCCTGGCCAGGGAAATCAGGCAGGAGAAAGAAATAAAGGGTATTCAATTAGGAAAAGAGGAAGTCAAATTGTCCCTGTTTGCAGATGACATGATTGTATATCTAGAAAACCCCACTGTCTCAGCCCAAAATCGCCTTAAGCTGATAAGCAACTTCAGCAAAGTCTCAGGATACAAAATCAATGTGCAAAAATCACAAGTATTCTTATACACCAAAAACAGACAAACAGAGAGCCAAATCATGAGTGAATTCCCGTTCACAATTGCTTCAAAGAGAATAAAATACCTAGGAATCCAACTTACAAGGGATATGAAGGACCTCTTCAGGGAGAACTACAAACCACCACTCAATGAAATATAAGAAGACACAAACAAATGGAAGAACATTTCATGCTCATGGGTAGGAAGAATCAATATCGTGAAAATGGCCATACTGCCCAAGGTAATTTATAGATTCAATGCCATCCCCATCAAGCTACCAATGACTTTCTTCACAGAATTGGAAAAAGCTACTTTAAAGTTCATATGGAATCAAAAAAGAGCCTGCATTGCCAAGTCAATCCTAACCCAAAAGAACAAAGCTGGAGGCATCACACTACCTGACTTCAAACTATACTACAAGGCTACAGTAACCAAAACAGCATAATAGTGGTACCAAAACAGAGATATAGACCAATGGAACAGAACAGAGCCCTCAGAAATAATACCACACATCTACAGCCATCTGATCTTTGACAAACCTGACAAAAACAAGCAATGGGGAAAGGATTCCCTATTTAATAAATGGTGCTGGGAAAACTGGCTAGCCATATGTAGAAAGCTGAAACTGGATCCCTTTCTTACACCTTATACAAAAATTAATTCAAGATGGATTAAAGACTTAAATGTTAGAACTAAAACCATAAAAACCCTAGAAGAAAACCTAGGCAATACCATTCAGGACATAGGCATCGGCAAGGACTTCATGTCTAAAACACCAAAAGCAATGGCAACAAAAGCCAAAATTGACAAATGGGGTCTAATTAAACTAAAGAGCTTCTGCACAGCAAAAAAAAAACTACCATCGGAGTGAACAGGCAACTTACAGAATGGGAGAAAATTTTCACAACCTACTCATCTGACAAAGGGCTAATATCCAGAATCTACAAAGAACTCAAACAAATTTACAAGAAACAAACAAACAACCCCATCAAAAAGTGGGCAAAGGATATGAACAGACACTTCTCAAGAGAAGACATTTATGCAGCCAACAGACACATGAAAAAATGCTCATCATCACTGGCCATCAGAAAAATGCAAATCAAAACCACAATGAGACAGCATCTCATACCAGTTAGAATAGCGATCATTAAAAAGTCAGGAAACAACAGATGCTGGAGAGGATATGGAGAAATAGGAACACTTTGACACTGTTGGTGGGACTGTAAACTAGTTCAACCATTGTGGAAGTCAGTGTGGCGATTCCTCAAGGATCTAGAGCTAGAAATACCATTTGACCCAGCCATCCCATTACTGGGTATATACCCAAAGGATTATAAATCATGCTGCTATAAAGACATATGCACACCTATGTTTATTGCAGCACTATTCACAATAGCAAAGACTTGGAACCAACTCAAATGTCCATCAATGATAGACTGGATTAAGAAAATGTGGCACATATATACCATGGAATACTATGCAGCCATAAAGAAGGATGAGTTCATGTCCTTTGTAGGGACATGGATGAAGCTGGAAACCATCATTCTCAGCAAACTATCACAAGGACAAAAAACCAAACACTGCATGTTCTCACTGATAGGAGGGAACTGAACAAGGAGAACACTTGGACACAGGAAGGGGAACATCACACACTGTGGCCTGTTGTGGGGTGGGGGGAGGGGGGAGGGATAGCATTAGGAGATACACCTAATGTAAATGAAGAGTTAATGGGTGCAGCACACTAATATGGCACATGTATTCATATGTAACAATCCTGCACGTTGTGCACATGTACCCTAGAACTTAAAGTATAATAAAAACAAATAGAGACATAAACTTTGAATATGCTTCTCCATGCCCCATCATGCATGCTTCCATCAGGGTATATACTTCCCACTTTGGAGATCACCAGCTAAACAGTTAGTATTTGTTACCGGGCAGACCATCCCACTGCACTACCTTGAGTAAATTCACCCATTACAGCCTCACTGTCCTCATCTGTAAAATGATAACAGTTACTAGTATCCTGGTTGTTGGAGGACTAAATGCACTACATCCAGTCAAACACTTAGCCCAGCACATCAGTACTCAATACAATGTTACATGCGATTATTGTCATAAAAGGAATGGTCATTGTATTAAAACCAGGAAAGAGAAAAAAACAAAAATTGTCCATACTCCTACAGGATCATATACAATCACTGTAAAATAATATTGGCATATGTTTTTTTGAGACCTTCTTCTAAAGCTTATACACACACATATTTTGCATAATTGGATCATACTGTACATTCTGTGGTGGGTCTCTTTTTAATGGCAGTAAAGTATAACATCTTATAGGCTCAGAATAATTTATTTACCCAGCCCTATTGTTGGTCATTTATATTTTTTCCAATATTTTTTCATTTTAAGTAACCCCGGGATGAATACTTTTTTTAACAGCTTCATTGGGATATACTTTACACCTCATAAAATTCACCCACTTAAAGTGTACAATTCAATGGTTTTTAGTGTATTCAGAGTTGTGCAACCATCACCACAATCTAAGTTTGGAACATTTTTGTCATTCCTAAAAGAAACCTACACCGAGTGTAGTCATCCCCAAACCACCCCTCCCAGACCCAGGCGACCTCCAATGTACATGATGTTTCTGTAGATTTGCCTATTCTGGGCATTTCATATAAATGGGATCACAAAATATGTGGTCTTTTGTGTCTGGCCTCTTTCAGTTAATGTTTGTGAGGCTCATCCACATTATAGATCTACCAACACTTCATTCCTTTTTATTGCTGAATATTCCATGGAACAGATATACCACATTTTATTTATCCATTCATCAGTAATGGATATTTGGGTTGTTTCCAAGATGAATAATCTTATAGGTTAATCTTTGCACACATCTTAGTTGGTTCCTTTGAATATATTCCTAGACATGAAAATGCTAGGTGAAAGATGATACACATAATTTCTAAACTTTTGGATATTAGACACTTTCAATTAAAGCTTTATTTCTCACTTGAGCACACTGCTTCCTTTCTCATTTGAAGGGTCACTGCTCTTCATCCTATCAACTACAAAACTTTTCTAATCTCTTCCTTGTGATGCCTGGAGATATTTGCAATTTTTAATCTTCTAAAGCAACATCCCCAGGGATTCTATCCTCTTTTGGATATCAGAGACTCTGATGGACAAGGACACTCCCAAAGGAAACAAATAGTGGCCAGCATAAGTGGCTTATGCCTATAATCCCAGCATTTTGGGAGGCTGAGACCAGAGGATTGCTTGAGGCCTGGAGTTAGAGACCAGCCTGGGCAAGATAGGAAGACCCCATCTCTACAAAAAATTAAAAATAAAAAAAATAAGCTGGGCATGGTAGCACATGCCTGTAGTCCCAACTACCCAGGAGGTTGAGGTAGGAGGATCACTTGAACCCAGGAGTTCGAGGTTACAGTGAGCTATGATCGCACCACTGCCCTCCAGTCTGGATGACAGAGCAAGACCCTATCTCAAAAACAAAAAACAAAAAGAAAAAGGAAACAAAAGGAAATAAACAGTATTTACTTGTATCATTCTTTACCATTTTCAACTGGAAGCCCCCTTAAGTGTGACATTAATGAAAGTCAGCTTGTAAGACTTGTAAGTGGCAGATAGTCTCTTTAAAGCATCTCACTTTGTCCTTGTAAGTAGGTGTTTCTACTATCAACCTCTTGAAAGTGGTTAATATCCAGAAAAATAATTTCTTATTCAGTAAAATTTTGACCCAAGGTTTCATAGCACCTAAGAAGCCAAGTATCATTAGGCTCATAATCTTATTTATTTACAACATGTTACAGATAAACTGACTTTCTCCTTCTTAAGAATTTGAAGGAAGTGAAAATTTGTTTTCTACATGCTGTGGATTTTAATCCAACATAGCTGTTAAACTCTTGGGGTGGCCTCCTGGGTGAAATCTACTCACACATTTTCTTTATTATATGAAAGGATCCTGTGGGGAAGGCAGCTGGTGGGTAAACACCAGGCTTAAGCCTTAGTCAGTGTGAATCCTGGATAATGTTTACAAATAGAATGGTCTCTGCAGCAACCAACTAACAGTAGATAAGAGAGCTGCCTCATTTACAGCTGCGTTTAATCTTTCCAACGCCTGAAAAATATTCGCTGAATGCTGGTGAATAGGATGGCTTATGGTGCCCTCACCTTCACCCCTGGACACGCTTCCTCCACTGACCTTTCTGGTCACAAGCAACAAAGGTGGTTAAAAATACTCCATTCTTTGTACAAAGACCATCCACTGCAACCCCAAGGCCCTTAATGTTATTATCCGTGGTGCTGATGGATTGGCCCTGATCTTCACCCCACTTCCTCTTCAGAACAACACGCATTTATGTTGAGAAGACTGGCGGGGACTCATAAGTGTTGGAATTCTCTTACATGTCAATTAGGGGAGGCATTTTACACAGGATATCCAATTTCAACATAACAACCACCCACAAAGTAGGTGCTGTTATGCCCATTCTAAGGATGAGAAAGTGGAGGCATAGTTGTGCTGTGCATCCTGGAACCCAAGTGTAAAAAAAAAAAAATCTTATTAAATACAGACTTCTTATGAATGTACTTAGGAAGTGTATTAATTCCTCAGAGTAAATAAAGGTAACTCTACTGCTAAATTCTTTTTTTTTTTCTTTTTGAGACAGGATCTCGTTTTACCACCCAGGCTGGAGTGCACTGGCAACATCATTGCTCACTGCAGCCTCGACCTCCCTGGCTCAAGCAATCCTCCTGCCTCAGCCTCCTGAGTCTGGGACTATAGGCGGGGGCCACCACACCCAGCTACAGCTAATTTTTTTGGGGGGGGTGGGTAGAGGTGGGGTCTCACTATGTTGCCCAGGCTGATCCTGAACTCCTGAACTCAAACAATTCTCCTGCCTTGGCCTCCTAATCTGCTGAGATTACGGGGTGAGCTACAGTACCTGGCATCCTACTGTTAAATTCCTGCCTCTCAGCTGGAGACAGTGCACACTGCGGTGACGATTTATTTTAATATAAATGCTGCAGTGCTGTACTTTCCAAGGTGTTAATTTCAGAGAAAATGTCCCACCAAAAATTGGGTGGGTCATATGATCAATAAATTTTGTTAAATTAAATTGTACAGGATTCTTGAGTGTGGACCTTCATAGAGATTCTAATATAGGGATGTGTATTCTGAAGCCCCAAGATGGGCGAAGAATCAATACTATTTTTGTGGAACACCAATTAGCCTTTAATGGAGCTGTTTTTTGTGACACACACAAGCAGAATGAACTTCTTAATGGCCATTCATTTTTGGTTTGATTTTTAAATAGGCAGTATATACAGACAGTAAATTTTGAGTATCCAGAGTTATTCAGTGAAAGGTCCATCTCTCTTCAACCTTTGCCTCTAAAATTCTCTCTTAAGAAACAACTATTGATTTCAAGTTCTAAGATATTTTAGGCATATGCAACCATGCATGCACGTATGTATGTGTGTATATGTGTAAGTTTGTGTGTGTGTGTGTGTTTCAGTTTTGAGTCACAGTATATATATTGTTCTGTACCTTGTATTTTTACTTAATAGATGTTAGAAATCAGTCCATATCCATATATATAAGGCTGTGTCACTTTTTTAATACCTACATAGTATTTTACGGTATAGATGTGTTAAATATGTTTAACCAGTACCATATTGATGGATATTTAGAATATTTCTAATCTTTTACTGCTACAAACAGTGCTGTAGGGGGTACCCTTGTACATTTTTCTTTGCACCATGGTGTTTCTTGTATCAGATTTTGATTTTTAGAAAGGGGCATCATAACATAATATGATTCTGTGAGGTCAAAAATGGCCCAGGTTTGCAGCCTTCTGATGGTCTGGCTTGATCCAGAGACAGAGAAGAATTTAGAGTTTACAGAACTAAGCCCTAAAAAAAATTGTCAGAGTCTGTTTAAAATAGAGGGAAAAATAGGTTTTTTTTTCAGAGGTAAGAAAAATTAAGGTTTTTAAAAAATCCTATTTCTTTTAGAGGTAAAGAGGTTTCGGGTTATATGCATGTTCCTACGCAAGGCCATATGGAACTTAAGGCATGAAATCTCTAAGAACAGGGATTTCCCACATGGATAACCTTTGATTCTTAACTGAAAAAGTAACTGCTTTATTCACCCTGGTTCAGAAGCAATAGTTTTGCTTCCTCACTATCTTGTACTGCATTTAGTTTCTGCCAAACAGCATTTCATTGACTCTAAATATTAAAAGTTGTTCTTTCTCCTGAACATATTTCTCCCTCTTCTTTTTTGTTTCCTGAATGGCAAAAAATAACATAATAAAGGGTAACATTTTACATAAGAAAAAAATAAAAACTTTTATTTTATTAAACGAGGTTAATATCTAGTTGGAATTCAACAACAGAACTTGATAGAAAGAAGTGCTCCTATATTTTGTTCAACAGCTTTACTGATGATGTCTTCCACTTTTAAAAATATCAATTTTATCAACAGGTTTCAATCGCATAACAGGCTGGGAAAATTTCCTTGAGGACAAATTACTGTTGGGACAAATTACATGGCTTCCAACGTGGTTGCTCCAGCTATTATTTCTTTATTTCCTAGTCAATGAGAATAGGGGAAGGGAGAAAGAAAGCATCCTCCTAGCCCAAACTTAGATATATGAACACAGCTGACTACAAAGTAGGCTAGGGAAAGTAGTCTCTAATTGGTCATCCACCTGCCCAGATAAAGCTTGGAGGAATATTCTACCATTAAAAGGATAAAAGGTAAGCAACCAATGGGCCAAAGAAGAAATCACAAGGGAAATTTTAAAATATCAGGTGATTTAAGAATAGGTTGCATTATCTGGTCCTCGTTTGGGACAGTACAGAGCAACATATTATAGCCACCTTTCATCATAAAGTGCCATCACTCTGGGTCAGGCACAACAACCTATGAGGTGGATCCTTACAACCACCTACAAGGTGGGTACTGCTGTTGTCTCCATTTCATAGACAAGGAATCTAGAGCACAGGACAATCTCAAGACCACACAGCTAGAATGTTGTAGAGCTAGAATTCGAACCCATTGTTTTAAAACCTTATTCTCTAGACTAGGTCTTGAATTCTTTTAAACCCAAATACATGTAATCACCTGTTGAGGCCAGAAGTTTTGTCTCTGCTCCCATCTAGCTATGTCAAGTGATACATGGATGATCACTGTTCACAGGCTTCTGCAGCAGTGGGGTTTGTTCTACATTTGAGCAGCCCTGCTCCAGAATGACATCTCTCCAGGCCAGACGGTGAAGCAAGCTCTATGACACAGGTGATGGTTTCAAGGAAGGAGAGATTCTGACCATTTTATTACCTCCCCTGGAACGGAAGCGATCGCTTGCAGTGCCATCTAACTCTACGTCTTCACTTGAGGCCAGTTGAACGGGCAAGTCTGTTGCCAAATTCCAACAGAAACATTCATCAGAATTTTCCCTTAGGAATTTTTGCAAAAGCTAGCTGTTCCCTCCCGCCATGTTGTAATATGTAGAAATGGTCATCTAGTTAGGGGCACACAGAATCAAGTATGACAAGTTATCAATTTCCCCTTTCTCAAGGTGCTGGAAGTGAGTCATTAAGTAAATCTTGACTATCAGGGTGTCTTCAGACCTCTAAAGAAGCATTTGATGAAAGAGTTCTCAGAAACGTGGGTCTAAATTTGATTCTAGTCCTGAGGGCATCTGTTCAATTGCATTTGCCTTCTGCAGCTGTATAAACTCATCTACTGCTGGAAAATCTCAGAAACCTTGTAGAGTCATATGTCATTTTATTGCACTTCACAGATATTAATTTTTTGTTTTGTTGTGTTTTTTACAAACTGAAGGTTTATGGCAACCCTATATCAAGCAAATCTATTGGTGCCATTTTTCCAACAGCATGTACTCACTTTATGTCACTGGGTCACATTTTAGTAATTTTACTAAAATTTTAGTAAAATTTGATACTAAAGCGAGTATCAAATATTGCAATCAAGCAAGTCACATGATTTTTTGATTTCCCAGTACATATAAAAGTTCTGTTTACACTCTACTATGGAGTATAAACAGAGCTTCTACATGCACTGGGAAATCAAAAAATCATGTGACGTGCTTGATTGCAATATTTAACACTCACTTTATTGAGGTGGTCTGGAACTGAACCTGCAGTATCTACAAGGTATGCTTGTGCCTCCCAAGGTCTCTGTTTCCTCCTGAATATTCGTCCAGAACAATTTTGTCTACTTTAAGACAGGGTTCTGGGATTAAATTACATAATCCCTATAGAATACTTAGTATATAGTAAACTGATAGTAATAATAGCGATTTTTGTTATTAGCTCAAACTCCACAAAAAATTAGAGAGATGAAAATATTGTAACATAAAACAATAGTGTCAGAAGCAGTAGCCAAATAAAGATGAGAAATGAAGTCAGTCCAGAAGTCTATATAAAAACTATTAAGCAATTTATCTTATGGTGATGATTCATAGACGTTTTATTCTTCTCCTTGATAATGAATTGCCTTTGTATTACTTTTATTATCAGACAAAACAATAAAGCAGTTTCCACTTGGGGAGAAAGAACTTAGACGAAGTTCGGGTGTTTCTGAAATTATAAATCAAGGATAAAAGCAATTTAACTTTCAAATTCTCAGTTTTCATGCACTCTGCAAGGAAAGGAGCTCAGCCCATGAGTATACTTGTAGATCAAAATTTACACGTTTAGGGCTACAGAGCTCTAACAGGCCAGGCAACAAGCAAGCCAAAGGTGTTGATGACCACAGCAGGCAGGCTCACACTTACTAATACTACTTGCAGCCCTAAACTCCCATACACTACTCTATAATTTCCAGACCACCCACATTTACACTAACAAGTCCACATACAGGGCACAACAAGCATTCTCATGCAGTTCTGTCATCATGCCCAGTTTTCATGCCTGACCTTTTCTCATACTTCAGAACATTCTGACACTTCCTCTCTGCCTAACTTCAAAGCAGTGAGCATGGGAGAATAATTTACATTCTTATAGTTGACCAATAAATCTAACCATTTTTTCCTTGCAGACCAATAGAGCATTTTATTTACATGTGGGGTCATTTATAAATAGAGTACTTTATTAAGCTCATAAAGATTTCTCAGAACAAACACCATTTTTCCAAGTATGTTTAATGCATTCTTGGGGTTAACATTTTGTTGAGATTAGATATGTCGCCCTGATCAACTGCCATAAGGACATTTACTGCATTAAATTTTATCAAATACAGATCTTCAGGTTCATGGTCCCAGTAGTTGTATAAGCATCACTGCAGAATCTATTTATTTTGCATTTCATTTTTTTTCCCTAAGGCAAATCCTCTTTAAAACCATGTTGGATAAGTTTTTTAAAAATCTTTTTAAACTGAAAAAGAATTTATAATTTTTTTAATGTTCAGGTTGCCTTTGTTTAAAATGTGCCAGCCACTATGCTAGGCCCTGAGGATACCTAGGCAAAACACACATAGTCCCTGCCTACATGGAGCTTAGAGTACAGACGGGAAGCAGCAAGAAGAATACCATGCCTATATAATCACACATGCATGTATAATTAAAAACACAGGATGCAGTGGGCACATGTGGTGGCCATGGAAACACAACTCTCCAACTGCAGGGAGCATACCTGACTGACAGCCCCAGCTGTCGCTCCTCTAGATCCTTCAGGCCACCCCCAGCCAATGGCTCCCATTCCTATCAGACGCAGAACTTGTCTAACGTGCATCTTGGGCTAAGAACACCCCACTGGCATCACTGAAGTGTTCTTAGAGCTGAGTAGAGTCTGAGACTCTTCCTATCCATTCCTTCTTCCTTCCCCTTCTCCTTTCTCAAGGATCAGACCTGCATTTGTGGTCTGAAGGCTCTCCCTGCCTATTCTTACCCCACTTACCCCTGCACTGTATCCTGCACAGGTGTTTTCCCTCGTATGTCCCTTGGACATGCTTCTCAGAGGACCTGGACTATATACAACTTAGAAGAGAGGAGTACAACCTAGTCTGAGGGATCAGCGAAGACATCCTGGAGGGGGCAATAAATGAGATGAGTACAAGTAGAAAGCAATGATGCTAAGAGGAGGCAATGAACATTCCACATACAGAAATTAGCATGTCAAAGATCCTCTGTCACAGGACAAAAGAATAAAGAAGAGAGATTTATGTTCTTTGCCTAGAATACAAAGCAAGAGAGAGAAGAAGCTGCAGAGGTAAGCAAGGACCAGATAAAAAGAAGAGGAACAAGAAAAGCATCTACTCTGGCTCACCATAGTGAGGCACTGCACGGGGCTGGAGTTAAGAGGAAAAACCCTACATACATAGACTTGGGCCCTACTTAATGCTTTCATAATAATTTATTTACTTATTTGGTTTTAATATCTTAATAAGGAAGGCAAACAAAGAAGAAAGCCAACACTTTCTTGGGTTAACCGCATAATTTCTTGGGTTAATGTAGCACTTTTGGTAAAGCTAAAGTATTCATATAGTACAGGCTAAGCTACTATAACAAAGAGACCCTGAAAATACAATGGTTTAATTGAAATAAATCTGTATTTTTTCTTTTTACATAATGGTCTAAAGAGAAGCAGAGAATCTAGGGCAGGTGGATAGTTCTGCTCTATAGAGTTACCCAGGGATCCATGATGATGGGTGAGCTCTGCCATTTTTCAAACATGGCTTCCAACGTGGTTGCTCCAGATATTATTATTTCCTCATTTCCTAGTCAACGAGAATAGGGGAAGGGAGAAAGAGGATCCTACTGGCCCAAACTCAGACACATGAACACAGCTGATTGCAAAGTAAGCTAGGGAAAGTAGTCTCTAACTGTGCATCTTCCCGCCCAAATAAAACTTGGAGGAATGTTCCATCATTAAAAGGATAAAAGGTAAGCAACCAATGGGTCAAAAAAGACATCACAAGGGAAATTTAAAAATATACTGAGATAAGTGAAAATCAAAATATTACACACCAAAATTTATGACATGCAGTGAAAGCAGTCATAAGAGGAGAGTTTGTAGCTGTAAATGCATATATTAAAAAAGAAGACTGATCTCATATCAACAACCTAACTTTATAACTCAAAGAACTAGGAAAATAAGAACAAATTAAATGCAAAGCTAACCAAAGGAAGGAAATAATAAAGATTAGAGCAGAGATAAACAAAATAGAGAGTAGAAAATTTATAGAAAAAGAGTCAATGAAACTGAGTATTTTGAAAAAAATCAACAAATTTGATAAGTTCTTAGATGAACTAAGAAAAAAAGAGAACACTCAAAAAACTAGAATTAGAAAGGAAAGAGATGTTAGAAGCAATGTTGTAGAAATAAAAGGGATTATAAGAGAATACAATGAACAATTGTATACCAACAGATTGGATAATGTAGAAGAAACATAAGAATTCCTAGAAACACACAACCTATCAAGACTGAATCATGAAGAAATACAAAATCTGAACAGACCCGTAACTAATAAGCAGATTCAATCAGTAATCTAAAACCTCCCAACAAAGAAAAGCCCAGGACCAGATGGCTTCACTGGAGAATTCTGCCAAACATTTGAAAAAGAATAACACCAATCCTCCCCAAACTCTTCCAAAAACACTGAAGAACAGTAAACACATCCAAACTTATTTTATGAGGCCAGCATTACCTTAATACCAAAGCCAAAGATGCTACAAGAAAACTACTGACCAATATCCCTAAAAAATAATGATGAAAAAACTTCAACAAAATCCTAACAAACAAAATTCAACAGCATACTAAAAGGATTATATAGGGCAACCAAGTGAGATTTATTTCTGGAATACAAAGATAGTTCAACATGAAAAAAACAACCAATTTATAAATTACTACTGTATATTACATTAACAGAATAAAGGACAAAAACCATGGAATCAACTCAATCAATGCAGAAAAAGTACATGAAAAGATTAAACACCCTTTTATGATAAAAATAGTCAACAAATTAGAAATAAAAGGAAACTACTTCAACATAATTAAGGCCATATATGAAAAATCCACAGCTAACATAATACTCAATGGTGAAAGACAAAGCATTTCCTCTAAGATCAGGAACAAAACAAGGATCCCAGCTTTTGCCAGTTCTTTTCAACATAGTATTGAAAGTCCAAGCCAGAGCAATTAGGCAAGAAAAAGAAATAAAAGGCATCCAAATTGGAAAGAAGGAAGTAAAATGGTCTCTGATCACAGATGACAAATCTTATATGTAGATAAACCTAAAGATTCCACCAAAGAATCTGTTAGAATTAATGAACAACTTCAGCAAGATTGCAGGATACAAAATCGATATAAGAAATCAGCTGCATTTCTATACACTTACAATGAACAATTTGAAAAGGAAATTAGGGAAACAATTTCATTTACCATGGCATCAAAAAGAATAAAATATTTAAGAATAAGCTAAGCAAGGAGGTGAAAGAGTTGTACACTGAGAACTACAAAACATTGCTGAAAAAAAAATAAAGAAATAGGCCAAGTTCAGTGGCTCATGCCTGTAATCCCAACACTTTGGGAGGCCAAGGCAGGTAGAACACTTGAGGTCAAGATTTCAAGACCAGCCTGGCCAATGGGGTGAAAGCCTCTCTACTAAAAATATAAAACTTAGCCAGACGTGGTGGTGGGCACCTGTTGTCCCAGCTACTCAGGAGGCTGAGGCAGGAGAATCACTTAAACCTGGGAGACAAAGGTTACAGTGAGCTGAGATCATGCCATTGCATTCCAGCTTGGGTGACAGAGCAAGACTCCATCTTAAATAAATAAATAAATAAATAAATAAATAAATAAATAAATGGAAAGACATTCTGTGTTCACGAATTGAAAAACTTAATACTGTTAGGATGTCCGTGTTACCCAAAATGATCTACAGATTCAAAACAATCCCTGTCAAAATCCCAATGGCATTTTTTGAAGAAATAGAAAAATCCATCCTAAAATTCCTATGGATTCTCAAGGGACACTGAATAGCCAAAATACTTTTGAAAAAAATGAACAAAGTTGGAAGACTCATACTTCCTGATTTAAAAACATATTATAAAACTGCAAGAATCAAAGCTATGTGGTACTGGCATAAAGACATACAAATAGACCAATGGGATAGAGTAGAGGTCCCAGAAACAAACATTCACACATATGGTCAAATGATCTTCAACAAGGAGCCTAAATCACTCAGTGGGGAAAGGTGTCTTACATGGCAGGAACAGGAGCAAGAGAGAGTTGGGTGGGGTAGGGGGTGCAACACACTTTTAAAGAGATAGATCTCTCAAGAACTCACTATCACGAGAACAGGACCAAGGGGCTGGTGCTAACCATTCATGAGACATCCACCCCCATGATCCAATCGTCTTCCACCAGGTACCACCTCCTACGTCGGGGATTACAATTCCACATGAGATTTGGGTGGGGCCACAGATTCAAACCATATCACCAGACTAAAGGAATGAGAAGTCATGCTCCACCTTCTTAAGACTGCAGTATCTTCAATTATTTTGAAGTCTTTTGCATGGGAAATTTGTCTATTCTCCCCAATTTATTTACGTATTTGGTCTTTCATTTGTATCAGTATGGACTCATGGGTATTTTATTCTTTGGGTTATAATTCAATACTATTTTATTTACTTTCTTGCTCAAACTGTTGCAGCTTTGGCCATTGAGATCTCTTTCATTAGGCTCCTGTGTTCCTTTGATGTATTCCCATCATTGTGGCCAAAAATAATTATCAAAATATTAAAAACATAATGACGAAATAGATATAGAATATGTATCTAAAGATTTATTTAATTAATAAAGAAACCAGAAGGATGATAGAGTTCAAAGGAAGACACAAGAAACTGACGCATATATAGTTTCTAAATGGAAAATATAACGCCGAAATAAGATTGCTAAATTAGAAGCAATGCTGGTTAATGTCATACACTGCATTAAACCTATAACTTTTGGAGTTAACATCTCTCATGAACAAAATCATTTGCATCTTTGGTTAAGCAGAATAACTGCTCCCAAAAGATAGCCATGTCTTGGCCGGTTGCAGTGGCTCATACTTGTGCTTTGTGAGGGTGACGCAGGAGGAACATTGGGGCTAGGAGTTCAAGACCAGCCTGGGCAACAAAGAGAGACTCCATCTCTACAAAAAATTAAAAAATTAGCCAGGTGTGGTGGTGCATGCCTGTAGTCCCAACTACTCAGGAGGCTGAGGCAGGAAGATTGCTTCAACCCAGGGGTTTGAGGCTGTGGTGAGCAATGATGGCATTACTGCACTCTACTGTGGGCAACACAGCAAGACCCTATCTCTAAAATAATAATAATAATAAATATTTCCATGCCTTAATTCTGGAAACTGCAGATATATCATTTACATGACAAAAGAGGTTTTGTTGCAGATGTGATGAAGTTAAGGATCTTAAGACGGGGATGTTATTTAGGTGAGCCCAATGTAATAATAAGAATCCTAATAAGAGAAAGGAGGAAAGAGGGTCAAAGTCAAAAAGAGATTGGAAGATGTTATACTGCAACTTTGAAAATGGAGAAAGGAGCCCAAAGCCAAGGAATATAGGCAGCTCCCAGAAAGTAGAAAACACAAAGGAACAGGTTTTCCCCCTGGAACTTCCACAAGGAATGCAACCCTGCCAACATCTTGATTTTAGCCCGGTGAAACCTGGCAAGGACTTCTGAGCTACAGAGCTATAATGCAATAAATTTGCGCTTGTATTAAACCATTAAACTTGTGGTAATTTGTCATGGTAGCAATAGGAAATTAATACAATCTCTACCAGAGAGAAGTCATTGGATCTTATCAGTTTTCTATGAGTTAACATTTAACACTATAGAATCTGGTCTCTAAGCAATAATTAATCATCAGTGAAACAAAGTTATTATTCCCTAGAGAGCTGGAAAACTGCTGGGTGGGCTTGATGGAACAGAGCTCTAACAGTGTGTTGAACAGTCATCTTTTTGCTATATTCCCAAATTTTCGATAACCTTTCTTAACATCTCTTTGCTGTGCCCATATTTCTCTCAGAAGCATTCACATACTTCCATACCTCTCCTCCCTCTGGAGGGTAGCATTGTTACTGCACATTAACCCATTATTTGGGGGCCTTTGATAGCTTTGGACTCTTTACACATGAGGCCTTTGAAAGGGCAGTATCTTAAGGATGAGATTTAATGGTCAGACAATTTACCTTGCCTTTGGAAAGATTCAGGTCATATCTCTGATACTAATGCTACTTTCTGTTAAACATTTTTAAAAAATCCATTGACACCAAAGTTTATACACTAACTGACATTGTTCCTGAAGCCAGAATCTGTAAATGCATATTTCTTGTTTTTTCAATAATATGCAATATGTACAACATACTCCCTTCATTCCACTTTTTCCTCTGTGATGGCTCGCCCAAATACCACCCTATGTCAGATTGATTTGTTCAGCCCAACAACCTTGTGAAAAAAAGAGCACCAGTCACATAAATAGACATCATAAAGATTAAGAAATAATTGAACAGAGAAAAAAAAATTTTAACTGAAAGTAGTGTTAGGATCAGAGATATAACCCAAATCCTTCCAAAGGGAAGGAAAATTGCCTGACCATTAAGTCTCATCCTTAAGATATTGACCTTTCAAAGGCTTCATGTGTAAGCAGTCCAAAACTATCAAAGGCCCCCAAATAACGGATTAATGCACAGTGACAATGCTACCCTCCAGGGACATGCTGTGAAAAGAACCGGGCTTCCTGACTCCAATCTTCTGCTTTCAAATCCACCCTGCATGCCCCACCCAGCCTCTTCTTCAGAAAACACTTTTCCAGCTCACAACATCCTTGAGCCTCCTTACTGCCTTCAGCTCAAGTGTGGAACCTCAAATGTCTCTGTTACCTATCTGGCTCCATTCCTGCTGCACATGGTATAAGAAACCCCTGCTGGCCTAGTGCAGTCGTTTTCATACTTAAGTGTCCATGAACATCACCCGGAGTGTTTGCAAAAACAGCTTGCTAGGCTGCACCACAGAGTTTCTGATTCTGTAGAGAGTAAAACTCAAGAATCTGCATTTCTAACAAGTCCCCAAGAGATGCTGCTGCTGCTGCTGCTGGTTTAGACGTCATACTTTGAGAACCACAGGAATCTGAGCTCTGGGCTACTCCTTTTTTAAGCGAACTTAGAATAATTAAAAAGTGACCCCTAGCAAATAGGAGACTTTTGGGGTGATAAAGATATTCTTTATCTTGACTGGTGCAGAGATTACAATGTGTATGCCTTTGTCAATTTCATCAAATTATATACTTAAAGTAGGTATACTTTACTGTATATGAATAATGCTTTAATAAAAATGATCTTAAATTTTTTAAAATAAAGAAACAATGTATTCTTATACATTGGACATAGCTGATCAATCATCATTCAGTGATGACTTACCGAGTCCCTTCTTCCCTTCTTAATGTAAAGCTAAGTTCTGGGAATATAAAGGTGGCTAAGATGCTAAGCTTGTCTGGAAATGTCTCCCATTCTGATGGTGAATACTGAGAAGTATACTGCCAATTATAATATTACATAGTAAATGTTAGAATAGAGAAAAGGCAAGACCATATAGAATTTGGCACTAGAAATGACAGTATTCTATTTCTACTATCCTTTTCTTAAGGAACTCTGTGGTCCACATTGTAGCAGAGAATGTAACACCTGGTGTTATCTACCCTTCCAACCCCTGGGCCACAGCTGGCTGGAGCAAAGATTGACCCCTGACCAAGCTAGACCAACCCAACATGTTTGGAACAAGGATTTTGAAGGTGAGCCAGTTAGAGTTAGCTGTGGGGAGCTATAATGTTTAGGACTGAGCCCTGTGCAAGCCAAGGAAGGTAGGCTGAAGAGACTAGCAGGGAAACAAGACCAGCCCCCTGCAGATCTAGGGCAATTCCTGATAAGGTTCTGGTTCCTCTGAGACCTGGATGGACTCTTTGCAAAGAGTGCTGGGAGATTCTTCTGGGGGCAGTGGTTCTCAAATACAAACGTGCAGAAGCAACATCCAGGCAGCTTGTTTCTGTGTTGACACCTCAGATTCCCCTCTGAAGAATCTGTTGAGAAGGTGTGGGCATGGCACAAGAATGGGGATGTTTAACAGGCACCCCAGTGATCATGATGGAAGTCTGTGGGTTATATTCTGAGAAACAGTATCCTCCATTTCTTTGTTTGTTTTTAACTTCAGCCCCTTTGAGTGGGTGTCTGGTTCTTAGAATCAAAAAGTATTAATCAAGGCAGTGCATATTACCAAGGTTTGGGAAGTAAAGGCAAGCCATTAGACAAAGTGATATGTGGGTCCTCAGGGATGAGTGGGAATTAGCCAAGTGGAGTGTGAATGTGTGCATGGCTGGGGAGAGCAGGGGAAAGCTAGGTTGTGCAAAGGACCTCTGTCAAGAGGGAGTCTGGTATATCTAAGGATCCAAAATTCAATATGAATAGAGCAGCAGCATCTGTGTGTGTGTGGCGGGAGCTGGTAGGTGGGTAGAGAGAGAACACTGACCAATAACCAGGAATCCCCCTGTTGGAAAGCAGTCATCCTCTTACTTCTTCCCATGGGCAATACTCTATTCCTCCTCATGCCTCAGGGAGCCTGCTGGCTTTTTGGCTGCTATCTTCTATTTTCTCTACCTAGACCCTTTCCCTCTCTGGTTAGCTTCCCTAATGTTTCTAGAATCAAAACCCCACATTTTAATTTTTATTTGTTTTTATTTCCATAGGTTTTGGGGAGGAACAGTTGGTAGTTGGTTACATGAGTAAGTTCTTTAGTGGTATTTGTGGGATTTTGGTGCACCCATCACCCGAGCAGTGTACACTGAAACCAATTTGTAGTCTTTTATCCCTCACCCCCTCCCATCTTTTCCCGAGTCCCCAAAGTCTACCGTATAATTCTTATGCCTTTGCATCCTCATAGCTTAGCTCCCATTTATGAGTGAGAACATACGATGTTTGGTTTTCCATTCCTGAGTTACTTCACTTAGAATAATAGTCTCCAATTTTGTCCAGGTTGCTGAGAATGCCATTAATTCATTCCTTTTTGTGGCTGAGTAGTATTCCATATATATATATATATATATATATATATTCCATCATATATATATATTCCATCCATATATATATATGATGGAATATATATATATGATGGAATATATATATATAAAATGGACTATATATATATGATGGAATATATATATGATGGAATATATATATGATGGAATATATATATATGATGGAATATATATATGATGGAATATATATATGATGGAATATATATATATGATGGAATATATATATGATGGAATATATATATATGATGGAATATATATATATGATGGAATATATATATATGATGGAATATATATATATGATGGAATATATATATATGATGGAATATATATATATGATGGAATATATATATGATGGAATATATATATATGATGGAATATATATATATGATGGAATATATATATATTTTTTCTGTGATATATATATATATCACAGAAAAGAGATTTGGGGTGTATACCAGATACCTCTTGGGCTGCACCCTGCAACCTCTCTTCTGGGCTACTCCCTGCCTCAGCTATACCACAGGTCTCTCTCTTTCTATCCTGGGGCTTGGCATGGGATGGCTGCTGGAAGCCACTCAGTGTGAGGGAGCTAACACCCAAGAAGAAACCCTTGGCCAAAAGGGGACAAGAGCCCATGGAAAAATATTCTTTTTTTCTTCCTGGTGGGTAGAAAATTCTAAGGTGCATTTTACATAGCATCTCAAAGCATCCTCAGTGGGACTGAGGTCTGGTGGCCACTTCCCAATCCTTGCTCCTGCTCCTTGAGATCTCTTCCCAGAATAAACCACAGGCACCCAAGCTCTTAGACAAGCTGACATCAATAATGACCAAAGGGAAGGATTAAGGTCATCAGAATATTAGAAAGGCTTATTTATCTACCCTGGTCTACTTGAAAATGCATATGGGCTTGTTCAGGTCTCTAGTACTCTAAATTTTTCACTTTGCTCTAGATATTCCCATGAGAATAACCTCAGTTCTGTCTGGAGTGAGTTTGGATTTTATTCTGGGAATTAGCACTTCCAATCCTATCTGGATCTTATGGGGAGTTTCTCTGCATGTAGCTTGATGGAGTCACTACTGGCTTTCTGTGCCTCTTACCTAATCCTCTCAGGGACAGTGAGGAGGGACCCCAGATGGTCCCCCACCCTGCATCAGGGCTGCTGTCCCTCCCACACAGCAGATGTGCACCCACTATGGGGGTCTGGCCAGGCCCTACGACTGAGGAAGGTACTTTGACTTCTGCCTCTGAGGAAATCTTCAGTGAGTCTCACAACAAAATTAACTTCTTGGCAGTCTCTTCTATTGGTCTTTGTGTTAGTTTCTCTGGTCCTCAGAAGTCCTGGCCTCTTTCCTCAGTCTGTATCTCTCTTTCTTAATTGATTTCTCCCCAAGCATGTTTTTCCTAGATCAAGCCACCATCATCACCTGACTGAGGCATGGTTGCAGCTTTCTAGCTAACTTACTAATTGCATTCATCATTTCCTAACTTAGTAAATATCCCATGTGACTTTTATTTTAAAGTGTGAGTCAAATCATGTCCCCTCTCTGCTTAAGAAACTCCATTAACTTCCCATTGTACTTAGAACAAAATACAAATGCTCAACCATGGCCTACAAGGCCATCTTTGATTTAATCTTGCCTCACTACTCCCTCCCCTACTCAATATGTTCCAGCCACACAGGCCCATTCTCTACTCATAAAATCTACCAAGCATGTTCCTACCTCTGGGCCTCTGCACTCACCATACCCTCTTCCTAGGAATACCCACCCCGCAGACATTCCCATGGCGGGGTCTTTCTCAGCTTTCTGTCTCAGCTGAAATGTCGCTCCAAAGACAAACTTTCCACAACAGCTAATCCAAAGTAACACTACCTCCCCACGTTGCACCCTCTTGCTCAATCACCTGTTTTTTATGGTCCTCATGGTCACACACAATTCATGTTACATAGCAGACATTCGATGTTTCCTGAATGAATAAATCAATGAATGCACCCTTTAGCAAGTTGTGAAGGCCACACATGTTTATGGGTGCTTTAACTACTTTGCTTTTTATTCTAAGACATGTTCTGACTCAGATTCTTCGGATACAGTAAGGCCTTAGGGTCAAAGACTGCCATTTTAGACATCTACCCATATACTATCTAGTAAGTCATGCTACTGTCCACAAAACCACCTCCCATATCTCAGTGGGCTAGCACATCAAAGGTTGCTTTCTCATCGTTTCCAGATCTGATGCAGGTCAGCTTGAGGGAGGAGAGAAATTTTGATTCATAACTTTTTTTCTAGTGAGTCAGCCAAGCCTGGGGGTCTTAGAATCAGGCCCTAGATCTTCTCTATCCAGAAGTCAGATGAGGGCAAAAAGTCAGGAAAGTAGTGAGTTATTATGGGCAAGCAGTTACTATGGGCAAGGCATAGAAAAAACATTTAACACTTCTATCCACATCATATTGGTCAGAACGCAGCCTCCTCCTCCCCCATACTCCAGCAAGAGAGGCTGAGCAATGTAATCTGTGTGCCACCCAGGAAGCAAAGAAGTGGAGTTTGGTGAGTATTGGGCCATGTGATAGCCTATTCCATCAGGCTTCAGATGACATTATTTGTCATCTGAAACTGGGGTCCGTCTTGCCAGTCAAGTATGCATGTCCAAGCTAAAGCACCACTGGAGACTTCTGCTGTTGGAAGGATGTAATCATGCAACGGATGCAAAAATAATCCCTTCTCCTGACCTTCTGCACCCCCATCTCCAGCCAACACCTCCCATGACAGAACCTAATCAGAAGCCAGCTAATAAGGGAGCCTGGCAAATGTTGCTTACAGACTTTGACCCTGGATCACAGTCCAGCACATAGCAAGGTGGGCCTGGAGATGAGAACCAATAGCTAAATAACCAGCAGAGTGTCGAGCTTATTAATTCAACAGAGATAATCAAGAGGTTGCAAACCCTAGGTTACTCCATAGGTTATTTTTCTAAGGCCTTTTCTAAAGATTCCTCCTCTGAGGGAAAAATTTTCAGGAATCCATTCACATACTCAGAAAAGCAAAATACAAGAAGTGTTAGTGCATTTAAAAGAAAATTTTCTGACCACCTGGAGAGGCCATATAATAACAAGTGAAAAAAAAAAAAACAACTAGAGAAAAATTAAGCACCAAAATGGCAATGGATAGAATGATCATATCGTATGATTATTCTGCTGGGATGCTGGACTCTAGGCATTTGAAAAAGGATGAAGAAATTAATCCAGCCTCATAAGAGGATGACAGAAGTGGTTAAGTAGTCCTTTAGCACAGGGCTTTAAGCCTTGAAAGCTATTGGAAAGCTCAATGTAAAATAAGGTTAAGGCCCATTCACACGCATAAAGCTGAAATGGTGGGGAAGGCTGGTGGTAGGGGAGGAGCTTAGGGCAGCACTCAGGTATTGGTGTGGGGTACCATTTCCAGTGGAAGCGAGACCCTCCCTCTTCTATTCTGACATCATGAGCCCATGCCGTATGGTTTCAAAGTAGCAAATTGGTTGCTGAAGCTCCGGTCATGGTATCTGTGTTCTAAACAGCAGAAAGAGGAATTGGAAAGGCAAAAGACTATGCCTCCCACCTGAGTCAGCTCCCAACAACAGCCCTTCCTAGAAGTGTCACAGAGCCATATTTAGCAGTGTGAGAGGATGGGAAATGTGGTTTTAAGCAGAGCACACTACCACCCTAACTAAGATTGGGGTTCTGTTACCAAGAATGGGAGAAATGGATGTCAGGCAGGCAACTAGTAGTTGGCCACAAACACTAAGGATGTGGCTTCCCAGGTGAGCCAGGAAAAAATGCTGACAATGAAGACATTCAGTTCCTCCCTAAGCAGTTGGTTCCCTTACCTTCACTTGCCACATTTACCACCCTACCCAGGGAATCCCTCTGTGAGGGATCAGAAGGCACCACCCAGCAGAGACTGTCCACTTGATCATCAGACATATCCTTTGCCCCAACTAACTGGATTGCATTCTTTACCTAAAATAAGCAAATGCTCACCACCATGGTAGGTATGTATAGGAAGGAACATATGCTCATTTACCATAGATGACCCCCCACCCTTCCAGAATATAGCAAAACCAATTCTAGGCCTCAGAGATAACAAATGTAAAGTTTCTAATCCTGCCTGACTTGGTCAGCAACAGCTCAGTATTATGAATAATTAATAATGATACAAATAACAGTAACAGCCATCTTTCACTGATTGTTGACCATGTGCCAATCACTGTGCTGAGCATCTTATCCTAGAGGCCCACTTGGGAGTATTAAATGTGGAAATGTATCAGTCTCAGAAGAGGTTTAGATTTGTTTCTTACTCTATGTCACCCAGTTGTTAAGTCACAGAGTTAGGATTTAATCCAAATCTTCCTGACTCCAATCTCCAGTGATCTTTCAGTTAACTCCAAATTAACTAAAGCTGTCATGTGTTGAGGCTTTATATCAGTTAGAATGTAGGTGCTTGGTTTTAATAAAGACCAAGGGAGAGTGGTTTAGATTAGTCCTGATTCAAGTCCAAGTCCAAATAGAAAACAGTCTGGCAGCAGCTGGGGGCTGGGTAATACAGCTCTGCTCCACACAAAGGTAGGGGAACCCATATCCCTTCCATATTGATGCTCTGCCATCCTATGGTTAAAGATGGCTCTCCACACCTCCTTAATCTAGCTCAAGGGAAGGAAGGAAGAACAAGTAGAAGGTGTTTCCTTTAAATGGGAATAACTCAGAAGTGGCACACACTTCCTCTCACAGTCCTTTAGGCAGAGCTTGGTCACATGGCCACACCAGTGATAAAGAAGGCTAGGAAATGTCGCCCCTACCTTGACAGCCACATGCCCAGACAAAACTAAAAGGTGTGGGTTATTCCTAAAAGTGGGAGAGGAAATGGATTTGGGGGACAAAAAGCAGTCTCTGCCACACTTGCAGATTGCATCACAGGAAGAGAAACTGGACTCTTTGGTTCAGAGGAAGAGCTGGGCACTGCCCAACCAAGACCACACAAAATGGGGAACTCTGCTAATGGAGAGCAGGCAGAATGGAAGTGGGACAGCCCAAAACTGCAACTGGGGCAGTGTTCAGTAATCATATACTAGAAGAAAAAGTGACCATGAGAGCTGAAAGGAAAACAAGCTGTTATTGTCATAAGAAAAATAAAACAAAAGTTCTTGCTAATCCTGCCACCCAAGTTATACATTTATCCTCCTGGCTCTTGGCCATGATGGAGCTCACAGTCTTTTTTCAGACTCCCCTTTCTCAGAGCACACAGGATGGGTAGATGTTGGGTTTTTGGACAGCAGGAGGAGGTGGCTGGGTCTTTGTGCTGAAAATACCCACTCTGGCTCCTCCCTCTGGACCCAGATCCCAAGGTGGTAGATGTTTTGATGGTACCTCAGAGGGATGGAGTCACTGTTGAAAAGCACTGCAGGAAACAGGCCAAAGTGGTGGGCTGGGCAGGCCCGGCATTATCAGAAGTTCATAATCAACACATGCAGATCCACTGTATGTAGGCTTTGAGGATTCACAAAGGCCCAGGCTAAGCCCTCAAAAGTCTTCTTGCTGTTATTTGCACACTTATAGTAGATTCTTTATAAATGGTAGCCTGAAGCCTGCCACTGTACATATTGTCTCTAATCTTTTTTTTTCTTTTCCTTTTGAGACCGAGCCTCATTCTTTCACCCAGTCTGGAGTGCAGTGGCACAATCACGGCTCACTGCAGCCTCAACCTCCCTGGGCTCTGGTGATCCTCCCACATCAGCCTCCTGAGTAGCTGGGACTACAGATGTGTGCCACCATGCCTGGCTAAGTTTTGTATTTTTTTTTTTTGTAGAGATGGGGTTTTGCCATGTTGCCCAGGCTAGTGTCAAACTTCTGGGCTCAATCAATCTGCCTGTCTTGGCCTCTCAAAGTGCTAGGATTACAGGTGTGAGCCACCATGCTCGGCCTGTTTCTAATTCTTAAAACCACCATAGCAGGTGCTTTCGGCATCCCTCCCACTCCTTTGTCCTTACCATTTCAGAGCACAGTGGCTTGCTTCCAACTGCCAGCACCTGAATTTCTCTGCTGAGGACTTTCTTGTGCTGCTAGAGTCCTACTTTGCCAAGCACGGGATACAACATATGCACCTACAAATTATTAGAACACTCCACCTCCCAGAAGTAGCCCTCAGTTAACTACTCTCAGGAATTGGTGTATAAATACCTTGGCTCCCTCGGATTTTTCCTCAGATGGGAAAATTCAGAGGTACATGCACTCCACTGGTTCCCAGAGCCTCCCCAGTGTGAACAAGCTCTAATAGCTTACAGTGGTAGTTGAATTGATAACACACTTTTTCAGGGGCTGCCTCCCATTCCCTGTCTCATTTCCTGACTGCCTGACTGATGTTTCCCAGGCTTCCTAAATAAACTACTTGTAGTCTATCTCAGGATCTGCTTCTGGACGAACTTGAATAAGACACCGCTGTGGAGTAAGTTATGAGCCCCACACGGAGGCAACAGGCTGGCACCATAAAAATCGCATTGGCTCTGCAGTCAGAATGACCCAGATTTGAATTCCGGCTTCATCACTTACCAGCTGTGTGGGGCCGAGAAAATTGTTAGGCTCCGGTGCCTCCATTTTCTGGTCTATTAAATGAGGCCAATTATACCTACCTTGCAGGACTGGACAGCTTTAAATAAAACAATTCCTCTGATTTCCCTAACACTGTCCCGAGAACATAACAGGCACTCAACAGGAGTTAGCTTTCTTCCCTCCTGTCTCCATTTTACAAATAAGGAAACTGAAACTCAGGAAGGTTTCCTGACTTGCACAAGGTTAAAAAGGTGGTTAAGTGACAGATCTTGGATTCAAACACAAATATCTTCCTGGTTCCAAATCTACTTAAAACTTTTCCACTGCGCCTCCCATATCCACTTCAGGGCCTAAATTTCCTGACTTGATACATGAAACCATTTTAAACTTCAAATTCCCAGGTCTTTCTTTCCTACTGTGCTCTGCAGATACCACATCTGGCTTCTGATCCTCAGAGATTCCCACATTCTGGTGCCATTCACACCCTTTGCTATTTGTGTCCTCCGTCCTGGGGCATGGGTCTCTCTCTCTCCCCCATTCAGCTGTGACACACACTTTTAATTTGGGGGTAAAGATTTTCACAAGTTCATCTCTGGGTAAAATACAACATCACTAAAAATAGATGAAAATGCAGGAAAAAAAGGATTACAGGGAACTCAGGGACAAATAAATGTACATTTGAACGTTTTACTCTTAGACAAAGGTGAGGAGTCCTTTCCTGGTTCCCCTTTGAAGAGAACACCCAGAGCCCTTCCGGGGTGGAGCGCAAACCTGCCAAGCACCTGCTGCTTCTTGGTGAGTGAGTGGAGGTCCCGAAAAGGAGGAAATACCCAGTGTTTCCAAATTAAGTCCCTCAACAAATAGTGCTGTTACCCAACAGTCCAGCCAAAAGCAAAGCAGAGGCAAAGACCAAAAGGAAAACCAAAGTCATTCTGTTCAACTTACTCAGATTTTTGCAGTTAGAAATCTAGAAAGAAGCTATTTTTATTTCCACCTTTATATTTGGGATATTTTTAAAATACAATGCTATTTTGAAATATGTTTATATTGCAGGAGCATAATCTTTCAGAGGTTGAACTTTGAAAGGTCCCATGTGTGACCTCACCTACAGTACAGTGACCAACCTGTCCTGGTTTTAGTACTAAAAGTCCCTTGTCCCAGAAAATTACTTAGTGTTGGGTAAACAGAAATGGTTGGTCACCCAATTAGAATACAAATTTGATTCTCAAGTCTTCTTTTTTAAAATATAAATCTCCTTAGGCAGGTCAAAACAATTCACCAGTGGTAATTTAGGGTTCTGATAGCTTCTCACAAAATGCCCCACAAAATGGTCCTCACTTTAAGAATCCATGGGGATCTCCTATTAAAGGAATCACAAATGCAGACACTGATAGAGGCAAGATCTCAATAAGTGAAGAAAGCAATTTGCATAAAATCTTCCAGTCTACTCTTTACTTATACAAGAAGATAGAATCTCATTCTTCCAGAAACCCACAGCCCATTTAGTCCATTACCTTCCCTCCTTTGATAGACATGGGATGGACAAATATCTCTCTGCCCAAGAAAAACTGCTCAAGTGTGATTTTTAAAAAAGGGCAATTCTCATTGGGACTCAATGGCAAGGACTATGACGACTATGGGTTTCCTTCCCTCCCTCCCTGCCTCCCTCCCTCCCTTCCTTCCTTCCTACCTTCCTTCCTTCCTTTTCTTCCTTCCTTCCTTCCTTTCTCTCTCTTTCTTTCTCGCTCTCTCTCTTTTTCTTTCCTTTTCCTTTCTCTCTCTCTTTTTTTTCTTTTTTTGAGACACAGTGTCACTCTGTTACCCAGGCTGGAGTGCAGTGGTGCAATCCTGGCTTACTGCAGCCTTGACTTTGTGGGCTGTGGTGATCCTCCCACCTCAGCCTCCTGAGTAGCTGCGACTACAGGCCCATGCCACCATGCTGGATTAATTTTTTATATTTTTAGTAGAGATGGGGTTTTGTCATGTTGCCCAGGCTGCTCTCAAATCCTTGGGTTCAAGAGATCCACCTGCCTTGGCTTCCCAAAGTGCTGGGACTGCAGGCGTGAGCCACCGCACCCAGCCTATGGTTTTCTTAGTCTGGATTCCTCCAGAAGCCAACCCCAAACAAGGATTCAAGTGTAAGGTATTTATCTGAGAGGTCATCCCAGGAAACAATAGTAGGACAGTGCATAAATGAGACAAGAAAGATAAGGCCACCAAAAAAAAAAAAAAGTACTAGCCTATTAAGTCACCTATCACCATGGTGATACTCACCATGGTGGAAACTCTGGGAAAAGGTGTACAATATACACCCCTTAGTTTCACTGGATGAGCAAGGGAGCTGGAGTATCCATAGGCCAAACCCTGTTCATCACTGGAGGGAGTGGATGCTAATTCCCCTGCATTTCCAGCCCACCACTTCCACAGTCAGAGAAAGTCCTCAGACAAACCAATGCAGGTGCTGGCAGCGGGAAGTGAAGCTGGTATGCACGACCATGGCCAGGGCAAAGATGTAGGGTTGGCCACCAGCAACACCAGCAGCGTCTGCTATAGTAATCAACACAGAACCCATGAGCCACCATAGCTCTGTGCTAGTCCGTTGCTGCCATGTGAGAATGCAGCCAGTGTTGCTAGAGCTTCTGAATTTTTAAAAGAAACCAAGGATCCAGATTGTTTTGTGGAATTTCCTGATTCGTAATTGCTGTTGATTGATTCAAATATTTTAAAAACAGTCTAGGGAATAACCAAGCATGTCTATAGGCAGAATGTAGCCTATGGGCCATTAGTTTGCACCCACTACTCTAGTTTAACATCCTTATTTTATAGATAAGGAGACCAAGGCCCTAGAGGACAGCGACTTGACTCAGGGGATGCTGCAAATTACCACTTGTCTGGGATCTGCAACCAATTCCCTTAACTCCCAGGCCAGAGCTCTTCCTAACCCCACTGTGCTGCCCACACTGCCCACTCTCTCCTCTCCACACCCATCCTCAAAGGGCAGGAGCCTTATCCCTGCCCTCCACTGCACTCAGAGCAAAGGAAGTTTCCCTTCCTTCCATCAAAGCACTAAATATTTTGTCTCACTAGAAATGGATTCCTTACTATTCTTAATTTCACAGAAGTTAGATAGTGCTTATTGTGTCCTGGGCACCCTTCTAAGTACTTTACAAATAATTACTTTCATTCTCAAAGCAACCCTATGAACTAAGGATTATTATTTTCCCAGTCTTAAAGATGGACAACTGAAATGCAGAGAGGTTAAGATACTTGCCTGAGTTGAAGTAGTAGTGGAATTAGGAGACAAATTTTGGCAGCTGTCTCCAGAGCCACTGATTGACAACCACTACTTGACACTGACACTCAATCACCTACCTATTTAGACTTTTAGAATACCCTGATTGGTCCTTTTTCCCATGATAACAGGAATTGGCAAAGCACAGGCTCATGGGCCAACATCTATACCCTGCTTGGTTTGTAATAAAAAGTAAACCGGAATACAGCCACACCCATTAATTTATGTATTGTCTGCAGCCATTCTTGCCCTACAAAGACAGAATTGAGGAGGTGCAATACAGGCCATAGGGCCCACAAAGCCTATTTTATTGAGTGCTGTAGCTTTGATAAGGGTTGTTTGTCCCCACCAAATCTTATATTGAAATTTAATCCCTGATGTTGGAGGTGGGTCCTGATGGATAGTGTTTGTGTCATGGGGATGGATCCCTCATGAATAGATTAAGGCCTTCACTCAAAGGTGAATGAGTTCTCACTCTATTGGTTTTCACAAGAGCTAGTTGTTAAAAAGAGTCTGGCATGCCCCAACCCTCACCTCTTCCCTCCTCTCTCATCATGTAATCTCTGCACACACCAGTTCCCATTCCCTTCTACCATAAGTGGAAACAGCCTGTGGCTCTGACCAGATGCAGCCCAATCTTGGACTTTCCAGCCATCAGAATCATGAGTCAAATAAAACCTCTTTTTTTTTTTTTAATAAATTACCCAGCCTCAGGTATACCTTTATAGCAACACAAAATGAACTAAGACGTTTAGTATCTGGCCCTCCACAGAAAAGGTCTGCCAACTTCTGCATTACAGAATTGCCACGCTTTCCTCTGACTGCAAGTTTCTTGATTATGCTGCTTAATCATAATGCAGAAAATCCTATAATCCCTCCCAAAGCCTTAGCATACACAGTGATGAATTCACAGGTTAGACTTCTAGAAACGGCAACCGTGCAGATGTCTGGGAACCCAGAAATCAGCAAAAATGCCTTCAGAACTCCACTTAACGAAAAACATACCAATAATTTCCACAAAATAGGCACAGACCTAATCTCGGGCCCTTACCTGGGCAAAGGCTTTTAAAGCAACCGGACAGACAGAAATACCCAAAGAGGGGCAGAGAGGAGAAATAGAAGAAGTATAACTGGCAACAGGCATCTTGCAGTTAGAGAGACATGGATGCAAATCTCAACTCTACCACTTACTACTTATCCCTTAAACTTCAATTTTTACCTGTAAAGTAGGAGGAATAATAATGATCATTTCTTGGAGTGGGGTGGATGGTTTAGCCAAGATTATAATGTATATGAATTCTTAGCATCCTGCCTGGGATTTGCTAATGACTCAGAGGAGCTATATTATTAGTAATAATGGTAACTCTAAAAGAATATGGATCTGTGACTATTCACATACAGGCTCTCAATCCCACACAATTCAGCTGTCAATAACAGGATTACGGCACAGAACAAAAAGCAATCTTTATCATGATAACCCCAAGTCAAGAAAAGATGTAGCCACATTTATATGTACCAAGCAAAAAAAAAGGAAAGAACCATGTGCCATGTTTTCATCAAAGAAAGTTTAAGCAAAGAATAATGTGTGCACAAAGAGGTAAGCTTCAATTACCTGGAAAAATCACTTAAGTGAAACAAATCACTTATTCCTTGACAACACTATGTAAATGAAACTGTACATGGGGCGGAAAAAATGTTTGCATTGTAGGCTCTGCAAGATGACAAAGTTACATTTCCCACTCATCATTTAGTGAAAGCATCTATCGAATAGCATGAACCTTTGCTGACAAACTGCCAATTTTTAAATACCCTTTATCAGCATCATTTTCATAGCTTTTCTCTGAGATCCAAAAAAGACCAAAGATCAGTTTCCAGTATGCTTTTCCAAGTGTAATCAAGCTCAGTGCTAGAAAGTACAATGAGAACCACTCATTATCTGAACTGTTTAAAGCAGCTGAATCATTGCAAAAACAATTTCTTCTTCTTAATATGTTTGAATCAAACTTTTGACCTCTAGTAAACTGGATGCCCCATTCTTTCAGGCAGTAAAAGAGCAGCTAGACTGGGAACCTGGAGGTATATAAAACACTACACTACTTTTTTTCTCTTAAAAATACAAATTGAATTACTTTAACATAGTTGGAGCAAATGACCATGATATGTCCTCAATTTAAGTCTTACAGCCCAACTGGGATGGCGTTCTGTGTTCCCAGTCTAAGGGCACATGGTTTTCATTAGTTTGTCAGGATTCTGCATTTCAATTTGCACATTTAAATAAATGCAGTTAGTTCATTCGTGATGGCCCCACATACCCTTATCTTTTCTGATTTACTGAATAAGCCACACTCTCTTAATGTTTTGAGATTTGTCTAAATACTAAAAGGTTATTTGATATGACAAGTTACAACAAATACCACTTTTACTGCATGACAAATAATTATACTGAAACTTTCCACTGATACACTTCCACTGATACACTGCTTAGGAAGCCTTTTAAGTGCATCTATCTGACATTTAAAAAAAAATTAAAGTGAGACTAGTGCAGCTGACACAGACAAAGTGCAGGGTGCACACTTCTGGTTGTTCATAGCATAAATGTTTAAAGGTGGAAGGATCTCAAGTGTCAATACCCATTTGACAAATCCAGAGAGCTAATAAGCAGGTTTCTGGTCAGTCTGCTGCCAAGGTAGGATCAGAACTTGGCCTTCCTGGTTGTTGATCCAGTGCCAATTTCAGCTCCCCTCTCTCCCCAGCCCCTCCTTTATCTGACAGAACTCGGGTTGAGTATTACACTTGGATGAAGCAGGGCCAAAGCTGGCCATGCAAGCTTTGTGCCTGTCCCGCATTCTGGTCACATATGAGCCTTCTGCTCTTTTGCAAAGACTGAATTGATGGGATGGGCTCAGTCAGGTGCAACAAGGGAAGCCCGACAACAATCCTCAGCCACATCCATTGTTGGGTCCCCCACTGACACTGTCGGCTGTTATAAGCACCAGCTAGAAGATGGATGCTGGTATTTCCAGAAAGACCTTTTGAATCAGGAGGGGCTGTGACGGGCCCCATGCTGTGGCAAGAGCATAATTATTTCCAATAACTGTCTGTCTAGGCTACTTAGTGATTTCCAAAGCCAAGCTCCTCCTCACTGTGACAACACATTCAGTGTTTATTTGAGGGGCAGTTTTACAATGCCAAAAATTCCACTCTGGTAATAGTTTAGTCAGCAAGGCAGAAAGGAATGACATTTTTTATAAATAATGATTAAGGACAACCTATTTGATAACTTTGGATGCTTGTTCAGGATCTGTTGTAGGGGGCAATAGTCTCATTTGGAACAAGATGAACCATTAGAATCTTCTGTGAGGCAGGCTCTTGGGAGAGAAAGGCAAGCTCTCATGCTGTGACTGTCAAGGACAACAAAAAGCAGAGACTCTTGCAACATGGTGGCAAAGAGCACAAACTCCATTCTGAGTTTGAATTGCAGGTGTGTCACTTACTAGCTGTGTGATTTTGGACAAGTCACTTGCCCACTCCAAGCCTCAGTTTCCACTTCTGCAGAATGTGGGTTATTGTGGGTCATTGTGGTGATGGAATGAAATGCTGCTTGGAAAGTACTTGGCAAATGCCTGGCACCTGGCACTTATAGGGGCTCAATAAAAGGTAGCCATTATCATCAGACACCAGTTAGTGGGGCTTGTGCTTTGAAAAGGGAACTTATTCTGATCCAACATTCCATGCTGATTCTCTGCGTTAATCAGATTGTTGCTGAAATCTCCACTTTGGCCTTTTTTGAGTCTTTCCTGCAACTTCTGTCCTTCCTCCTACTTATCAAATGCTCTGGAACTCTCCACCTGCTGCTGCAAATCTTTCAGGCCCAAGCGCAGTACCATCCCATGCACCCCCTGCTACCATGCCACTGCAGCAACTCCAGACAGATCACCATACCTCTCATTGGTGTCTGGATAGGAGAGTTCACCTTCCATGTTCATTCACATCCCATGTTCATTCACATCTCCTCTTCCTAACATGATTACGCATCTGGGAGACCGGGATTTGCCTTACATATCCTCCACAGCACTCAATACATGCCCAAGAATCTTCCAGGTTCCCTGATCCCTTGCTACACAAAGTGAGGTCCACAGACCAGCACCGTTGGCATCACCTGGAGCTTGTTAGAAATGCAGTCTCAGGCCCCGTACCAGATCTACTGAATCAGAATCTGATCCCCAAGTGGTTTGTGTGCACCAAGTTCAGGAAATATCCCTCTAGTCCAGTATTTCCCAGACTTCAGTCATTCACATCTTCCCTTCATAGGTTTTGCCATTTTCCAGTACAATCTACACTATGTTTTACCTAATACATATTTTTACACTGACACTATTTCTTTCTCAGCCTCATCCTAAGCAATACTATTCAATCAGCAAGGGAGAAAGGAATATAATCTTTTACAAGACATGAAGGTCTAGGTGAATTTTTTTTCTGGTACACATTAAAATAAATAGTCAATAAGGTAAAATGTTTCTCTATCTATCATCTAAAATTAACTCATGTACCACCAGGGATACACCTACCCACTTTAGTAAACACAGCTCTAGACTTTTTGTAGCTGGATTAGAAGACATCTAAGTCCAGTGCTCCTGAACTGTATCTGTGCCTACTCAGCATGGTTACCCTATGGGGTGAATGCATTTGTCTTCAAGACAGAGATGGTTGTGGGAGGCTGAAAACCTGGGTTCTAGCCCTGCACCATCCCTTAATGACTTGTCATGTCACAGACTCTCTTTGGGGCTCATTTTTATGGGTTAGCTCATCTCAAGGCTCCCTTCCAAGTCAAAAAATATGACATTATAATTATGAGATCAAAGGCTTTGGAGTCAGAATGACCTGAAGTTAAAATTAAAGCTCCATTACTTGTTAATTTCATTAAATCTCAGTTTTCCTCATCTGTCAAATGGACAATAAGTGGACATAACATCCATCTGAAAGGATTTGTAAGAAGAAAGAAAACAACTGAAAAATGCCTAGCTTAAAATGTGGCACATAGTTGGTGTTCAACAAATAATATGAATTATTATTTTTTCCTAGCCTCCACAAAGCACAAATAATAATAGCTAGAATTTTTTTTAGTATTTACTCCACAGCAGTCACTACATGAAACACTTCTTTATATTTTGTCATTTAATCCTCCAAATAACCTGATGAGGTAGGAATTCTTATAATCCCCACTTTATAGATGAAGAAACTGAGGCACAAAAAAAGGTTAAGTCACTTGGTCAAAGCACACATTTAGTAAGCAGCAAAGATAGATCTGAGTGTAGATCCTCTGAAGCTACAACCAGTATTCACAACAATGACCTGTCCTGCCTTCTTATAAAATACTAGTCAACATGCAGACTTTGCCAACTCAACAAATATTATGTGATTTTGGCCAAGTGGCAACCTCACAACCAGTTTCCTTGGCTGTACAGTGAGGGGTGTTAGGAGTCCCCACCTCATAGGGTGCGGTGAGCATTGAATGAGGGCACCCTCATGGACATCACAGAGCAATTCCCAGCACAGGTGAATTGGTAACCATGTGCTGCTATCGTTACCATTAGTTCTACTATTATTTGTTGAGCCTTTACATCTGCACAAGATTTTGTGTGTGTGGTGGGGGTGGCGGGCCAGGGCAGAAGAAACAAAAGTCTTTATTGATAAATAGCTTACAATGAAATAAATAAAGCAGTGGTTTGCTGAAGAATAAAAATCAGGGCAGTGGCTCGGTCTCTCCGCCCCTGCCTCCGGCCCTAGGATACAGCCCTCTGGCTAGATACGTCAGATGAGGAGACCGTAATGGGCAGTCCAGCCTTTCACGGGCACTTGGGGGTCTCTGTCTTCCTAGACAGGTGTGCAGGCACCACCTTGGACCCACTGCCCTTAGCAGGAGAAGCAGCCTTGGTGTTTGGCCCCTGGGCAGCTGCCCCTTTAGGAGCCTTGGTCTTGGCTACCACCTTCTGGTCGAGGAAGCAATGCCATTCTTGACCTTGCTGACAGTGGGTTTTGAACTCTTACTCCCAGCTTTCATTTTCCTGTGGTCCCCAGCATCTCCTTGGCTGCTCCTGCTGCCTCGGGCCTTTGCCTTCCTACTAAGCCCGCTGGCACTGGAAGGGACCTGCGTGGCCTTGTCTGGCTTAGGGGTGCCTTCCTAGCCTCACCGGGCTGTGGCCTGGTGTCCTTGCCCACACTGCCTTGCTTGCCGGCCTTCTCTGTGGCTGCACCTGGCTTGGGAGGAGCCTTCTGCACCTCTGCTGGCCTCTTCGCTGCCTTCTTCACCTTGCCCGCGTTAGGAGGATCCTCCTTGGCCTCACTTGGTTTCTTGGCGTCCTTCCCCTTGGCCTTTTCCGCTCTCCTGGGGACCATCAGGGGGCCATCTCCCTGGGCTGGATTTTCCTCTTGTGCTTGGGATCTAATTTGAAGCTGCCAGTGGCCCCCCTTGCTTCGGAGTTGAGGGGCCTGGCGAGGAGGCTGCGGCACATGCCAGTGGCCAGCGCCTGCTTCAGCAGATACCTGAAGCGGAGGACGTCCACCGTTGGGTACTTGTGCAGGATGTAGAGCTTGACGGCCACCGCCAACGTGCCCTAGCGCTACTCCCCAGCCTGCAGCGCCTCTACCACCGTGCGGGGGGTGGGGAATAGGGGGGATGGTGAGAGGGCAGGAGGCGGCATGCCACCGGGAAGCTGCTGCAGCTCAGGCCTGGCTTTTCAGATTCAGGAGACCTGGATGATCCTGCTGTGGAAGTCGAGGAGAGTGAGATGTCACTGGTGACACTCCCAGGAGGGGAGGCATCAGTAGTTTTATCCTTCAGTTATGGTAAGGACTTCCTCAGTTTAATTTTTTTAATTTTTTATTTTTTGAGACAGAGTCTTGCTCTGTCGCTCAGGCTGGAGTGCAATGGCACTATCACGGCTCACTGCAGCCTCAACCTCCTGGGCTCAAGTGATTCTTCCACCTCAGCCTTCTGAGTACCTGGGATTACAGGAATGTGCCACCACACCCAGGTAATTTTAAAAATTTTAAGTAGGAATGAGGTCTTCCTAGGTTGCCTAGTCTGGTCTTGAACTCTTGGGCTCAAGGAATCCTCCTGCCCTGGCCTCCCAAAGTGTTGGGATTACAGGCATGAGCCACTGCACCCCACCAGGAATTCTTTATCAGATAATTTAATCTATTAAATAGATGCCTAGTCACGGCCCCCTAAAATAGTAGCCTTTACACATGGGGTGGCCACATAATTTATCGTCCAAACTGAAGGCATAGACATTAACCAGGATTGACCCAGGGAAGCCAGCACGATCGCCCTGCTTCTAGGGCCCCTCTGCTGTGAGTGAACATTGTCCTCACAGCTGTACACACTAGGCCCCCTTTCCCACTGGAAAACTGTACGTAAAGTGACAGAGGACAATTAAAAGCAGCACATCTCTAAGGAAAAAATAACACAGACCCAAATAAAGACCTCAAGGCTGAAGAGCTGCAGAATAGAGCACTCATTTGCCCTAGGCTTTAAGGAGGTGTATTCTTCAAATACTTTGCTCTAAGACACTACTTAAATAACTGTTTTCACTAGATTAGCATGGCAAATTGATTCAAATAAATGTCTTCCAAGATTTGCACATAAATGAAAACAGGATCACGATCACCCCCTTGTAAGAGGTTTTGGGACTGTTGTGGGTTTTTAATCAATATATCTGCCTTTTTCTTCTCAGTGTCATTGGAAAATAAAGTAACTACTATCAATTTGACTTGTTCTGCATCTTGATCTCATAAGTCCTGATATTGACCACGCTAAAAGTGACAGCTAAGGTTTTCCTTATACACATGAAAAATCATATTGATAATCTATTTGCCTGAATACAATTCAGCTCATTTTCCATTATTTGGGGCATCAAAAAGAAGAGAAATCAGCCTGTGTGCATTAGGCACTTGTACCCTGTGGTGAACATTTATTCCAGACTTTCTTAGCCTTAATTTCCCCCTTTTCCTGCAACTGTATTCATGTGGCAGTCCAGCCCTTTGATGTCCTCTGTCTACATGGTCTGGGTAGGACTCCATTGCTGGGGCAAAGCCCTCAACCTCTGCAGAAGCCACTTAGCACAGATTTCCTCCAGCCGTGCCAACTGGGCAAATCATAGCTCATTTTGAAACTTTTTGTTCAACAACTGGGGAAGGGGAGTTCTTTGGTTGCTGGACTTGAACTTGAAACTGTGTAAACGAGCAAGTGCTATATGGTCGTCTTGTCACCCAAGAAGGACCCCAATACACAGAGGAAAGAAGAAAAAGGCAGACCTGAGGAATGAAAAGAAATCAGATCCTGAAGTCACTGTTTAGCCCTAAGCAAGACGCTCTTGAAGTCAGTCCTACCGAAGTACCTTTTAGTAACCTGAACCCATATGTAAGAAAAAAATATATATTGTATATATGCATATACATAATACCCTAATTCCACTTAAAATCGGGTTTGTAACTTATTAGCAAAATAGCACTAACAGACACATGCATCCTGTGGCAGTACTTTTCAAACTTTTTGATGGCTAAGAATCACATTTTATACTGCAACCCAGAATGCACATAGGAGTGACTCAAAGTCTCATGAAATTACAGAACTCTTATAACATATGATGATGCTGACACTTGCTGTCTTGTTATACCTAAAAAAAATTACTGGTAGTAACCCACTAAATGGATTTTATGACCTTCATATTGAAAAAACACTGTCTTATGAGATTAGTTTAAAAATTGATTTCACCAGGAAGCATGAGATAAAAAATGACATGATAATTTCAGTAAATCCAGTCATTGGGGAGAATAAGAGATTTGGCTCCTAAATTACCTAGAGGGTTTATCAAGCATCTAGCAACAGAAAATTGTTATCTTACCACTTCTCTCTGACTGCCCACGGCACATATTTGGCAGAAGAGGAGAAAAAAAAATCTTACTGACTTAGAAATAAATGAATTATCCTCCAAAAGTCTTCCATCTAAAACAAATAACAACTACATTGAAAAAGGGAGAGATATGTAAGTAAAGGAAGATACATGTAAGACCTGCTGATGAGCTGAGTACATTACTTATCTATAGGCTGATGACAGTCATTTCAGTGAGCCTCAGCACTCCCGAACATATAAAAATAGTGCATTCATGATAAGATCAGATCTCTGGGGCAGATTTAAAGGGAGAGATAGAGCGAGAGATCACTTGCAGTATAAGCCTCAAACCTTCACTTATGTGTGTAAGATAACTATGAAGATTTCCTGCTAGAAAATTACTGCAGGCTGGATAAGGCAGGGTGTTTTTAACTGTTTTCCATGTACCCTATTTGTATTGTAAGTTAGCCAAAACTTTCTTTTTGTCTGCTCAAAGCATGCAGAGTCTTGATTAAATCTGTGGAATCAAACGGAGAACTAGGATTCTCAGGCTTGCTGAAACTAGAGGCCAGCGACAATAAACATTACTGAGAAAACTTCAGCTGATTTGACACTTGGGAGTGGCTGTGAAGTTAACTCCTCCCACACTTTTCTAGATTAGGCTCAAATGCAACCATCTGCCTGTTTGAAAAGCCCATTCACTTTTCTGCCACTAAGATAGAAATTTATTAATTTCAAAACAAAGTGAAGTTTAATACAGGAAAACAGGATCGTGATCACCATGATCACTTGCAGGGGAAAAATCTTCTGAGAACTTTCCCATGGATAATGAAAACTAAACCTCAAAATACGGTATTTAGGTAATTTTTTCATGTTCCAGCACCATATTGTTTAAATGCATTACACCTGCATTTCTGAATTTAAGCAAATAAAATGGTTGATTAATATTACTTGCAGATGTCACAAAGAAGTGATTAAACTTCTACCATTCAGTAAGTCCTTGGAGTTGCCTAAATTTTTCTCAACCTTTTAGGAAATGTAAGCACTGTTCAAAAAAGGTGTGTTCAAACAGTGTGTGTGTGTGTGTGTGCGTGTTACTTTTTATTACAACATTTTCAGATTACAAAAAGGAAGAATTGGCCGGGCCCTGTGGCTCACGCCTGTAATCCCAGCACTTTGGGAGGCTGAGGCGAGTGGTGGATGGTTTGAAGTCAGGAATTCAAGACCAGCCCGACCAACATGGTGAAACCCGGTCTCTACTAAAAATACAAAAATTAGCCGGGCTTGGTGGCACATGCCTGTAATCCCAGCTACAAGGGAGGTTGAGGGAAGAGAATCGCATGGGCCTGGGAGGCAGAGGTTGCGGTGAGCCGCGATCGCGCCACTGCACTCCACTCTGGGTGACAGAGTTCGAAGGAAAAAAAAAGGAAGAATTGTAGAAACACCAATACATCCACCACCTGTCTTGTGACACTTAATTTAGAGACAAAAATATATACAGAGTGCTTACTGAGTGTCAATCTCTCTTAAATATCATCTTTTTAAATTTATTAAAAATATATAGGCCGGGTGCCGCGGCTCACCCCTGTAATCCCAGCACTTTGGGAGGCCGAGGCGGGCGGATCACAAGGCCAGGAGATGGCGACCAGCCTGGCTAACGCTGTGAAGCCCCGTCTCTATTAAAAATACAAAAAATTAGCCAGGCGTGGTGGCATGCGCCTGTAATCCCAGCTACTCGGGAGGCTGAGGCAGGAGACTCGCTTGAACTCGGGAGGCAGAGGTTGCAGTGAGCCGAGATCGGCCACTGCATTCTAGCCTGGGCGACAGAGTGAGACTCTGTCTCTAAAAAAAAAAAAAAAAAAAAAAAATATATATATATATATATATATATACACACACACACACACACACACACACACACACGGCAGTTATTGTTATTGTTATTATTTTCTTCATACTCATTACCACCACCACTGCAGCACATCCCTTTCGGAGGCACTGTCTTGTTAAGAGCCTGGCATCTGAAATTAGATCTTACATAAACCACAGATTACTGGTGGGACTTCCGGTAAGTTACTTAACCTCTCTCAAGGGCTAGGTTTACCACTTCATGGATTATGGATGATGCCCCAAAAGTGCCTACCAGGATGCCTGGCACACAGTAAGCTCTCTAAACCACCACTCTTCACAGCATGTGTATGACATATGAAAGTGCGTCTTGATGAGGTTAAGTAAGGCGAAGCTGCTTTTCTTCCCCTCTAGACATTTGATTTGGAAACCCCACAGATCCATTCCCTTTAGGACGGGAAACAGCACGTCGGGGATCGCGCTATAATCTTGTACACATCTTTCGAGTTGGCTAGTAAATTTCTGGGGCGACATTACCTAATCTTCAAGGATCAACCAGCTTCCCGGAAAGACTGCTGCCATCAGCACCCTAAGGTCTTTCTTCCCGAAAGGCCCAGCCTCTAGTCGCAGCCGTCTGGGTACCAGCAAACACACCAAATCAGTTCGCGAAGTTCAGAGGACTTGGCTCTGGTATGTTTACAAGTCCTAACAGATCGCAGGAATGTTCAGGATAATTATTACCCCACCCAGGAGCGCCCAGCCCAACCCTCTCACATCTGGAAGGAAGCGGCCACACAAAGGAGAGCGAGAGAGAGAGAGAGACCTCCTCCTGCGGCTGCTTTCTCAGGCGGGAGAAGATTTAATACACGTCTCACCCCTTTTGTGAACAAGAGCAGGCACTGTTCAGTATCCTTCAAAGCACAGGACATCCAATGCAAGGGAAGAGTTTGTCCTCTATTCCAAACGAAATGGCATTTCTCAAAGTAGGAGCTAAAGATTATATTTATTTTTTCCTCCCCAGATGAAAATGAAAAGTGAAATACTCCACAAAATAAGAAGCTATTCACATGCACACTGCCTCTCCAACATAGGAGCGGCTAGGATCTGAAACACCTATTTGAAAAGGGCAGCCAAACGAAACCCTTAGTGTCCTCTGCTAACTCCAGGGATTTCCCCCCCCTCTTTTCGCTGCCTTTTAGAAGTATCTCTGGGGGCCAGATCTGGGCTTCATCAGCTTTTCTCCCGACCTCCCACGAACGCGCGGCAACCGAAGCACGCGGTCCCCGGCGGCGCGTTTGCAAACCCCACCAACGCCAACGCCTCGAAACCGCCAAACTTCCTGTCTCCATACCACCAAAGCGACCAAAGCGCCGTGCCAAGTGCCCCAGGGACTCCAGCGGAGGCTGCACTAGACCTCGAGCCCCAGGGCGGGGTTTTCCGCTCTCCCAAACTCCTGGGACCCGCACCTCCGCTGGGGGTCTCCAAACGTGCGCGCTGCGCCCGGGGCGCACCGGGCGCGCCCGTGGCCGCGTCTTGCGGCCTCGCCCTGGCAGCACGCTTGGGGAGCCCGGGGCGGTCGCCCACCTACCTGCTCCGCCACCTCCTCCCTGCGGCGCTCCGGGGCTGTAGACGGCTACTTTATTGTCTCGGCTGCGCACCGCGCGGGACCTGGGGACCCGGCTCTGCGCCAGTCCTGCAAGTCCACTCTGCGCTGTGCCTTCCCCGGCGGCGGCTGCCTTCCTCTTCTTCCTCTTCCTCTCTGTCCAAGCTCCAGCTCAGCACGTGAGCTACGCAGCCCGACTCCCGGGCTCTCTGGGCAGCCAGCGCCTGCCGCATCCCCCGGCCCGGGTCTGCAGGTCGCCCCCGCCACCGCCGCTCGCCGTGCGTCCTCGCTTTGCTCCACACTTACAGCTGTGCCCCGGGCCGCCTTTCTCGCGTCCTTCCGTCCTGCCTGCCTCCTCTCGCTGTCAGCCGGGGCTTTCGGCTCCCTCTCTCCCCAGCAGCCCCCGCCCGCCGCCTCTCCGGGGGCTGGGGCGGCCGCTGCCAATGAGGCTCGGCTGATGCGCTGTTCCGGCCCAGTCATTGTATCGGGAGGGAAGGAAGGGGAGGGGGAGAGGGAGGAAGGGAGGGGGCGCCCTCGGCCCCCGCCGCACGGGGCTGCGGGCTGGGCTAGCCTTCCCCGGCAGAGAAAGGGCGCCGGTGCCAGGAGGCGCGGAGCGGTGCCTGCCAGGAGGAGGGGAAAGAGGGGGTCACCAGCCCGCGCCTCTCCATCGCTCCCTCCGACTCCTCCAAGCTCTGGGCGGAACTTGATTCTGCCTCACCGGCTTCAGGCATCCCAGGACCTGAGTGCTGTTAGAATAAAGGGTATGAGGCACCGGTGGCAGAGGGAGGCGCAGAATGCACCCAGCCACCCAAGAGGGGCTGGCGAAATGACTCCTGAGATCCCTGCAAATCTGAAACCATTGCACTTGAAGACAGAAAGAAAAAAAAAAAAAGGCGAGTCTATCCCATATCAGGCATTTATCCCTAAGAACAATTTTTGTTTTATTATGCGTTCTTTACATGAAACTCGGGAGGCTCAGAGAGGTTAGCTCAAAATAGCTGATGAGTGACAGGGCAGAGATTCCAACTTGATCTGGTGCTGAGTGTAACACAGCAAATGGGAGAGGAAGGAGAGGAAAGGAGGATTCTTCATGAACGACTTCCTATTGAGAGTTTTTATATTCTCTTCAAATGAGCTGACAAGGAGAGAACCAAAGGTGATCCGACAGGGCTGGGAGAAAATATTTCCCAAACAGCCTTAAATGTATGTCCCGTGACCAGACTTCACTTCTCCATACACCGTGAATTAATTTTTCTCTACACACTATGAATTAATTTATTTTAAAAAGCAAATCCATTTTTAAAAATAATTGTCTCACAACTACACAATCACATAGCTTTGGATTTTTGTTGAAAATTAAATTGATTTATCCAATATCAATATTTTAAAGACTCCACAGTTTCTGTGACCGTGGTTTTGGCCTTTCTTCCTCCTTCTCCTCCAACTTCCCCTACCCGTCTTTCTCCCCCTTCCTCCCTTCCTTTTTGACAGGTCACCAGCCTAGAAAAAGAATGGGGGCACGGGGCATCTTGATTTCACAGGCCCTGGTGTAGCTGCTACTGACATGAGGGAGCAAGTAGCAAGCAAGATCTGAAGTAGTAAAGGTTCAAGATAGCATGTTGCGGAATATTGTATGTGTGCAGAATGAGGTTTAATTACATTTGCTTCTGATGTTGAATGGATTGTTTGCTTTTAATTAAATAGAATATATTGAATGAATAGCTAACATTTATTGAGTGGTAATTACACGCCCGGCCTCCCCACCCTGTCCCCAAGACTTGAGCTAAATAAGCACTTCTCTTGGCATCATCTTATTGCGTTCTCCTGGGAGAATGGGAGTGGACTGAAAGCCCCCTGTGGCCAGGGTCTATGTTCGCCTTGTTCAGCATCAGGCACATAGCAATGGCTATTCAGTGTCAGTTGAGTTAAGGGAGCCCTGTTTTACTAAGGAGGAACCTGAGGCTCTGAGAGGTTAGTTGACCTGCCTGATAGTATGAAACTAGAAAGTGGCAGTGCCTATCTATAAATGCAGGTCTGGTAACTCGCTACCCGTTGCACAATACAATCTATTCAACAGGTATTGGAGCATAAGGACCCCAGGTAGGGGAGTGATGCAATGAATAATGGTTTGCCCAGTGCTCACAAATGCCACAATTTCTCCAGAGAGAAAATAAATACATGTAGCATAGTCATTAGAAAACACTACAGAGTGTAGGGCAAAATGGAACAATGCAGGTAAAATGCCCAGCTTAAGGCTGGGCATCTAAGAAGTGTGTGGCATTTATTATGTTTGGGGAAAAAACTGGATACAGACTATTACATGAAAATGCAATGTAAGAGATGTCAGAAAGGTTTATCTTTATTGGTGAGAGTAGTCCAGAAGAATTTCCTTGAAGATGTGGGATATTTACTGGATTTTCTTGGAGCAAAGGGGCTTTGGCTTAAAAATGGGGGCTCCAGGTTTGTTCTATGTGGGTTTGAAGCCCAGCTTTTCAAAATACTCAGCCTTTCTAGGCTTCATTTTCTTTTTCTGTTAAACAGGGTTAATAATAATGCATTACTTACAGGGGTATTGTAAGGATTAAATTAGTTAATATGTGGAAAGCATTTGGAATAGTGCCTCATGCATGATAAATGCTTAATAAATACTAGCTATTATTATTAAAGGACAGAGGCTGATTTCTTTCCAAATTCCATCTTCTGAAAAATAAATATTTATAGAATAAATATTTATAGAATAAATATTTATAGAATAAATATTTATGGAATATTTATGGAAAACAGCAAAATTAAAACCACAACACAATTGAACCTGCAAAAACTTTTTTTCCTTTATTTTATCCTAATATAGAATTATCAACCTGGCTGCATATTAGAGTTCTGGGGATGTTTTTTCTTTATTTGTTTGTTTGTTTTCAATACTGGAAACAATTATATTAGAATCTCTGGGGGTGGAGTTTGGGCATCAGGATTTTCTTAAAGCTTTGTAGGTGAAATCATTATACAGTAGGGATTGGAATCACCGAAATGTCCATAGGATGTCCGTAGGAACTACCTGAAACCTACTCATGGACTACGTATTTGGATTCTGTATTATAGACTTGGCTGCAGGAACCACATCCAGAGGGAAAACAACACATCCTTTACTTTTTGTGTGACTAGTAAATACCTAACTCTAGGATAGGTACTATGCCAAAACAAACAAACAAACACACAAAAAACTGCAACAAACAAGATAAAGGAAATGAGGTTTGTCATTCAGAAGCTCATAATTTAGTTGTTGTGATGAGACAAATATACATGGACAAAGTGACAGCAAGGAGGATGAAGAGGAAACAATTCTGTCTTGAAATATATAATTTCCAGGTGAAAAATCAGGGCCCACACACTGCTGTATATATAATAAAATAGTTTTGATGCAAGAGGGTGTTAGAAATTCCCCAGACCCCCATTTCAAGCCCTCAGTCTTATACAGTATGAAGGAGTGTGACATGAGATTCAGCTATTGAATTAATAAGAACATGTATCATAAATATTTTATTTTCTAAATTTAAAGTTATTTTTATATTTATTTATTTATATATCTGTACTAAGTATAGATATATGCTTATTGGAGAAGTTGTTTTTTTTTTTTTGTTTTTTAAGATGGGGTCTCACTCTGTCACCCAGGCTGGAGTGCAGTGGCGCCATCTCAGCTCACTGCAGCCTCTACCTTCCAGGTTCAAGCAATTCTCTCACCTCAGCCTCCCCAGCAGCTGGGATTACAGGGGTGTGCCACCTTGCCCAGCTAATTTTTGCATTTTTAGTACAGACAGGGTTTCACCATGTTGGCCAGACTGGTCTCGAACTCCTGATCTCAGGTGATCCTCCCACCTTGTCCTCCTAAAGTGCTGGGATTACAGGCATGAGCCACTGCACCCAGCCGAGAAGTTTTTGACAATATAAGAAATACATAAAGTAGAAATGAAAAATTATTTGCAAGTTCACTACTCTGAATAAGCATCTTTGACATACATAGTCCAGACTTTTAAAAATGTACATGCAAACACAAAACATACAAGTCATCTATTATATTGATATGCCATAATTTATTCACCCAAGCCAATTAGTTATCTTTGATTTTTATTTTTCTTTTATGTACAATTTTAAAACCAAGGTTAAAAGGAGGTCATATCATTCCTACAGCACTATCATTTTCTTCAGAGTGTTTCTGCCTTTCAAAGATTTCCTGCTGGTTATTCAAATATGGGATAAGAGCATATATACCGCTTGCATATTTTATAGCTAAAGGCTTGTGAGTGGGCAGACGTTCATTAATTTGTAACAAGAACCCGTGCTCATGTTCATTAAGTGTTTTGCACATGTGGTCTCATTTTATTAGTGACCCTGTGAAGTAATCACCCTTTTTCACTCCATTCTACACATGAGAAAATTAACCCAGACAGGTGAAATGACTTGCTCATGGTCCTATAACTAGCAAGTCAGTAGCTACAATTTGATCCCAGGTCTCTTTGACCCAGCGGGAATGAAGGTCTAGCCCGCCATGCCAGGAGACACATGGTACTTTTGTTGTGAATATAATGACTTGGGTAGATCTCAGTGATTTCTGGATTTTCAACAGACTAAAAAAAATTGAATCACAATAATATTGAACATGTAAAAAAAACCATACTTGTTGCTACTCAGGGTCAATTGTTGTGTTTTCTTTCTAAAGCACTCTTTAGATAACTAAGAACAGCCATCCATTGATATACTTCAAGATATTTTGCTACTTCTTAAAGCGTACCATTGCAGCATATATTTCTGTGTGAGCCCTAGATATACTCTGCACCTTGACGACACAACACACTGTAATCAACAAAAAGGAGGCCCATTATTTCATACCTCCATGGGATGTTCATCATCACTGATGCCTCATCTTTCTATTTAAGCCCAGGGCCTTGAGATGAAATTAAAGCTTTTTTTTCACTAACCTAACCAAGGCTGATGTGTTTTATGCTCAAATGTAGCACAAAATTATTAGGTCATTATCTCCAATCTTTGAATATGTAAATAAACATAAAATAAGGCTTTTTCAAAGTGTACTAATTATGATACCCTGAAATTAAAACAAAATAAGAAAACTTGAATAATTATGTTTAAACATAGACAGAAAGATCATTGGTTAAATCACAGGAAATTGTGTTTCTGTGGATTAAAGGTCAAATATTGGCAACTTCATGGGGTTCAACCTAACATGAAGCTGTTGCTGATTTAGCTGTGACTATGAACGTGTGTCATGAGGCTAACTGTGGTTGCACTTGCTTCCCGATTATGGAAGTAATATAATTGAATGAGAACCTTGTGATCATGCATACATAACTGTCTTTCGAGGGCACACCACTAAGCACTTCTTATATGTGAAAATGCTTTTTAATAATGTTCTTTTGGCACTTAGCCAGCTAAAATGCCTTGGCGAGAGGCCGGTGCCACAGTCCAGCTCCATCGTGGATAGCCTGAGGGCTGGCAGTTCAGTGGAATCTTAAATCAGAGTATTCAGAGACTATCAAATTTCCTTCCAAAAAGCAAGGACACTCCACAGGAACTAAAACAAATGCTCTTTTTTTTTTTTTTGTAGCCATGTTACCTAATCACAAGGATCCCAAACTGATTAGAGTAAATAATTTGGTAATTATATTGGGAAAGACTCCTTTTCACTGGAGAGGTTGCAAACTGCCATGGGTTTTGGTTTGTATAGTGTTTTCTAAGTTGCTAGTGATTAAAAATTGGAGATTTCCACATAAACATCTGGATTTGTGTGTGGGTGTGCCTGAGTGTATTTAGAGGGAAGATTCCAAATGCAACCTACACCATTTGATGTTATTCCATTATTTCTAAAAATAGATTTTAATTTTTAGAAATTTATAGAAAAAGTGCCAATTTTCTATAAACATAAGTCCCTTTAAAAATTAGACCCCCTTTTCATAATTCTAGGATTATTTCATCAAAAATGCATTATTTTCTTTAAAAATGAATAAAACAGGGAAACAAAAGTCCCATGAACTCATCAGGGTTTTCCTGGCAACTCCAGACGTGAATAGAAGAGCTCTTCCAGTTTGATTGTGGCCTTCACACAGTTTTCTTATGCCTGTTTCAGTTTAGGTATTCTGTTGACTTTCTCTAACACCTTTTTCTCTTAGTATCAAGAAATTATACAACTTGAAGGAATTTAGAAAACTTTTGGTCTGAGGGTTACAAGTTCAAATGCTTAGGTCAGGCAACAACTCATGTGCAGAGGGTCAGATGTATGTCAATAGGGAATAGTGGCGACTACGGCAATTGGAGAGCACGTGCCCTGTCTACAGGTGCCCCCACCCCCACTCAGTAACAATCTATTGTTGAGACAACAGTGTTGCCAGAATTGCTTTTCAAGAGAGGCCAGAAATGTGGATTTTTATGAATATCTCTTGATTATAAAATGTTGACGGCTAATTTGAAGCCATTTTTAAATACATACGAACAAGCCATTTTTAAATAAATACAAGCAAAACCATATCTACTGGCCCCATATGACTTAAGAGCCTCCAGTTTGTGGCTGCTGATAGATTCCAACCTCTTCATTGCGCAGATCAGGAAACTGAGGCCCAGAGAGTGAATGTGATTTGCCTAAGAGTAAAAAGTAATAGTACAGGAGGTAGAACCTTGTCTACTTGGCTTCTATCCTAGGGCTTTTCCAATACAAACATCTGCTTCTATTTGCTTGCTAAGATTTAAATGATGTTCCTAATTACATGATTTCAAACATTGTACATTGTTAAAAAATAACAATATTCATTGGCTTTGGAGCACACAATTTACAATAAGTGGTTTTTCAGCCACATGATCACATAGTCTAAATTGCTTCTAACATTTATAAGGCCAACATAATTCTACTTCCATTCATCTACTAAGAAAACTTTATTCATCTCTACTTCCCTATACTTCTTCTCCCTTCAACTGGTTACTAAATCTGGCCAAATGTGGAGAAAAAGTAAAATATTTAAGAAGAACCAGGTTGACTACTCTACCATGAATAAGAACTAAGTGGGGAGAAAAAGAAAAATACACTTGTGAACCAGTGACTGTAAAAACTAAGCCATGCATTTAAAATGTTTCAGGGCAGTTTGCTTATTTTGCCAAAGCAAACAAAATACACACAGTAATCTTGTAAGAACCTGAGCACACTTCAGCAAAGAAGTGGAGATAATTTTTCTAAGAGTTTCGGTAACTGAAAACTTCCATTATATGTCTGAGATTGTTTTTATTTTTTCTTTTTCAGAAAAATTTAAAAACAGAATAGTTCAGAATAGATGATAACAAACTTCCCTACAGCTACTATTCAGGATTGTCCATTGTCCTTTGTTTTTCATCGGACAAAATAAAAAACTTTACAGAAAAGCTGAAGTTCCCTTTGTTCCTTATTACCAACTTTATTCTTATTTCCAACTCCCCAGAAGTAACCATTATCATGAAGTTTGTATCAATCCTTCCAAATTTTTGCATGGATATACATACCCATGAATATGATATAGTTTTGTTATTTACATTTTTAAATGTACATACATGGTATCATACTATATATAACGTACCAGAGCCTGTGTGTTTCATCTAATAACAGCCTATCAAAAATCTATCCATCTGACCTAAATCAGATCAAGTAAAAAAATAAGTAAATAAATAAATAAAAATTAAAAATCTATCCAAGTTGATGAATATGGACCTAGTTCATTCCTTTTAGCCACTTTATGATATTTTATATTTTATTTGTTCATGTCAGTAGATGGCTGCTAGGCCATTTTCAATATATGAGTCATTTGATTTTAAAATATTTAAAGTAGGAACTAATTTTCCAGAAAAGGTTGACAATCAGTATTAAGCCAGTAGTTTATTACACTATCCAAAGTGTAAGGAGAAAGATATTCTATACTTTCTTCTAGACCCAGGACTCCTGGCCCTCTAGTATGTCAGGCAGTTCATTGGCCCCATTGTATGGAAAATTTGTTATGAATGATAATTTTCTGAAAAGAGGGTTGATAGCTCTTATGAGATTAAAATCTATCTGTGCCAACCCCCAAAATAAAGAATAACTATTTTTAAATGTCTTCCACTCACCATGGGAAATAATCATAGTGATTACTTCTGCAGTTCTGCTTTTTTTCCACGATTTTTGAATGAATTGCCATCTTTTATTTTGGCTTACAATTAAATTAAATTCAACAGTTAAGCAATGAAAATGCACTGAATATCAGTACATGGGACAAGTGCCAGTAGCAGGGACACGAACAAGTCAAGAAAAGCCCTGTGTTTCACTAACACAAAAGTCTGGTGAGAAAGGTAATGTCAAAGCCAATGTAGAGTTTCTCAAAAGGGTGGCTCTATTGACACTTTTCCTGGATAACGATTTTTGCTGTTGGGGCTGTCCTATGCATGATGGGATGTTTCACAGCACCCCTGGCCTCTGCCTACTAGATGCAGTAGCCTCTACTCACAAGTCGTGACAACCAAAAATATCTCCAAGCTCTCTCAAATGTTTCCCAGGAGGCAAATCTACCCGGCTCAGAACCACTAGCTTAATATGATGAGCAATGCCAAAGAGAAGTATGGGTTTCAGTCTGTAAAATGCTTCCTTGAATGAGCAGTCTGTGCAAAACAGAGGCATAAGTTCATGCAGGGGAGGAAACACTGATTGGAGTACTCACAGAAGGATGTTCTTGTCTTGGCAATGCCACAAATTATTTTATGACCTTGGTCAAGTTATTCAATCTCTGTACAACAGGATGGTTGGATACATCTAGCTCTAAAATTCTACAGTATCCTTGACGTCTGAGTCCTTGGTGAATTATCAGAAAGGGTGTGAGGGACTAATATTTGGAAGCTGCTGCTATTTTGGGAAAAATAAACACAGAAAAGTGCTCTGCTAAGTATACCATGTCATCCAAAGCAACCTTTTTATTAGAAAACATAGCTTCTGGATACATTTGCCACATTGCTTCTTTTTAAATGATCTTGCCAATTGATTTCCTCATTATAAAGCAATCTTGTAGACTCTATTAACAGGAATTGCTGGCTGTTTATCTCTCTTGCAAAGTTGGTCTTCAAGAAATGGGGCCAGATTTATAATCAATGACATTTTTTAAGAGTTCTTTCTCTTAGCCACAGAACACATACGGCCAACGAAAGCTTCTCTAGACAACTCAATCAATGTGATCTTGGGTGAATTGTCCTGAAAAATACAGTAATGCCAGTTCCACTAACAATATATCTTTGATTTCTGCTGTGTCAGTGATGATATGGGCACAAGTTCATTTGTGCCTAAATAAATACCAGAAACAGGAATCATTAAAGCAACTGCTTAATAGCTCTGGCTTTTAGTTCTTAATCTTATCAGGATTCCAAACGGACAGAAAGGAGATTTGGCACTGAACATTCTCAAACTCTCCCCTGTGGTAACTTATTGTATATGCTGCCATGCTATCCCTGCCTGAAAGCCATTTCCCTCAGGTCTTTGCTTGGCTGACTCTTTCTTTTCATTTAGGGACCAGCACAAAGTTCACTTCTTCAGAGAGTATTGCCCTGCCCACCCTGAAGAAACTAACCGTCCACATTGTCTACCTTAATTGTTTAGGTTTTTATTGACTGCCTTCCCTTACCATAAAATAAGCTCCATACACATCAGGGGCTTTTTTGACTATCGTTCATTGCTGTATCATCAGCACCTGAACAGAATTGACACCCAGTAGAGATTCACTAAGTACTTCTTGGAATTAAATGCTGCCCCTTCCCTCTTTGCTTAGCTAACTCCTATTAATCACTGGGACCTCAGTTCAGATAGCATGGCCTCAGGAAAATCTTTCCTGGTGATCCAAGGCCTGTTAAATCGCCCAATACACTCTGGATAATAGCATAAATCTCTTTCTCCTCTTGACACTTTCTTGGTTCTCATTCAGGGCTGACTTTGTCCCCCAGGGAACATTTGACAATATCTGGAGAAATGTTGGTGGACACAACTGGGGAGGAGGAGTGCAGTGGTTACTACTGTCACCCAGTGGGTAGAGGCCAGAAATACTGTCATACATACGATCATGCACACAAGGGCCTCTCAACAACAAGGAATTATCCAGCCCCACGTGTCAGTACTCCTGAAGTTGAGAAACCCTACCCTAAACAGATTGGCAATTTTATATTCATTTGTGTAATTCTTTGCTTAATGTCTGTCTCCCCTACTAGACTATAAAATAATGACTAGAACTTGGGATTTAAAATCCATGAAACTTTATCCAGCCACTCAACTATTAGGACCACCAGGCAGCTCACTTAGCTGTTGGCTTTGCCAGTTTCTAGATGGAGTTAATAATGACTTACATTAGAAATAGTCCAAATATTAGTTCTGTTTGGTAGGAACAAAGCACAGTGGATATTTAACAATTTAACCATGCATAACGAAATCCAAGAAGCAAACCCCAAAATGCAAAGAGTGAAGTACTGGAGAATATTCAAGTATTAATATACAAAATGCTCAACCATAGGAACACATGAAAGAATTTTGCTGTGGCCTTATAAGTAGGACCTATGGCTTTGGGTAATGGCGGAGGAGAAAGTAAATTGACTCTATAAACACCTGAGACAAAATATATATAAAAACAGCAACGAGGCATCCCCTCCATCTGAGAGAAGAATAAAGTTCAATAAGGAAGGAGATCGAATGTTCATATCCACCTAGGATGAAGAAACATTTGTGCACTGGTCATAAGAAAGCTTTATTAGAAAATGGCAGCTCTTTGATACCGGTAATGAGAGGCAAAATCTTCTTCCCCTTAAACTAATATTTGATGGGTCTAAAGAGGATGGTCTTGTTTATGTGTTATACCACTAAATGGATCAAAACAAAGTAAGTAATATTCATGTGTCCTTAAGATTGCTTCCTAAATTTTCAATATGAATTCAAAATATCCAAGGATTCATTGCTTGATTCTATGCTTTTAATGAAAGGATTCTGTCTTAAGTTGCTGGAGGCCTGATGTAGCATAGACTGGCAGCTCTTGTACTTCACTGAAACATGTACATCACCAAGAGATTGTAATACATGTTTTGAATTGGATTTAAAGAAAAAAAAGATTTAGTTGAATTCTCACTGCCTTTAGAGTTATCCACAAAGACCTCCTTACTGGCTTCCTTTAGGGATTCAAAAGGCTTAAAATTTCTGTCCTTCTTCACAAATGCAATAACGTGAAGTGAGAGACCGTAAGGAAACAGATGGTAAAAGAAACTTTGTTTATTTTCTTTTTATTTTTGATTTTAATCTTTTCAAGTTTCCAAGGACTTAAAACAGATGTTTGTGACCTGCTTTTATTTTTTTTCAAGCTAGTAAAGAAAAGCTGACCTCAACATTCTAGGGAGAAATCTGTTTAATCAGTAGTTAAGATTTGATCTACTGAGTTCCCAGATAATTTTTTAATCATTCAGAATAAATCATGACATACACTTTTAAACAGTCATCTTTACTATGTGACCCTCTTCTGAAAGGAAGGACATCCTGTAAAAATGCACAGTACTAGTCTTGAAGTAGATTTCAACTATTCACTTTAGTGCCAATTGCTAGAGAAGGTTCTATTTATAACCTCTAGAATCCAGATGACATCTTTTATCCTTTATAACTACACTTAAAGGAACAGAAATAAGAGTTTTCTTTTGACACTCACTCTCCCACCCCTGGACCTCAAACCTCTGGCTGTAATTTCCCGGGGATATTCCATTTCTTATCAGTGGTTCTCACCCAGGGACAAGTTTGTCCCCACAAGACATTTGACAAAGCCTAGAGATATTTTTTTCTTGTCACAAGTGACTGGGTGGTGCATGTGCTACTGACATTTAGTGAGTGGAGGCCAGAGATGCTACTAAACATCGTACACTGCATAGGGCAGACATCCGAAACAAAAAAAATATCTGGCCAAATATCTCAAAAATGCCAAGGTTGAGAATCCCTGATCTATGATTTTTATCACTAGCATTAACGGAATCAGATGTGTTTGTGCTTGACAGACAGTTTTCAGTAGAGTATTTTTAGAACAAAATTAGCCTTTACTTTCTTATCTTTCAGGCAAGTTAAAATATTAATGGGAAAATCAATGATTCCCTCAATTAAGCCTCCCAGCATCAAGACTCCATTATTGACCTTTCAAATTAACTCTTCTATTTTGGGACCTGGGAAAACCATATAATTCTAGCTAGCGAAGGTTCCACCGGAAGAGTTATCCAAGGAAATCCGGGGCTTGCACCCTCTGTGGGACTTCAGAGAAAAGGCTATTGATTTTCTGTAGCATTTTATTTTTAAAAAAGAGTGACACATTGGTGTGGGAAGTTTTTATTCTATATAAAAATGCCAAAATAAGTAAGTGCTGTCTCAGAGGTATCATTGAGGGCCCAACCTTCTTAGAGCTGTGCTGTCCCTAAATGTGTGGGCCAAAGGGAAGGAAGCCCAAGGCGCCTACCTTGTGGGGTTACCTAATAATGTTCTGCCTACTGGATGTGTTCAATAAATGCACACAGGTCAGTTTTTTTTAGATTGGATTTTCCCAGAAGCACACTCTGAGTGGAGAATTGGGTTCTCCCATGAAAAACTGCTGAGGGAATGGGGTAAGTAGGACAGGAAGGGGAACAAGGTCAGGCAAGGATGTCACCTCGAGTCAACCCCCAGCAGCAGCCTGACCTTCAGGGGAGCTCTGGAGCATAGACTACACCTCAGTTTACTCACCTGGAGGCAAAGGAGCTGGGTTTTTATACTTTCACACCAGTCTGTCAGCGGCTTCCCTGGGTGATGGGAGGATACTCTCAGGCACTTTTGGCTTTCCATCCAGAGAAGGAGCTCAATCCATCCTCTGAAGAGGGTCCCACAGGGGAGGAATCAGCAGCAGAGCAAGGGACACTGGTGGTCAAAGGGATCTGAGGGGGATCTGCAGTTTCTACTGCTTCATAGTCTTGAAATGTGGCAGGGCACGCAGTTTGTGGACTGTAAAACATTCATTCATTCAGTCGATCATTCCTTCAACAAATACTTGTTGAATTTCCACCGTGCGCCATGAACTGTGCAATGAGCTGGAGATATATGGTGCACACAAAGTGTGAACAGCAAACGAGCTATGGCAATCTAGTGCTGGAGCCAGGAGTGAAGCCTGCTACAGGAGGGACACCTACTCAGCCTGGGAGATATGATTCTGGAGGAGGCAACAGTAAGTTTGAGAATCAAAAGATAAGCCAGAGTTAGCCCAGTACAAATATCTAGAGGTAGCAGGGCAATGAAGATTCTCCTACTCCTTCCTATGGACCAAGGTGGACAACATCCTGGATGACACTTTGGGAACTAAAGATAGTGGAAGAATAAGAAGCAAAATTGTAGTGTTGTTCAAATTGTGAGCCCTTAAGCAAATGCTCATAGGCTCTTTCCTCTCTGGAGCCAGAGACATCATTGCAGTATTTTCTGGGGGCACCATTTTTTGGAACTTGTCCCAGCATGTGTACCAATGAAGACCAGTAAGCTCTTTGAGAGCTGTTAGCTTGAAGGGCTGGGACTAGCTGGCACCATGGGTTTCAGTATTATTAGTGTGGAATATTGCCAGAGGTGAGAGGTCTTAGGCAGAAATAAGAAGACAAATAGATTCCACCTAACCTGCCACTCTCAACTTACCAAATGAATGGTGTTTATGGGCACCTAGCACAGGAGCCAGGTCCTAAGGACTCTCTGCTATGGCTGGCCAGTAACTCTCAGTCACTGAGTCCCAAGGAAGGGGATGGAGTGGCTGTGAGCAGCAGGAGACACAGAGGAGTTAGGAACAATGGCTTTTTACCAACTAGTATAGAAGTACAGTCATCCTTCAGTATCCGTGGAGGATTCCATGACTCCCTGAGGATACCAAAATCCACAGATGCTCAAGTCTCCGATATAAAATGGTATAGTATTTGCATATAATGTATGCACATCCTTCCATATACAGTATTTAAAATTATCTTTAGATTACTTGTAATAATTAATACAATGTAAATGCTATGCAAATAGTTGAATACTGTGTTGTTTAGGGAGAATAATAACAAGGAGAAAAGTCTGTGCATGTTCATTAGGGACACAACATCCATTTTCTTCCCCAAATATTTTTGATCCTTGGTTGATTGAATTCGTTCATGTGGAACCCACAGATATGGAGGGCCAACTGTGTTTCACTATATTTAAAATGAGCAGGCTCCATGTATCAGCTGAATATTATGTGAATGAAGGGAGATGGATATGTTTTTAAGTTTTAATTTATGTAGTCATTTAATCCATACAATTATGTATGACTTTTCCATTCCCTGCTTTGGATAGACATGGTTTCAGTGAATATTTTATTTTTATCTGAATTATAAGAAAAGTCATAAGTGTAACAATCATGTTACATACATAACAACAACATGTACATGTAGCAGTAGAGTTGCATACATAACATAAATGTAACAAAGAGGAACAATAGGGACTGGTGGGAACTGTGGCAAACTGGAGAAGTGTGCCTGACCTAATGGGTGCAACTGCTACTCAGCTGAAGCCAGCTGGGAACCATGTGGGAATGCAGGCCCACTATTGCCAACAGTTCTGATTTTTCCAGGGGAGCCAGAAACTCCAATTTTTAAAAGATTTCTCTGGATTTTGAAATGTTGACAGCCAATTCAAAAAAATTTTTTTAACACTATGTGAACCAAACAAAATATATCTATGGGCCAGATTTGATTTATGGACCACCAGTTTGCAAGGCTCTTGGTCTCTAAAGGCTAAATTTGTGTCGGTCTTACTGCTATTCCCCCTCTCTCCCACCACCTGTTCTTTCAATTCCTAGAATTCCCATGGGCTGGTGGACTGGAGTAGCCAGTTCCCTGTAGTTGAGACCATCCTTTGTTTCTTACAGTCATAGTTAGAGCTGACACAGGTGCCAGGAGACATTTTAGCTGTGTATTTGAATGGTGGAGATGATTAAATCTGTTTATGTTGACATTCTTGAGAAGGATGGTCAGGTTGGTGGAGGTTTCACAGCTAAGCTCAAGACAAGGACAGTCAATCATGTTTATTTCACAAAACTGGAAAACTTACGTTTGAAGTTCTCAGGAATGGTAAAGAAAAACAAAGAAACAAAAACCCCCAAGTGACTGATAAGTAGCAATCTAGCTTGCTACCTACCTTGGTTTATCAACCTTCTCTATCAGATATTTCTCTCTGAAATAATGATAGGTCATCTCTGCTCTAGGTATGGGGACCACAACTTGCTTCAAAGTTGGCATTCAGAGAAACAAGAATTGAAATAAAATGGAATCACATCACATGTGTGCTGAATGTACTCAAACTCAACTACGTGACCTTGGCCAAAAGAGAAATACCCTTTAATTTATTCCTTCTCCTTTCCACCTTTCAAACTAGACTCTGGCCTCCACTGCTTCAGGACAAGAAAACCCACAGCCAAATTGTAAAAAGAAACAAAGAAATTAATCCTTGGTTTTTGGTCTTCCAGGAGTCTGAGCTCTGTTGATTTAAGGGAAGGTAATGAATCTTAAAGGGAAATTTTGAATACATGTGGGGTTTTTTCCTCTTTTCTGACTGTAAAAGCAGATTTCTTAGAAGATGAAATTTATTGATAATTATTGAAATAAGTATAGTCATAATAGCTATTATTTATTGAGTGCCTTCTATGTGTCAAGCACTGAGCTAAACAGATTAGTATTTAACACTCATAAATATTAGCTTCTTTAATCTTTCCAGCAATTCTACAGTTCCAGGCACTACAATTATTCCCATTTTACAGATCAGGAGACACAGGCCCACATATAATAACCAGTCTAAGGTCCCATGGCTATTAAGTGACAGAGTCAAGATTCAAACTCAATTCATCTGACTTAAAAGCTTATGTTCTTTAGTGGGAATATTGAGATTTATCCCCTTACCAGTGGTGGTGAGGATTCATTACTAGTTTAATAATTATAAGAAGTCCTTACTAAAAACAGTGTGCCAGGCAATGAACACATGATGAGGTACAGTCCTGCTACCGGAGTCTTCAGACAGATTGAAAAAACAGAGATCTAAATAAATGATTAAAGTACAAAATGAGAGCTATGATAGAGGTATCCCCAGAAGAAGAGCTCTGAGTTTCTTTTCTGTGTGTATTGTTGTCAATTCCAGCCCTCAGCCATTAGAACAGTTGGAATCTCCCAGTTAACTCCGCAAATTTCTGAGTAAAGAACATTCACTGGTGGCTGGACATAGTGGCTCACGCATATAATCCCAACACTTTGGGAGGCCGAGGCAGGTGGACCACCTGAGGTCAGGAGTTCAAAACAAGCGCGGCCAACATGGTGAAATCCCATCTCTACTAAAAATACAAAAATTAACCAGGCGTGGTGGCAGGCTCCTGTGGTCCCAGCTACTCAGGAGGCTGAGGCAGGAAAATTGCTTGAACCTGGGAGGCAGAGGTTGCAGTGAGCTGAGATCACGCCATTGCACTCCAGCCTGGGCGATTTCGTCTCAAAAAAATTATATATATATATATATATATATATATATATATATTCACTTATATATATATATTCACATATATATATATTTTTTCATTGTCAAGCTATACCTCTGTCCAAGTCAGATAGCATCTACTCACCCTTCTTAATTAGTTTTCCTGAGCTTGTTAATAATCTTGAAGTCTGCAACATTTAATATCTAATTGTTCTGACATCATCCACAGAGATTTCCTCCTGGGGCAGGATTTCCTAATGTCCTCACAGTGCGATTTATATTTTTGTTACAGAGAAGGCTGCCAAGCATTAGGCAATTGTCAAACACCAACAGGCTGTAGGGACAATGGTTCTTCTTTCTCTTTGGAGTCCAGCCAATGGCCCAACAAAATGAAGCAAGCCTGGAAGGAATGTACCATCGAAGCCACTACAGAAGCATAAAGCTAAGCACTGACATCTTCCCATGCATTTCAGGGCATTAGGCTTAGATTATACCAGGCTAAGAAGATGAAGATTGATGTTTGGCTGCAAAACAAGAATTTATTACTAACTGCTATGGTCTGAATGTTTTTGTCTCCTCAAATATGTCAAAATCCTAACCACCAAGGTGATGGTATTGGAGACAGGGCCTTTGGGAGGTAATTAGATCATGAGGGTAGAGCCCTTATGATTGGGATTAATGCCCATATAAAAGAGACCCCAGAGAACTAGCCACTCCTTCTCACCATGTGAGGACACAACTAGGAGGTACCATCTATGAACCAGGAAGCAAGCCCTCACCAGGCACTGAATTTGCCAGCACCTTGATCTTAGACTTCCCAGCCTTGAGAACCATAAGAAATAAATTTCTGCTGTTTATAAACTGCCTAGTCGATGATATTCTGTTACTGTACCCCAAATTTACACTGACCAAACATAAATGTAAGCAAAAGTTATCCTTCTATCTGGCATATTTGCTGAGAATATTTTCTTCTCTTGATTTTTACAAATACTTTGCAAGGTAGTATTGCAAGGAAGAACAGCAATGCTGCTATATTCCTTGGAGAATATGGTTCCCTGGTAAGTAATATCTCCAGAGGAATTGCTGAAGTTTTTGGTCTGTTGTAAAACAGTCTTCATAAAGACCTGGAAGCAAGACTGTAAAACATAGAAGGTAGGCATGCCTCTGGGCTTCTGATGACACTCAGTGCTCCATAGAATTACCCTGTTAAATCTCCGTGTATCTTATTAACATTTATTATAATAGCTATAATTTATTGGCATCTACTCTATGCCAGGCACTGAACAATGAGATTTATATCCATTATCACTAATCAAAAGGTGAGACACAACTGACGGAACTCAATTCATGTTGTGAGTCTCTTTAAGACATGCATCTTCAATGGGAATATCATCTCCAAAGATGTGAAAATTGGTGTAGGGTGATAGTGAGGGGGAGGACTTACTCTTTTTATGTATAAAACACAGATATACATAGAGAACTCAAACAGACACATGGTATATTTGTGGTATTAAAGTTTTATGTGGTGAGGGGAAGTAATTAGGCAAAAAGTGCCTAAGAAGGCTCAGTGTGTGGTGATAACGAAAAAAAAGTTGAGAAACACTGCTTTAAGAGATAGTCAACTCTTAATTTTTTTGTTGAATTTTATAATATTTACTTCCTTTTTTTTTTTTTTTTTTTTTTTTTTTTTGATATGGAGTCTCGCTCTGTCACCCAGGCTTGAGTGCAGTGGTGTGATCTCGGCTCACTGCAAACTCCGCCTCCCGGGCTCACACCATTCTCCTGCCTCAGCCTCCCGTGTAGCTGGGACTACAGGCACCCACCACCACGCCCGGCTAATTTTTTTTGTGTGTGTATTTTTAGTAGAGACGGGGTTTCACTGTGTTAGCCAGAATGGTCTCGATCTCCTGACTTCATGATCCGCCCACCTCGGCTTCCCAAAGTGCTGCCACCGCTTGAGCCACCACGCCCCGCCATAATATTTACTTTCTAATGTGAGAAATTTTTTAGCTATTTTGATGATTACCAGGTAAATCATGACTCGAAAATTTCAATTTGTATAGCTGATTTCATGTACTCTTGTGTAGGTTCTTTCATGTTTTGAAATTCTTAAAGAGTATTTCCTTCCTTGGGTCCACAGGAATTTTCAACAGATTTGGGGCACATTCCACCATGTATGGAGTTCTGCTTCCCTACCATGTAATTCATGCTCCCTGATGCTGTGCTCATGGATAATTCCTACAACCACTAGGGGAGGAAGATGTTATGGTTCTCCTTTTTACAGATAAGGAAACAAACATTGTGAAAGGTTGAGACATTCATTTCCTCATGATCTTGCAGCTGGTTTGTGTGGACTTGGGATTAAAATCCAGTTCTGGAACAGCCTAAAGTCCATGCATATTTGATCCACTATTCCAGAGTTCTCAAAATGGTGCTCCATGGGCCAGATACAGTCCACAGACATGACTTTTGTGTGTGTATGTGTTGTTTTGTTTTTGTTAACTTAGTGTACTTAAAATATTTAAATTTGCTGCCAATACTTAAAAATTAAGAGATCTTTACAGGAACAAGTCTAGATTTACAACTTTTCTTTGAAAGCTTAGGGGCTGTGGGCTTCCATCCTACATGGGAACAATTGACTGAAACTAAGGAGTGGATACTTTTCAAAACAGGGTTTGCACACTCCAATTTGCCTAAGTCCCTGCCCCTTCCTACTGCCTTACACCCAAAACCCCTTCATTCAAACGTCCTATATATATGACTCCCAGAATGTAGTGTTTCTGTTTCCTTCGACTTCCAATGTTTTCTAAATCCTGTGTGTCTCTTCAGTATCTTTCCTTCTCACTCATCCATGCAATAATTTTAAAGTGAATTATGAGTCCACTTTAATTTACTACTTTATTCTTTCTGATTTTCTAGATCTCTCAAGCAGAGCAACTTTATCAGTGATATTTAATAAAATGAAACCAATTTTCTTTTTCTTCTTTCAGTAGCCATGTTATATTTCACCTGAAAATCCTTCTAATTCATTGCTTATTTCCTTAGGGTCTCCATTTCTGAAATTCATATGCTGCTAAGCCTTAAAATATTCAGTCTTTCCAAGCCTGTAGTTTTGAGCTACACTGCAAGGGCATATCAATTTTACTTCACATCAGAGTTTTGATTAGTGATTATGTAAGGACTTTTTTTTCCCCTTGACCTTTTATGGGTTAAACAGAGCCTATGGGTCTATATAAAGCTCTTTCCTTCTTGAATTCTTTCCTTGCAAGTATCTTTATTTTGACTTGTGGTACTTGGTAGATTAAGTGCTTGGAAAAGAAGTGGTCTGCCTGCCAATTCAGGAAGAAGAAGGAAACATTCAAAAACTTGATCAGGGAGGAGGAGGAAACACTCAAGGAGTATAATTTGTTGGGGCATTCCAGTCTGTCAACAGCTCCATCGCTATGAAGACATGAGAATCCAAGAAATAAACACAAAGCAAAGACCACAGTAGATAAGAGGAGGCATTTCCATCCTGGAAGCAAATGTCTGTGTCCTCACATGGTGGTTTTATATTGTTCCATTCGTTACTGTGGAATGCACTTTTCACCGACAACATCTGGCTCTCTAACAACGATGTAAGTCACTGAAGAACACACAAACACTATCACAAAACTAACAGCTGTATTTTGATACATCCAACCTAACCCTTTCTTTTGTGTCATTGCTTTAAACATTTTATTTGTGTGTAAATCTGCTTTTAAATAAAAACATCATAGAATATAGAATTTAACATTTTTTGCCCCAATTTATTATAAATGTATTCATTGTAGTGTTCTCTCACTTATTCATTGGATCCATAGTTCATTCATTTACATATTCATGCATTCTGCAAACATTTAATGAGTTTTTTAATCTTCCACTGTAAAGCTTTTACAAATATACATGCTAGGGCCCCAGGCTCAGACATTCTGATTTGTTTGGTCTACAATGGGAGCCAGTAATCAGTATTTTTAAAAAGATTTCTAGGTATTTCTACTGTTATAAACCAGTGTTTAACAAGAAACATGGCATAGAGTATTTTTTCCAACAGAAGTGATTATTTGAAACATTATAGTGGCAGATTTTTGTATTAAGAGTTGACCTGCCTTGGCATAAATGATAATAATATGCTTTGATAACTAATAATGATAACAATTAACATTTACTGAGTGCCATAAGTACTGAGCTAGGTACTTCATACTTAATACTTTATGTAATTTCTACATCAGCCATGTAAACCAGATATTTTTATCTTTGTTTTGTGTTGAGGAAAAAATATTCAGAAAATGTACTTAACATGACACAGATAGAAGTAGTTTAACTATTGGGGTTTGAAGTCCATATTTCTAACTCCAAGTTATGGTCTTTCTACTCTGCACACTCATTCAGAACTTTGGTTTTGACATCCGATATTCATAAGCGTAACTAATACTTTTTTCATAGAGCATCTTAGGCACATGACCTCATTCCACAGTGCTGTTCACACAGAGAAGTTAATCATGGCAGAGTGGAGGCACTGGGGTTCCACAGAAGAGAGTGAAGCAATGAAAAACACTCAGCTAGTTCTGCCTAGAATTTGAGTTACAAATCCTGGGCTTTTTCTACTGTGCCATGCTTCTTTGTTTCTTTTTCATGTTCTGATTCAGAAGTTTAGGGAGGTAATGACTGCCTTGGCCCTCTCAGTGAGCAATAGAGCCGGTAACACTATGCTTTGGCCACAGCTGATTGGCTCAAAGATGGACATCTGTCCCAGGTTGACCCAATCACATTCATTCTCTCTCTTTCTGACTTCCCACCGGTCTCTCTCCCAGGTATTTAGAATCAGCACTTGAAAAGATTGGTCAGTTCTACCTGAAGGTGTTGAGCCTGTATGGCGATGTATATCAGCAACGGATGAACTCACCTGAGGATGGTTTCTTAGGGGCCAGGAAAACAGATAATGGAACTGATGTTCATGAAGCAATAGAGATATCTGGTGAACCCCAAAAGAGAGACAAGCACAAAGAGTAGCTCCTTTGACTTCTGCTGACTCTATACATACCATTTATTCTTCATTGTGATGCCTGATCTTAATTCATGCCCTTGGGTTTTGTGAGCAACCTTTGACTTGATACAACAAACTCCTATTTATTTGAGCAAATTGAGTAAGTTTCCCATGCTTTAAAACAAACAACCCTTGACTAAACTAATGACCATGTTTTAGAACGCATATAAAGTTTATCATTTTGGGCACCCTTAGAGTGAGTTACATTTTACTCCCAAATAATCTAGTTACTCTATCAAACTGGACTATTTAGACTGCCAGTCACAGAAACTGAAATCAAACCAGCTTAAGCGAAAAAGGGAAATTTATTTGGCTGTTGTAATTGAAATATCCAGGCCTTGCTTTAGGCACAGCCAGATCTGGTGACCTAAATGAGGAAACTGCTTCTCTCCCTCTCTCGAGAACATTTTCCTCTCTGGGAGCTTCATTCGCAGGCAGCCACCTAGGGGAAAATATGGTCACCAGTGTTTCCTTGTACGCATCCTATTGATTTACCAATCCCAGTAGAAAGAGGGGGCCTCTTTCCAATTAGTGCCAGGGAAAGATCCAAGCATGATTTTCATTGACTCACACTGAGATCTCGGCCCATCACTGAACCAATCATTATGGTCCAAGAGATGAGGCTCCTCATTGGCTGGGAGTTTGGCATGTCTCCACCTAGAGCTAGAAATGGCATCTCTTTCTTCTGAATGGCAAGGACTGAGCGAATTGTGGTTTTCCAATAGGAAGGCTTGGGGTTTATTCCTGGAGGGGATTCTGGGCAAGCAAAAGAGAGCCTGTTCATTAACTTGTTAATTTTCCAACCTCCTCCCTTTTTCAGCAGTTTGCTTTCTTATCTAAATAATTTTTAAAACCTAATTCATTATTACATTCTATATTATTATTATACAGATAGACAGAGAGGGTCTCACACTGTCTCCCAGGCTAGGATGCAGTGGCACAATCAATCAGAGCTCACTGTAGCCTTGATCTCTTGGGCTCAAGTGGTTCTCCTGCCTTGGCCCCCCAAAGTGCTGGGATGACGGGCACATGCCACCACACTGGCCTACATTCTTAATTTTTGTTGTTATTTTTTGTTCTTCTTAAGGAATTAACTGATGGTATCATACAGGTTCTTTGTTAGCCTTCTTGTTTATTCCACCTGCTTATTTATTTTAAAGTGGTATATTTTTTAAAAATTATGCTTTAAGTAAGTCATACTATCTTTGTATGAGGTAGTTATTACATTCACTGGGAAAATAATTCTAACATGAATCCAAATATAATAATTCCAGCCCTTGACTCAGTCACCAATCCAGATTGTTCTAATATCCTTTGTGGTACTCTTTAAACTTTTCTTACAAATACCAATGCATGAATCCCATGAGTCTATAAACATCGGATTCACAAGTAATTTCAGGAACCCAGAGAGAAATTTGGGGTGGGGGGAGAACATTTCATCCATTCTTTCTTTTAACTCTATGGAAAACTCTATAACTTTGTAAAATCATCCTAATTGTCAAATCCAAAGGACATTTTTTCAGTCCTTAAGACGTTTGGAAGATTTTGCTGCTCTGGAAATATTTGTTGATCCACTTTTCCTTCTTGAAATTCTTCACTTGGCTGGGCACCGTGGCTCACACCTGTTATCCCAGCGTTTTGGAAGGCCAAGGAAGGAGAACTGCTTGAGGCCAGGAATTTGAGACCAGTCTGGACAACATAGTAAGGCTCTGTCTCTAAAAAACAGAAAAAATTAGCTGGGCCTGGTGGTGCATGCCTGTAGTTCCAGGTAAGGCTGAGGTGGCAGGATTGCTCGCCCAGGAGTTTGAGGCTGCAGTGAGCTATGATTGCACAACTGCACTTCAGCCTAGGCAACAACAAGACCCTGTCTCTATAAAATAATACAAATTTTAAAAGTTAAAAAACAGAAATTCATTAATTCTTTCGCTTCCCTAAAAAAAGTATGCCTGGTTCTCCTACCTCTCTGCTCACTCATTTGCTGTCTCTTTTGTGATCTCTTTGTCCTTCTCTTACACTTTCTTTTTCTTTCTTTTATTTATTTATTTTTTTTTTTTGAGATGGAATTTTGCTCTTGTCACCCAAGCTGGAGTGCAATGGTGTGATCTTGGCTCACTGAAACCTCCGCCTCGCAGGTTCAAGTGATTCTCCTGCCTCAGCTTCCCGAGTAGCTGAGATTACAGGTGCACACCACCACACCCAGCTAATTTTCATATTTTTGGTAGAGCCAGGGTTTCACCACGTTGGTCAGGCTGTCTCGAACTCCTGACCTCAGGTGATCCACCCACCTCAGCCTCCCAAAGTGCTGGGGTTACAGTTGTGAGCCACCGCGCCTGGCCCTCTTACACTTTAATTACTGTGGTCCTCCAGACACTGCCCTTGGCCTTCTGCCCTCCTCACCTTGCCCACACACTCACTCAATCCGATGTTCTCATCCACTTGCATATTTCCAGTCCACATCTGCTTACTGATGCCTCTTAAGACTAGAACTCAGCCTGACCTTTCTTCAGAGCATTTCAGATTTATAGACGCAATAGCTGACAGACGTCATGCACGTGTCCCCACACATTTCCAAGGTAACACATCCATAATTGACCTTGAGATCTTCCCCAGATATCCACTTCCACTTTCTCTCTACCATTGCCTTAACGCAGATACTTTTTATCTTTCACCACAGCTTCCTCCAGCTGTCTCCCTGGCTACAGTCCTATTTCCTAAGCTCACTCCCAAGCTCATGTCCCTCCATGGATCCCTAGCACCTTCAGGAAATATTCTAGTCCAGGGGTGGGAAAACATTTTCTTAAAGGACCAGATAGTAAATAGTTCAGGTTTTGTAGGCCAAGAGGCAAAATAGAGGATATAATGGAGGTACTTACGCAAACATGTAAAAGACAGCTACTTAAGGTTGGGCGCGGTGGCTCACGCCTGTAATCCCAACATTTTGGGAGGCCAAGATGGCTGGATCACTTAAAATCAGGAGCTCAAAACCAGCCTGGCCAGCATGGTAAAACTGTGTCTCTACTAAAAATACAAAAAATTAGCTGGGCGTGTTGGTATGCACCTGTAATCCCAGTTACTTGGGAAGCTGAGGCAGGAGAATTGCTTGAACCTGGGAGGTGGAGGTTGCAGTGAGCCGAGATCATGCCACTGCACTCCAGCCTGGGAGAAAGAGCAAAACGTCATCTCAAAAAAAAAAAAAAAAGTAGCTACTTAAAAAGGAAAAAGCCATTTTTAACTCATGTACAGAAACCAGTTGTGGGCCAGATTTGGTCTGTAGGCCCTAATTTGCCATCTCCTCACAGGATGCATATAGTCCTGCATGATCCAGGCTCTGTTCTTCTCTATTCTCATTCTCACCACTCACTTTACACGGCAGCAAAGCTGCATGGCTTATGGGGTCATACTCCATGCTGTTTCCTGCCTCCCAGCCTTCCTTATGCTGCTTCCTCTGCCTGGTGTGCTTCCTCTTTCCCCAACTCCCCTGCTAGACTAACTCGCACCCGTTTGTTGTTACTCAGCTCAGGAACCTTTTCCTTTTGGAAGAATTCCCACTCTCTCCTGGGTAACCTGGAGGCTCCCTCCTGAGCTCCCACAATTCCTTGCACCTATTCCTATCATCCTCACATGGTAGTGCAACTACCTGTTTCAATGTCTGCATCAAGTACCAAACTGTGATTCCTTGATGAGCAGAACTGGATCTTAGTCATCCTATATCCTCAGGGGTTAGCACAGGGATTGGCCCAAAGCACACACCCAGTAAATGCCTATTGGCACTTGATTATGGCTCAATCTATTCTTTAGTAGAGGAAGAGTATTGTGTCATAAATAAGTTCTTTGAAATACCTGTACAGCAGCTTAACCGCCTACAGTGTCAATGGCCTATTTCTAACTCAGGGAGATCTATTCAATTTTAATAGTTTGAAAGTCATTTGTGGATAGCTAGATCCTTTGGGTGGTGGATGGCTCTAATAATACCAAGGGCACAGATTCAATAGCTATTTAGTAGAGAGTGCTTTGCTCTCCTGAGTGACCACAGGCTATATCTCCAGCCCAGCTGGCTGTTTTTCAGATTCCTGCCATTTGTCACAAAGAGCGGTAGACTCTAGACACAGACATCCATCACCCATGGCCGGAAAAAAATTGTTCAAATCACACACCTTTGATTAGAAAATAGAACACACTCCTGTGGAAAATGAACAGCATATAAAGAGAATGTTTAATATACAGAATAGTATAAAAAACAATAAATAGAGAAGTAGAGAAAATAATTCAGCCATCATTTCACCAACAGAAGGAAACCACTGTTAAAATGTGAACACTACTCTTTTTTCTATAATTTTCATCCTTGCTATGATTCTATTTATGCACCTTAGCTTCCAGATTTCTCTCCCTATTCAATATTATATCTAGAGCATTCCTCCAGGCTCCTATCATTCTTTGTGTTATTTTAAATTATTGCTTATTAATAGCTGATCAGATGGCTAAACTGTGACTTACACCATCATTGCTCATTTGCTGGAAAGATTTGTGGCATCTAGAACAAAATAACGTAATGTAAAAGTCTCCCTTTGTCCTAACCCTCCAATTCAGGTTCAAATGTTAGTCAAATTTATTTCTTTTCATACCTAAAGAAGGAAGATAGCATGGAGAATTGGAATTTGGACTGAAACAAATGAGATAATTTCATTTCTCCTTTTGTTTTGTAGATGAGAAAACTGAGATGCAGAGAATTTATGACTTATCCTGGAGGCCACTACCAGGACAAGAATTTTACTACAAACAATTCAGAATTCTCTCCAAGAATTGTGGTTCAGGGCCATGCTGACTCAGGGAGAGAAATGAAGCAACGGAGATTGTGACTGTCTTTCCTTTTCAGCATATCACTGACAAGTATGTGCTTTTTATATTTCTAATTGCAGAAGGTCATCCCTGCGGGTTCAATGGTATCTCCTGTATTCCCTTCTGGAAGCAAACCAGCAAGTGGAAAAAAATTATATTCTTTGTACAAATGGATGAAAATAAACATGTATGCAAATATCTTATTTATTCAACTTATATATGGGAACAGAAATACTCCCATTAAACCCAGCTCATTAGTACATAGATTTTGTCATATTTTAACAGTGAGTGAAACTCACAAATGCATTAAATGATCTTTTCTGAAAAGAATCTTTAGACAGAGAATAGCATGAGTGAGAAGGCTGGAGCACTTGTGAGCGGAATGCAGGATTGTAGCATTCAAGTCCTATTTGAGAATCACAAGCATAGAAGGAAGAATAAAAAATAGCAACTCCCATATACTACTTGCCAACATAATGCTCATGTTTATTTGTCTTGGCCATCAGGTTTTTCTGGGGAACATGACCATATGCTTCGCTTTCTAGGAGCATAAGCATTTCTATTTAATACACTAGCTAGGGAGCAAAAGATGGCTTTACAGCATATTTAATTCTATCCTTGACTTTGAAATGAAAATGGATGTCAGTTTCCCCTACCCCATCAAGCTGTTTTCCAAATGTTAAACTCTTCTGTCTTTCATCAGACCTCTTCCTACCTCATCTGTCAATGTCCTTTTATCTTCACAAATATTTTCTACTCAAATTAGATTAAAATAAACTTCTTTCTGTCTTACCTGCTGAGTTCCCCACAGTAATACTTTCTTAGTTCTTAGAAACCTGTCTACTCAGAGGTTAGACCTACAAGCAGAAGGCCTCAGAAGAATTCCCAAGGAAGATAGCATCAGTCCTGTTGTCCTAGGGAGGCTTCATCGAAAGAGAGAGAGAAGTGTTCCACTCACTTTCCATCAGCATCTTTTGAGGAAGGGAGGACACGATTTATTCATTCCAAATAACAGGGATTCTTTAGCTTTGCAAGTGCAGAAGCCTTAATTCCCATGACCTCTTGTGTAATTTTCCCATAAGGGAGCCAGAGAGAGGAGGAAGCATTCAAGAATCAAGCTATGATAAAGCCAAGCCAGCAGTCCTAATTTATTGAGCATTTCCTGTATGCCACTCACTGCTAAATTTTTCACACTCTTTATCTCACTCGGATCTTCATAAAAATCTTAGAGTTAAAGCTATTAGTATTGTCTTCTTGTACACTAGAAGACTGAAGGTCAGAGTGATTAAAACACTTGTCCAAATTCACATAGGTAGAAAGTGACACACCTAGAATTCAAATCCAGATGTCATTGGATCTCAGAGCCTGTGCCTTTAGCTACAACGTAATCTGTCTTCCTAGGAAAGTGTCCATGGATGATGCTGGGGCAAGAAATGGCAACCAGGTGGGAACTTGAAACAAAGAGTAGAGTTTGTGGGAATAAGAGACAAAAGGAAACTGCAGAGATTACCTGGGAAAGTGGAAAGTGGTCGCCTGAGCTGGTGTGGGTGGAGTGGGTTGAGGAACATAATCTCCAAATGGCCCTGCCCCTCCGGCTTTACATTGGCTTCACTCATGCTGAGTGCCTGCTATTCTTAAACGATCCCTCCATTGTCGTCTCTGTCTAGATTCTCTCCAGTCTCATGTCACATTCGCTCTCCCACACTAACTCCCACCATCCTGTGCTTTGGGTTCCTTGAATATGCTCTGTGTTCTCCCCTTTTTACCAGGACTGTTCTCTCTGACTGGAATCTTCTTTGTCCTTCCTCCCTTAGCCTGATTAACTTCACCTGGGATGCCACGTTGCATCCTCAGGACAAGTGTAGATGCTAGAACCAGGTTGCCTGGATTCAGTTTCCGAATCTACTTTTGCTGTGTGTGTGTGACCTTGGCTAAAGGATTTAACTTCTCTGTTTCCTCAACTAAAAGGCTGTCGTGAGGAGGAATGAGTTCAAACATGTGAAGTGCCCAGCACAGTGCCCAGCAGAGTTCAGAGCTCATGGGGCATTAGCTATCATTGTTCCTCATCCCCCAAACCTTAGCTGACCCTCATCTGGGAATCTTTCCTGATCCTGCTGAGCTGAAGCTACGTGGCACTCTATGGGGCATTCTGACATGGCACCTACATCCCTGCCTTACAAAGGTCTGCATCCTCATCCATCTCTTCTGATGGACTTTAAGCTCCTTGAGGACAGGAACCACATGGATCCTGTTTTCTACTGCTCTTTATTATACCTCCAGTGAAGTACTTAGCACTGGTTGCTCTCGATAAATAACTGTAGCTTTGCCTGCCCCCCAAGTTCTTACATTTGATTTTTAATTCCTGATCTTCAGTGCCAATTGCAGGGTCAATTTGCTCCATCAGGTATCAAGTTCCCAAGAAGAGATCTACCATTCATCACTTTTGTTTGGGAAATGCTGCTTTGGGATCATTTTTCTTGAGTGTTAATTTTGCAAGCAGTGTCTTCTAGGTAACCCATCATGGGCCATTGTGACCCAAAGGTAACCCATTTGGACCACTATGACCCAAAGATCCCCCTAAACACTCATGTTCTTGGCTTACATGACCTGAAGGAGAAGAAGAGTCCTAAAACTAGGCAAAGGAAACTGATATACATCGTTCTTATTTAAAACTTTATTACAGGAATTTCAAACATATTTCAAAGTAAGTAGATTAGTATCCTGAATTGCTGTGTACCAATATCCCAGCTTCAACAATTACCAACTCAGCCAATCTTGTTTTATCTATATCTTCATTGACTTATCCCCTTCTATCATTTTGGTGCAAATTATGTTTAATGTGTCATTTATTTCTTTATAATTGATGACATTGAGGTTTGGAAAGGTCAAGTAATTTTGGAAAAGTTAAGGTCCTCAGTAATTTCCATTGATTCATTCACTCAAACAAACATGTGTGTATCTATGTGTCAGGCACTGGCAAGTGAAAAGTAGTGAACCAGATGTACAGAATCTCTGCTTTCATGTCTTCTTGGGGTAGAAAGATGACTGGATCAGATGAGAAATAGTTGAACAAATATAATGAAGGAGAAAATTTTAGATAATGAGTAAGTGCTGAGAGGACAACAAAAGAGAGAATGCATAGAGATTGAGGTTTGGGTGGTGCTATGGCTTGCATGTATCCCCTCCAAAAGCATATTTTGGAAACTTAATGCCCAATGCAAATAGTGTTGGGAGGTGGGGCCTAATGGGTAGTGTTTAGGTTGTGAGGGTTCCAGCCTCATAAATGGATTCATGCGGATTATAAAAGAGCTTGAGGTTGTATCTTCTTTTCTCTCTCTCTGGCCTTCACCATGGGATGACACAGCAAGAAGACCCTCACAGGATGTGGTCACTTGATTTTGGACTTCCCGGCCTCCACAAATGTGAGCCAAATAAATTACTCTTCTTTATAAATTACCCAGTCTTAGGTACTCTGCTATAGCAGAACAAACAGGACTAAGACAAGTGGTAAGGGAAGGTCTCTCAGAAGAGGGGGCATTTGAGCTGAGCTCTCAATAAAGACAAGTGAGCCATGAGAAGATTTTAAAGCAGGAAATTTCAGACAAAGGGAACAAGTGCAGAGATTCCAAGGTGGGAATCAGCTAGAATATCTGAGAAAAAAAGAAGAACCAAGTGGCTGAAATGTGCTAAATGATAATTTTCAAAAAAGGATAAAATCATGACTCATGCAGATTTAACATAAACACTTGTTAAGGAATTAATTTAATTTAATTTATTCATCAGTGAGAGATCATAGCAGATGTTATAAATGTTTCAAAAGAGAAGTCACAACAGCACAAATTTATATGGAGTTAAGGAATATTCAAGTGAATGTGTAAACAGAGACAAAACTAGTTTCTTCAGGTGTGGTGGAAAGCCCATTGAATTTCTAAAGAACAGTATACATTTGCATATCTAGAGGCAAGAGTTATTTGGCATTGCCAAATTACAGAGCTGTAAAATAGCTTTCATATAATCTGAATCTACCTGATTCAGATTCTATGAATGTCTTCTAGAGTCTAGATATTGTATAGTGCTCATGGAAGCACAAATTATTCCCTCCAATCTGATTGAGAAGGATAATAATAGGAGATGAGATAGATGTAGTTAGGGCCCAGATCCTACATGGGCTCCAGACCCCCTTAAGAACTTTCAATTTTGTTTGAAGTTTCCAGGAAACCATAGGAGGACTTTAAAGCCAAAGAGAGGCACCCTCTTCTTCACCCATTGGACAAGGTCCACTTTGGCTGCTGGGTGAAGATCAAACTGCTGTGGGGGATGGATTTAATCAATGACTAAATTGTATTATTAACATATAATTTTCAAAAAAGGGTAAAATCCTGATGCTCATACAAATATTTAAAGAAAGCACTTGTTAAAGATTTTATTGAATTCATTAATCACTGAGGAAACTGGCAGTTGACCCAGTGAGAGGCAAGGATGGCTTGCAGGTAGCAGTGAAGATAGAGAGAAGAGGGATTCAGGATCACTTGTAGAGTTAGAGCTGAAAGAACTGGTTCTTGTTTTACCTAGAGTCTTGTTGCTAACTGATACGCAGAAAGAAACAAACCTTGAACCTCCAGAACTGGAAAAAGTGGGTAAGGAAGAGAAGACCTTAGCCTTGTAAAGAGGGTCAGGTGAATTAGCAAGAAAAAGCAGAGCTAGAGGCTGCAGGCACCTAGTTTTGAGAAAGGGAGTGAAACAGAAGGCAAACGACACTGAGGCCTGAAATCTGCACCAAGTTAACTGTACAATGTGCCATTGTGGCTGGTAATAATCCTTGCCTATACTGAACTGCTAGTCTGGAAATGCCCTCACACTTAGTGTGAATAGTGAATTTGGATCTGCAGGGGAAATGGGACAAGAAGGTACCTGCCTGTAAGAGAAAGGGGTTATAGCAGAGGTTACAATCCTCAAGGGTTCACCGGTAGGTGGAAATACAGCCCCTCACTCCTTGCTCATCACTACATCACCCCGTGATCCAATAATTTACCCAATATAAGTGGCAGGAGAAGGCCAATTATGGGAGTCTTGTTTGGGGGCTGCCTGAAGGGACTTCTTCCATTACGATTACTGTGACCTTGTTTGATAGATGTGAAAATCAAGTCCTAAAAAGGCTAAAAGAGCTGCCGAATGCCACAAAGAAGTGGCGTTGTCACTGGAAACCAGAGTCTCACTCAACAGTACTCGTCTCACTGCACTGTACAGCCCTAGTTCTACCATGCCAATTCGTTCAGAACAAGATCAGACTCAACTTTCTGTATCAGCACTATCCAAAAGCACTTGCTGCAATGATAGAAATGTATAATTATGCTGTCTGATACATTAGCTGATAGCCACATGTAGCAATTGAGTACTTGAAATATATTACTGAGACTGAGGAACTGAATTTTTAATTTAATTTAAATGTAAATAGACACATGTGGCTGGCTAATAGCTACTCTCTAGGACCATGAAGTTTTCTACCACAGCAAACTGTACATTTCTTAATAGGGCTTCATTGTGGACATTTGTCAATTCATTTTTGCTTGAACACCTTTCCTAGGTTTCAGCTCCTGGCCTTGAACAGTCCTCCCACCTCAGCCTGCCAAGTAGCTGGGATTACAGGCCTGAGCCACCATACCTGGCAACAAGAGTATGTTCTTTTATTATTATTATTATTATTATTATTATTATTATACTTTAAGTTCTAGGGTACATGTGCACAACGTTCAGGTTTGTTACATATGTATACATGTGCCATGTTGGTGTGCTGCACCCATTAACTCATCATTTACATTAGGTATATCTCCTAATGCTATCCCTCCCCCCTCCCCCCACCCCACAACAGGCCACAGTGTGTGATGTTCCCCTTCCTGTGTCCAAGTGTTCTCATTGTTCAATTCCCACCTATGAGTGAGAACATGCGGTGTTTGGTTTTTTGTCCTTGTGATAGTTTGCTGAGAGTGATGGTTTCCAGCTTCATCCATGTCCCTACAAAGGACATGAACCCATCCTTCTTTATGGCTGCATAGTATTCCATGGTGTATATGTGCCACATTTTCTTAATCCAGTCTATCATTGATGGACATTTGAGTTGGTTCCAAGTCTTTGCTATTGTGAATAGTGCCGCAATAAACATACGTGTGCATGTGTCTTTATAGGAGCATGATTTATAATCCTTTGGGTATATACCCAATAATAGGATGGCTGGGTCAAATGGTATTTCTAGTTCTAGATCCTTGAGGAATCGCCACACTGTCTTCCACAATGGTTGAACTAGTTTACATTCCCACCAACAGTGTAAAAGTGTTCCTATTTCTCCACATCCTCTCCAGCACCTGTTGTTTCCTGACTTTAACGATCGCCATTCTAACTGGTGTGAGATGATATCTCATAGTGGTTTTGATTTGCATTTCTCTGATGGCCAGTGATGATGAGCATTTTTTCATGTGTCTGTTGGCTGCATAAATGTCCTCTTTTCAGAAGTGTCTGTTCATATCCTTTGCCCACTTTTTGATGGGGTTGTTTGTTTGTTTCTTGTAAATTTGTTTGAGTTCTTTATAGATTCTGGTTATTAGCCCTTTGTCAGATGAGTAGATCGCAAAAATTTTCTCCCATTCTGTAGGTTGCCTGTTCACTCTGATGGTAGTTTCTTTTGCTGTGCAGAAGCTCTTTAGTTTAATTAGATCCCATTTGTCAATTTTGGCTTCTGTTGCCATTGCTTTTGGTGTTTTAGACATGAAGTCCTTGCTCATGCCTATGTCCTGAATGGTATTGCCTAGGTTTTCTTCTAGGGTTTTTATGGTTTTAGGTCTAACATATAAGTCTTTAATCCATCTTGAATTAATTTTTGTATAAAGTGTAAGGAAGAGATCCAGTTTCAGCTTTCTACATATGGCTAGCCAGTTTTCCCAGCACCATTTATTAAATAGGGAATCCTTTCCTCATTTCTTGTTTTTGTCAGGTTTGTCAAAGATCAGATGGTTTTAGATGTGTGATATTATTTCTGAGGGCTCTGTTCTGTTCCATTGGTCTATATCTCTGTTTTGGTACCAGTACCATGCTGTTTTGGTTACTGTAGCCTTGTAGTATAGTTTGAAGTCAGGTAGCATGATGCCTCCAGCTGTGTTCTTTTGGCTTAGGATTGACTTGGCAATGCGGGATCTTTTTTGGTTCCATATGAACTTTAAAGTAGTTTTTTCCAATTCTGTGAAGAAAGTCATTGGTAGCTTGATGGGGATGGCTTTGAATCTATAAATTACCTTGGGCAGTATGGCCATTTTCACGATATTGATTCTTCCTACCCATGAGCATGGAATGTTCTTCCATTTCTTTGTATCCTCTTTTATTTCACTGAGCAGTGGTTTGTAGTTCTCCTTGAAGAGGTCCTTCACGTCCCTTGTAAGTTGGATTCCTAGATATTTTATTCTCTTTGAGGCAATTGTGAATGGGAGTTCACTCATGATTTGGCTGTCTGTCTGTTATTGTTGTGTAAGAATGCTTGTGATTTTTGTACATTGATTTTGTATCCTGAGACTTTGCTGAAGTTGCTTATCAGCTTAAGGAGATTTTGGGCTGAGACGATGGGGTTTTCTAGATATACAATCATGTCGTCTGCAAACAGGGACAATTTGACTTCCTCTTTTCCTAATTGAATACCCTTTATTTCCTTCTCCTGCCTGATTTCTCTGGCCAGAACTTCCAACACTATGTTGAATAGGAGTGGTGAGAGAGGGCATCCCTGTCTTGTGCCAGTTGTCAAAGGGAATGCTTCCAGTTTTTGCCCATTCAGTATGATATTGGCTGTGGGTTTGTCATAGATAGCTCTTATTATTTTGAGATATGTCCCATCAATACCTAATTTATAGAGAGTTTTTAGCATGAAGGGTTGTTGAATTTTGTCAAAGGCCTTTTCTGCATCTATTGAGATAATCATGTGGTTTTTGTCTTTGGTTCTGTTTATATGCTGGATTATGTTTATTGATTTGCATATATTGAACCAGCCTTGCATCCCAGGGATGAAGCCCACTTGATCACGGTGGATAAGCTTCTTGATGTTCTGCTGGATTTGGTTTGCCAGTATTTTACTGAGGATTTTTGCATCAATGTTCATCAAGGATATTGGTCTAAAATTCTCTTTTTTGGTTGTGTCTCTGCCCGGCTTTGGTATCAGGATGATGCTGGCCTCATAAAATGAGTGAGGGAGGATTCCCTCTTTTTCTATTGATTGGAATAGTTTCAGAAGGAATGGTACCAGTTCCTCCTTGTACCTCTGTTAGAATTCGGCTGTGAATCCCTCTGGTCCTGGACTCTTTTTGGTTAGTAAGCTATTGATTATTGCCACAATTTCAGAGCCTGTTATTGGTCTATTCAGAGATTCAACTTCTACCTGGTTTAGTCTTGGGAGGGTGTATGCGTCCAGGAATTTATCCATTTCTTCTAGATGTTCTAGTTTATGTGTGTAGTAGTGTTTATAGTATTCTCTGATGGTAGTTTGTATTTCAGAGGGATCGGTGGTGATATCCCCTTTATCATTTTTTATTGCATCTATTTGATTTTCTCTCTTTTCTTCTTTATTAGTCTTGCTAGTGGTCTATCAATTTTGTTGATCTTTTCAAAAAACCAGCTCCAGGATTCATTGATTTTTTGAAGGGTTTTTTTGTGTCTCTATCTCCTTCAGTTCTGCTCTGATCTTAGTTATTTCTTGCCTTCTGCTAGCTTTTGAATGTGTTTGCTCTTGCTTCTCTAGTTCTTTTAATTGTGATGTTAGGGTGTCAATTTTAGATCTTTCCTGCTTTCTCTTGTGGGCATTTAGTGCTATAAATTTCCGTCTACCCACTGCTTTAAATGTGTCCCAGAGGTTCTGGTATGTTGTGTCTTTGTTCTCGTTGGTTTCAAAGAACATCTTTATTTCTGCCTTCATTTCGCCCTGCTTCGGCTCACGCTCAGTGGGCTGCACCCACTGTACTGCACCCACTGTCCAACAAGCCCCAGTGAGATTAACCCGGTACCCCAGTTGGAAATGCAGAAATCACCCATCTTCTGCGTCCCTCACGCTGGGAGCTGTAGACTGGATCTGTTCCTATTTGGCCATCTTGGAACCGCCCCCAGGAGTATGTTCTACAATAGCTACAAGTAGCTAAAATTTCTAGTATGCTTATTTTACACTAGCCAATAGGCTAAGCCCTCTGTGTATATTATCTTAATTAAGTTTTATAATGATTCAGTTTTGTTTTTCTCTTTATTTTATAGGTAAGAAAACTGCAGCTTAATAAAATCTAGTGTGTTGCACTGGGTCACGTAGTTAATAAAGAGTGGTGGCAGGATTTGAGTGTAATTCTCTTTGGCTCCAAACCCCATGCGTGGTTCTGTTCAAACTATTTCACTGCTTTTAATATGCAGAATCTTCCTGAGAGAGGTGGGAGAAATAAACTAGATTTCTGCCCCAAAATAGACCCAAGGACAAAAAACAAACAAAAAAACCCCAAACATACTTTTCTTCAAGTCGGTAGTTTAACACTTACAATTGAATAGTTCCATCTTCCTATGAATTTTTTTTCAAAATTCTGAGACCCAACTCACTTTTCCCTACAATTCCTTTGTTGCAAATTGTTTTAGGATTCTCACTTAACTGTCACAACAAAGCTTTGTAGTAATAAAATTGCTTCAGCTAATTTTTTATTTTATTTTTTGAGACAGAGTCTCGCTCTGTCACCCAGGCTGGAGTGCAGTGGCACTATCTCGGCTCACTGCTGCCTCCACCTCCTGGGTTCAAGTGATTCTCCTGACTCAGCCTCCCGAGTAGTTGGGACTACAGATGCCCGCCACCACGGCTGGCTATTTTTGCATTTTCGGTAGAGATAGAGTTTCATCATGTTGACCAGCCTGGTCTCAAACTCCTGATTTCAGGTGATCCACCAGCCTTGGCCTCCCAAATTGTTGGGATTACAGGCATGACCCACCGCACCCTGCCAGCTGTTTTTAATGAAATTTTCTTAATTTATGTTTTAAATGTTGGTGTAATACAACAAATAAAAGCCTTCATTTCCTCTCCTAACATCAATTGCTTCTCCCACAGGAAACACCAAAATAGCTAGGTATGTTTATCTCTAGACATTGATACATTTATAAACAGATGTACATTCTATATAGAGTTTTTAATCATTTGATTTATACAGATGGAATTATAGTATGCCTACTGCTCTGTTCCTTCACTTGTTCTTTTATCTCATCATGGATATCTTTCCACGGTGGTATATATACAGCCATCTCATTCTTTTTAACAACCCAGGTTATTTTGCAAAGCAGAATTTAAATGGTCATTATAATATATCATATTCTCCTTTTCCCCTGCTGGCTAAGCACTCACACCAGGCTCATAAAAAGAATGCTGGGTCTGAAGTTCTTTAAAATGAGCACTAGTCTATTTCCCCTTCTGATATAACTGTTGGAAAGTGATTTTTCTCTTGCTTATATTTCATTCTCTGGAGTGTTTCATTTGTTCCTGCCTGGAGCTAATCTTCAGTGTAAAGGAAGCTTTTTTGCCACCCATTATTCCATTTAAAAACAAACAAACAACAACAACAAAAAAAACAATTGGGTTTCCCAAAAGGATAGACCAGCAATGTCTTCTAACAAACTCCTTCAAAATGATCCTGTCTGCAACCACATTTGTCAATAAGAGAATTATAAGGGGAATGGAGAATTTAATATGCGTTGGGACCTCCCCTCCTTCCAGTTTTGTGTGTGTAGGAGACTGTAATGAAGAAGCCGATTAGTATTTAATGCCCTAATCTGTACAATGCTCTCCTTGATAGAGCTTTAATTATTTAGAAGGTCTTGAAGGCAGCCAATGTACTTAATACACTGCACAGGGAAACGTGCAAATCACCCGAGTAAGGGAAATTGCAAGTCAGAGGAAAATGGTCAGCTCCCAGTCAGAGCTGACCAAGTCCTCCACAACAAGACTCGATTTCCAGCTGGATCATTTCACTAGGCAGCAGCACTGAAGCTTTTAGCTTGTATGTGCAAAGGGCTTTAAAAAGTCATGTACATCCTAAGCATTTAATTTTAAAGGTCCCCATGGGAGGGTGGCCTCTGTGAGCTTGACTAAACTGAAATGTTTTGGTTCAACAAGGAAGAGAGACAATGGGGAGGGATCAGAATCCAAGCTTTTGGAAAGCCCTCCAGGTTTTGTCTTCAGGGACCAAACTGGCTGAGGCTTTCTGTCACGGTTCCAGAATGAATAACGCACACAACTAATTAAGAGTAGTCTTGAATAATTAACATCTGTGCAACCAGACAGCTTTGCCTCGGGACCATTAAGAAGCAAATCCAAAAGTGAATGGTACACAGTCAGCAATGGTTTCTGCAGGAGATATGCACCCCCCACCTCAAGACACAATTCTGAGAAGCATTTCATGAGGTTCTTCAAAAGGTCCCAGGGGACCTGCAATGGTCACCCAGAGCAGCAGCAGGTGACCCCCACTGGGCTTTACAGTGTCCCTGTCTCCTACTATGTCTCTCTCCCGTCTCTCACTCCCTAGGATCACTTCCCACATAAATCACTTACACACACACACACACACACACACACACACACACACACACACACACTGAATGGCACGGTTTGGAAGCAGATGATGCTTGACAGATTCTGCTTGGAAGGAGGTAGGGGAGAGGAGGTGGCATAGAGGAGGGAAAAGATCTCCATAATTGATATCAACAGAGTTGAAATTAAAGTTGGGATAGAGCAAAACAGAATGAATGAATTCAGGCTAAAGATCCACTGTAATATAAATCTTCTACTTATCAGATTAGATTAATTAGAATGATGTACAGTTCAACACAGACTTAATTTTTATGTCATCCTGTTTTATCTCCCCTTTGTTTCAAAATTAGCCATACTTTTTTGCTTACACAGAAACATACATAAAATATAAAACAAATATGTAAATATAAAATATATATAATATATGAAAATAATGCTACAATATATATTTCTGCTTAAGTGTGAAAAGATAACAAGGAGTTGGTGTCTGTGGTTTCCTCTGATGTCAAAGTCAGAAAATGGGTCCCCTACAGATAAAACTTAAAAGAGGCTCATTTTTGTATTACAAACTCTTTTGTATATGTTCAATTTTGTATCATATGCATACATTACCTAAGCAAAAAAGAAAGTTCATTTTAAAAACATGCTTTTGGCAGTAATAATCTAGGATTCCTCCTCTTCCAGCCCCCTCCTTAGCAATAGTTTGGTGTATATCCTTCTAAATCAATGGTTCTCAACCTGGCTGTGTACTGAAATTTGTGTGTGAGAATGTGTAATGTGTGTTTGCGTATAAGTATATACATTATGTATGATCAATATATAGTTGTATGTTGTTTGCTGGTCTTTTTTTTTTTTTTTACTTCTTTTGGTTACACAGTAATCAATTTTAGGTTTGATTCTTGCTGAGTCTTATCGCTGATTCTAAATTTGCCCTTTCCATAGTAATGCATAACAGGATAAATATATTTTCATATATATATAATATATTTATCTCTCTTTACATATATATGTGTGTTTATGTATATGTATGTGAGTGTGTGTGTGTGTGTATATATATATATATAAATAGTAAATAGTTTACATTGTTTCAAACTAATACAAGCCAAAGAAAGGTATTTTATTTGAGAATACTGAGATGTCTCATGGAAGTTAAAGTTAGCTGCTAAAATAAACACCAAATTCACAATGACCTGACAAAGGAAATGTTTGTTTGTCACTCATTTCACAGGTTAGTTGAGTCTTTGCCAGGTGACCTTCCACAAAGTGATTCAGGAACTTAGACTTATTCTAGCTAATGGCTCCACTGAGCCTTGAATCTTCTGCTGGATCCTGTTCCCTGGCCAGTCAATGAACACAGAGAGAGAATGAGCTGGGTAGGGCTTGTGGAAGAATTAAGGTACCCCGTCTGGAAGCAGCACATCACTTCTGTCCATAGTCCATCAGCTGGGACTCAGTCACATGGCATTACTCAACTGCAGGGGAGGCTGGCAATGTGGTATAGCAATGTGCCCAGGGAGAAGAGGAGAGCTTGGGTACTGGCAAGTTCCAGAAGCCCATCATAAGCAGGAAGTGTGGGCTGGCCTAAACAAACACACGGCCAATGCTTAACAACCCCAGCAACTGGGCCTTCTCTCATCCTCTCTCTCTGGTACTGCATCATGTGTCTTTGCTTCTCCCTGAACAACTAAATACATCATTCTTCTCTCCCCTCCCCTCTTTCTCTTCCTCTACCTCTCCAGGTACACTTAAGAGAATGTCTGCGGTTTGTCTGCCAGACAGTGTCTACTCTCAAAATAATTATCTAATTTTAGTACTTCTGACACCACCTAAGGGTTCAGTTTGCAATGAGAGCCTGTTAGGGATTTGGACTTGGTGGGGGAACGCTTCTTTGAGGAGTAACACTTAAGCTGAAATCTGATGAATGAGGTGGGAGAAAGGGGAGGGGTCAGGGTGGGGCGAGACAGGCGAATGATGGAGAACCCCAGGCAGAGGAAACAGAATTCTTTACACTGGTTGCCAAGGAGAGGTAAATGGTGTCACCCAGGCAGTATGTGATGGGGTCTACGGCAAACAGAAACTTGTTGACCATCATGAGAATTTTCTGTTCTTTCCCTCATGACAAGGAAAATTAATCTCTTTTCTTTAAATATTTATTTTTTAGAATAGGGACCACTCTAGCTCTTAGGCTTTTTCTTAAAAAAATTGCTAGGGTAGCATAATTGATGGGGCAGAGTGGTTTTGGCTACTGTAGTCATAGGGATTGGACTATACCTGTTTGGCTATAGTCATAGGAATTGGAAAACCTGGTCATGACCAGGCTATGTGATAATGTATGATAACCACATAGCCCCCTCTTCTTCAGATTAGCTTATCCATGCCATCAGGAATGTTAAATGAAGTCACTTAGAGTTAAAAGTCTGGAAATTTTTTTATCATGTATAATTGCCGGAAAATTGATAAATGCAGCAATTATCAGGCAAAGATTGAGCTGAAACATGCCTATTAAAAGGATGCTAAGATTTAGTTTATAGTGTGTTTTATATAGCTAGCTCCTCATTGGTTGAAACATTAGTGGCATTGAATCTCTGTGCAACAATCACTACAACTCATATTTATTTATTGTGGATGGAAAGTCAGTGGGCAGAAATGTGTTGTTAATGATGCGTTGGCATGGCATTTCTGAAATTATGAAACATAGCCTGAAATATTAAAATATCCTCTTATCAAGTGCAAAGTTAAATTTAAAAAAATTGTTCTACTACATGAGTGTCAATTTCTTCATACTGATAGAAATAGTACAGACTTAGTACAAAACTAAAGTGAAATGCTATCCAGGACTAAATAAACCCTAACTAACTTTTAGACTATTTGGGCAAGTATGCAATAAGAAAAATAGACATAATTATCAATATTTTACAGACGGGAACTGAATTAACTATAAATATCTTACAAAATAAAAGAGCTTTAAATTATCATGAAAATTATGTTGTAATAGTCTTGCTCTTTGCTCTCTGACAATAATTTTTTATGTGAAATCCTAACTGTAGTGTTTACTAGGTATATGACCTTAGGTAATTTATTTAATCTTTCTGAGCCTCAGTTTTGTCATCTGTAAAGTGTATATCTTAATTAGGACAGATTCTATAAACTTGTTTTGAAGATTAATTGAGATACTTTATCTAAAGCACTTAGCATAATTCCTAGCACTTAATATAAGTCAGTACTCAATAAAAAGTAGTTATTATCTATAGTAGAATTTTACTACAAACCTTCGGAAACACAGCTTCCAAGTGTTCACTCAATAAAATATAGTTTTGAAATACCACTAGATATTTGGAGGTAGATACACAAAGAAATACAAATGTTATTGTCCCTACCTTTGAAAATTTATAGTGCTTTTGTAGGGAATAAGACTAAGTGAGGTTAAATACCCTATGAGGAAATAGGGGATTAATGATAAACTGATGTCATAGACCTGTGTTTCTTGATTTTAGACTTTGTTTAAAGAAAAGTGTTATATCAGGCACTCAGGGTTAACTTAAATTATTTTTACTGTAATGCTATTTACATATAGTATGCACAAAGACAAATGCATGTTATAAACTCCTTCTTGCTCTAAGGTACCTATGAAACAAAAGAAAATAAAGAAATTAAATACAAGCTACAAAATCATTAAAATTCAAATATACAGCATTTATTTAACATTTTTAATAATGTTGTTTCCTGAAACCAAATGGTGTTTTAGAGATTTTTGGTTTGGGAGGTGGGGAGGTAGCAGGTGTCAGACAGGGCTTTCTGGTAAAGGTGGAATTTAAGATAGCAAAGGTGAAGAGGAATAATATGTGCAAGTTCTCCTTAGGAAGTAAGTTGGCTGCCTGGCAACCTGAGTAGGTGGTTTGTTAGATAATTTTGATGAAAGGAAGGAAAAAATTAAGATAAGTGAAAGTTGCAAAGTTAAGAAAATTTCTTACAAACTAGGGGATATCTGTGCTTGTTTAAAGATACAAAGAAGGAAACAACTGAGGAAAAGCCAGGAGGGGAGAGTGTGTCAGTATCACTGTAGTGCTGATCTTCTCATCTATCCTGCCCCTTCTCCTTCTCTTTCCTCCCTTGACAAACTCCTTCTACCCTACTCCACCTTCTTCACTGTGATTGGTCTACAGAGGGGTCTATGAGCTTAGTTTAGCCAATCAGGTTGTTTCTCCTGAGATTTTGAAACTGGAGCAGTGAACCAGTATTAAAAGGAATCTGACATTGTCATCTTATGGTGCCATCCCAGAGGAAAGAACCACAGCTTCTACTGCCAAGGTCTTTACCAGGTCTTGATTTTTCAACTCTTTTGGGTAAATCAGTCTTTGCCTAGCTTAGCCAGAATCACATTAAATGCAACCAAAAGAGCATTAACTGATACATAAGAAGGGGGCTGTACATGTTGATATAAAGACCCACACTTTTTGGGTTGGGGGCACTAAGGGAAGCATAAAGGATAAGTGTTAGTCACAGATAGACAGGCAGATGAAGGGGTTCAGATTAAATGACCTCAAGCTTCTCAACAAAGTAAGAAGTTGGATTGTCTGCCAAGCATAAGGTGGTGGAATGTGATTATAAAAAGTGTTTAACATTTGAAGACATTTTAATCTTCTTAGCTTATGGTACAGAATCTATGTAGTGCGTGATCTGACACTGTTAAGAAGGTGTTTGACTAAACTAATTGCTAGTCACTGGAATTTAGGGTTAGAAGAAGGAAGAAGTTGGATCTTATGTGTGTCAGGGAATGGGTAGAGACAATCTTAAACAGTGTGGTAACAGAGCTAAGCATTATCTGGAGAAAAGGTGAGGGCAGAAGGCCCCCCTGCAGTAGCCCAACCAAAGAGAGAATTTGATAAGTTTTGAAACAGCTAGGGAATACCAAGTGTTGCAGGAGTGAGGGAAATGGGGAAATACTGGTCTGAGAGTACAAATATGCAGTTAAAGATGAATAGGTTCTGGATTCTAATGTACAGCATGGTGACTGGTTAATAATTTGTTGTGTACTTCAAATTTGCTACAAGGGTAGATCTTGAGTATTCTTGCCACACAAAAAAGTAACTATGTGAGGTCATGAATGTGTTAATTGGCTTGATTGTGGTAATAACTGCACAATGTTTACTGATATCAAAGCATCATGTCATACATACATACACCTTAAACATATACAATTGTTATATTTCATATACCTTAATAAAACTGAGGAAAAGGAATAATTAATGAATGGAGATTTATTCTGTGTTTTTGCTGAGTGGTATGTGATTAAATTTCCCTCCACAGTCTTTCCTAGAAAAGCTTCTATAAGTGTCCCACCATGCTTTTCTGCTTGGAGTCAGTAGCCATTTATTTGTGCAGGGAAAGCAAGGAAGGATAGAGTAAAAGAGGTGGACAAGATGCAACTCTCATAGGGTTACGCAACCAATTTCTTGGGAACCAACAAGAGACAATAAAATGTTTTCAAGTAAGAATCTGCAATAGAAAAAGTTGTTAGTGTCCAAGGACTTGCTCTGACAATTCTGTTTTGAGGAACCTGCAATCAACAGACAAGATGCATACAAAAATGGAGATGGTATAAAAGAATAAGGAGGTCAATTAAATCCTTTTTCCAAAAAACAACTATAAAGTTGGACAAAATTGTCAAAAACAATCATTTTGGGGCTCTAGAAATCAACCAAATAGAAAAAACAAATGGAGAATCATATATTCGTGAAAGACTGCACAATTTCAGGTAAGAACTGTAGGAGTCTATGGTTTTCTTGCCTATAGCCACCCCCACACCACACCCTAAGTTGCTCAGTACAGTAGTTTTATCAGACAGAATTAACCATGAAAACTAGTAGCTTTGTTGGTGGAGGATGCTAACTTGATTTAGAACAGAGAATGGAAAACCTGTTCCCAATGGCAAAGGAGATAAGCTTACAGCTCTCTGAGGCTGATTGTGGTCCTGATTGGGATGAGTGGTAGATCAAAAGATTAATAAGAACTTTATAGGGAGATGAGTTAGCTATTGAAAAGCTTAATAAGCATTCCACAAGTCCCTGATTTTGTGGTAGCCTATGTATTTGTAAAATTGATAACCAAGAGAGCTCAGTAGAAAGGAAATACTTGAGCAGACTTGAAAAATGCCCAAATTTTGAATGCTTTCCTGAAACTATCACATTACCACCAGCTGAGAGTGGGAGCCTTATGGGCTCAAGGTGTTTGAGCACAAGCACCAACCAATCATTGGTTGACCACTAGTCTATATAGATACACACTAAAACATAAAAGTTAAAGAAAAACTGAGAAAAGACATCACAGGCTGCAAATTGGGGTGACAGTCTGGTTCTGTAGATTAAGTACAGTTAAGTTACTTAAAACAACAATAAATAAAAAAACAAATAAATATCACTTGAGGAAAAAATGCTATAAAATGTTATCTAAAATATCCAGTTTTCAATAAAAAATTATAAGAGCTGGAAAACCAGGAGAGTGGGATCTATATTCAAGGAAAAAAACTAGTCAGTAGAAACTGCTTCTGTGTGGACCCACATGTTGGATTTAACAGAAAAGACTTCAAAGAAGCTATTATAAATATATTCAAGTAATTGGGAAAAAAAACATGTTTAAAGAACAATAACAACAAAACATGATGGCCATGACTGAACAAATAGGGAATATTAATAAAGAAATAGAATTTATTAAAAAGAGCCAAATGAAAATACTAAAGTTGAAAAATACAAGAATCAAAATGAATATTTCACTAGATGGGCTAGTTATTAGTAGAACTGAGATGACAAAAGAATCAGTGAACTTGAAGATAGATCAATGAAACTGATTCAATATGAAGGATACAAAGAAAAAAACATTAGAGAAAAAATTAAAAACAGTACTACCATATGAACTAGCAATTCCACTTCTGAGTATATGTCCAAAGGTAATGAAATCAATATGTCAAAGAGATATCTGCACCCCCATGCCCATTATAGCTTTATTCACAATAGCCAAGACATAGAATCAACCTAAGAGTCCATCAACAGATGAATGAAGAAAATGTGTTATATATACACAGTGGAATTCTGGAAGTATGTATATATGTATGAGTATGATCTCACTTATAGGTGGAAAATAAAGTCAAACTCTTAGAAGCAGAGAGTAGAATAGTGGTTACCAGAGGCAGGGAGCAGTGAGAGGATGTGCTATTCTGAAGATGTTGATTAAAGGTTACATAGTTTCAGTTAGACAAAACAATAAGTTCAGGAGATCTATTGTACAATGTGGTGACTATAATTAATAATAATGTATCATATACTTGAAAATTGCCAAGAGTGTAGATAAGAGAATAGAATCTAGCCACAAATAAAAATAATTACACTCCATGATCAAGTGGAATTTACTATAGGAATGCAAGGTTGGTTTAACATTAGAGTGCAGTATGGGGTCTGCCACCAGCTTGATTCAGCTTGATGAAAACATTAGCTATCAGTGTTCTTGATGGCAAGCAAGAGTAACCAGTTCTGATGTACTTAGGCAAAGAAGAAAATCACTGGAGAGATAGGTAACTCACTGAATTAATAGGGCAGAATCAGATACAGGAAACAGGCTCAAAACCCCAGGGAGGCCAGGCGTGGTGGCTCATGCCTGAAATCCCAGCACTTTGGGAGGCTGAGGCAGGTGGATCATGAGGTCAAGAGATGGAGACCATCCTGGCCAACTTGGTGAAACCCTGTCTCTACTAAAAATACAAAAATTAGCTGGGCATGGTGGTGCACATCTGTTGTCCCAGCTACTTGGGAGGTCGAGGTAGGAGAATGGCTTGAACCCAGGAGATGGACGTTACAGTGAGCTGAGACCGCACCACTGCATTGCAGCCTGGTGACTGAGCAAGACTCCATCTCAAAAAAAAAAAAAAAAAAAAAAACAAAAAAACCCTCAAGGGGATGTGTGGCCAGAACTGCAGTCAAAATTAGGCTACAGGATCAATTTGAGTAGCCTGCTGCTTGTGCCTCTACTGATGTTAAAACTGACTTAGATCCCCAAGTGCCTAAATTCTGCTGCTGCTTTCGTAAGAGTCAGTATTAACTGTCACATTACTGGCTCCTGAGTCAAATGCCAGAGAGGGAGCTGTTGACTGGTTGCGATTAGGTCAATGGACTTTGCTCCAGCCATTGCAGCAGTGTGAAGCCATTGAAGAGTGTGAAGACAGAAATTCTCAAGACTTTGAGCTAAAAACATTGAGGCAACAGAAGCCATGCTTTCAAGTTTGAAAAATGCAAAAGAAAGAAGCATCTTCCCCCACTTATACACCAAACAGGCTATTGGAATTATTAGGAAAATAACGGCCATTTTATTTAAAAAGTTGAAAGCATTACACTCTGTGCCCTTCCCTCACCTTCTTCCTTCCAGGGAAGATTGAGCAATTCTGTGAAATAGCATTTCACCTATATATTTCTAGGGTCACAAAGACAATTTAAACAAAATGGTTTACAAAGATGTACTCTACTCCTTTGGGGCTAGTTTTGTATGACAATACTCACCACATAAGTTCTTGAGACATTAATGTTTACTGCTTTACTGCTGAAGAGAAGTATGGTGCTGAATTCAATTTTTGCTATTTTATACTTAGTCTTTTTCCACTTTCCCACTCTCCCCACACCCAGATCCTTTTAGGATTTATACATTATTGAAACAGAAAGTCTTCTAGGATGATTAAATTTTTCACTGATAACCCTGAATGGTGGTGACCCCTTTCACAGCTATACACAGAGTGTTTTGTACAGTTTGTTTTGTTTCAGCTATAGAAAGTTTACTCAATTATCTTTTCCAGGATTACTTCCATTTAAAATATTCTGGCTCTTTCCTTTGGAGTACCTATTAATGATTAGGTACAATTTCCATTCCAAATCTATTGAATTGTCTTATTGTCTTTGTCCTTTACTGCTGAGACTGAAAGAACATCTCAACTTCATCTTCTACATCAGTGATTTAATTCTCAATAGTGACTATTTGTCTCTTTTTTATCCTATATAAAAATTTTAATCCTGCCATTGCAATTTTGATTTTCCTATTATCACTCCTTAGCCCATCAATCTCATTTTCATTCCATTTTATTTTCATTTCACTTTGATTCCCTTATGGCAGCCTTTTTTGTCATATAGAGGTCATATCTTTTTGTATTCAATTATGGACATCAAGCGTTTTTCTGATTTTCCCCTGTTTTTGTGCATAATCATTTTTGGAAGATAGCTCTGAATCTTTAGGGTAATACTTTTTTTCCTTTTTATGCCATATTTCTTCACAGATTCCTGTTGGATTCCCCCCACCCCATTCATTCATATAGAAGAATGAGAGTCCATCTAATCTCTTGTTTGTTAACCATGTTTGCACCAACATGGTGCAAGAATTGACAATTAATTCATACTTTGTCCTCTTGGTTGCATGTGCTATTCATTAATGAGTGTTTTAAAGGAGGCTATTTTTATGTGTGAAGCAGTCAAAAAAAAAAACAACTAACCTAAGAGATAACCTTGGAAAATAATGTCGGGTGTATAGTTCCCATCTTTATTCTCAAGATCTTGCATAAATTCATTGAGTGCAGCTCTGTTGATCTGTTGTGATCTTACTCTATTACCACTAGGTAGTATTTTATGAAATACATGAAAAATCTACAATTTCCAGCAAGTACCAGAGGCATGTCCTTTGTCTTCTCTTGTTATTCCTCTCAGCTTCCTGTCCATTTGATTTCTGGGAGCTTTGGTCTCTTATTAGATGTAACAAAAGAGAGAACGGCCTGGGGTGGGAGGGAGTGAAAATGAATGGAAGGAAGACAGCACCATGACGACTTCAAAAATAAACACCTGTAGTATAGGGGACATATGTGTGATTTACAAGTAAGTCTAATCTGGTATTTTGGAGGGGTCTGACAGATAAAGGCTCTTCCACTTCCTATTAATTAGGCATTACAGTCAGCAGAAAGGTATGCAACATATTAGCTCTAGGTTGACCATCAGCCCTAGTTTGGCTTATAGCTCTGGGGTTTCACCATGTATCATGGCTTCCTATGTATTCTAATGGAAAGTGTGAGAGTGTGCATCAAAAGCTGCTAATCAGATGCTATTCTAAACCAGAAGCCACAGGGGAAAACTGTAAATGAGCACTCACCCAAATGATGATGAATGTCAAGTTAGTGGAGTCTGAAAGCAGGAGATCTTATTTATTGTATAAAAGCAGAAAAATGATCTTTTCTAATTAAACAAGGGTCTCAGCTTCACAGTGTTTATTGTTAGAGAAAAACTAAAATTCGATCTATGATGGTGCTTTTAAAATGAAAGAAACCTCATTTTTGATTTGTATTTTACTATGCTGCAGCTCTCCTATAAATTAGAAATGATCATGACACTGTGAGAATTTATTAACACCATAAATATGGTGAGATTATTTTATAATAGTGTTACTCAGTTCTCCTCTATAAATGCTTATCTTCAATAATTCTGATTCTCTAGAGGAGAAAAAGCCTGACTCTAGCACCTCACACTTTAATGAATTTATGGTACATATATTTTTAAGATGGTCAACATTTCTTTCTTTTCCCTATGAAAGCATATAATAAAGTCATAAACTGTTCTTAATCACATAGTGTCTTTTTTATAGTCAAATGTTGCATTTCACAGATTAGTGTCCAATTTTCTTTGAACCTTTCATGATTTTAACAGAAACACCATTTTTAAATGCTTATTTTAAAGTCAGCAGACATAAACAGGTCCTGTGACAGGCAAAAAGACACTTTTTTTCTGGGATTATGTGAAAGTGACTGGGTTGCACATGCTATTAACATATGAGGTTTTTAAAGGAGGCTCTTTTTTATGTAAGAAGGAGTCTCAAAAAAGTACACAGTACCATTGTGAAAATAACAGCCTTTACACTTGTCAAGGGAAATAAAGAGGCATCAGGCTGCTATTTTTCAAATTATGCAGGATTGATTTAGTGTAGACTGCCACCGAACATTCTTCATAAACCTGCTATGTTAAAATGTAAATTCTTAATTCAATAATTTTCCTCCAAGCTCCTCCCACCCTTGCTTTGTCTTTATTTCTCCAATTCTTTGTAGGAGATTAGAGGACACATTATTCGTGGGTCGGGAGGAATTCAATGAATCATGAAGAAAAGATAATTTATAAAGGCAAGTCACTATCTCATGTTCAATATGCGTAAATAATAATGATGTATTGTCATGATACAATGATCTGTTTTCTATTTACAGCTCTTGTCCTGGGAAAAATTAAGTGCCACATAATTTCCATGTAAAAAGATCAATTTATGAGCCACTTGTCTATCAGAGGTGAGCATCATTTGGAAGCAATGAGTATGCCAGTGAATTGCATTGTTTCTTTCTTTTGGAAACAATACAAGCTCAAACTGTTGACATCCACTCCTGCTCTTTGACAAAAAAGAGCAAATGGTTTCAAGAGTGAACACTAAGTTATTTATGGCAAAGCACAGTTGTTTTTGGCCACAGTATGTTGGTTTGGCTTTATAATGTTTCTAAAAAGGTATATATACATTTGTCCAAAGTGTATATGTCTAAAATTATGTGATGCCAGTGGCACAACTGATGACACTGATGACATGGTTTTTATTTAATGTTTTATAAAGCAATTTGCTTCTGGGTACTTTTAGAAGCTACAGCATCAGTGTTGTCTAGTTAACTTTTTTGGTTGAATCTTTTGTCAACTAAGCCAAGGAAGGTTTTTTAAATTGAGGTATAATATGCATACAGCAACATGCACAAATTCTAAGCAGATAGCTTGGTGAATGTTTACATATATCTATGGCCATTGTAACAACTAACCAGATCAAGATACAAGCATTTCCAGCCACTCAGAAGGCTCCTTCACACCTCTGCCCAAGATGTGACCAATACTTTAATTACTTTCACTAAATAATCATCTTTCTTATATCTGAACTTATAAATGGAATTTACAATATGAACTCTTATGTCTACCTTCCCATAGAAGCCAGTCATAAGAATGATTTCACTCAATTATTCTTTGGATTAGGCTAAATTGCTAGTTTCTCTGGTTTTTTAGAGGTCCAATAGCAGTGTCATTTTAGAAATAACAATTGCCTTTTCCTCATAAGGTTTTGGGTGGAGTTTTGTCCTCTTTGGAGAAGGAACATTCATTCACTTATTTATTTATTCGTTCATTTACAGAATATGTATTAAGCATCTACCACGTGCCATGGGAAGTGCTGGTGTAACCAGGAAGATGAAGAAAAAAATGCACATGGTAACCAACCCCAGGGGTTTACAGTCCAATGAGGGAGACCGACAAAACACCAAGCAAATGTAGAAGTGGTGGTCAGTGACTTCAAGTAAAAGTAAAGGAGATGGATGTGATGAAAGACAGTAACAGAAGTTATATTTCAGACAGGTTGTTCAGGGAGGGCCTCTGAGGAAGTGATATTTCAGTGGAAGCCTGGAGGGTGAGAAGATGATGGGTAGGTGGAGAGTTGGGAGAAGAACAATCAAAGCCAAAGGAACAGCGTGGGCACGCCTGAGGCTGAAGAGCACCCGCATGGAGAAACCCAAAAGGCTGATGTGCCCACTGGATAGTGAAGGAGGGAGAAGAAGGTGTGAGATGAAATTGGAGAATGGGGAAAGGCAGTAACCTAAAGGACTGCCCACAGTTTGTACTTGAAAACTTCACATTGATTTCAATCCTGAACGTCTTGTGATCTGGAGTTCCCATTGGATTTTTGGTTATAATGAGTCAGTGCATCAAGAGTACCTTGAGGCCGTTACTGGGGTGGGCCTTAAATGAGCACACAGAGATGCTATACACATAGTGAGTATGTATGTATAGAGACGGGATCTCATTCTGTTGTCCAGGCTTGAGTACAGTGGTGCAATCATAGCTCACTGCAGCCTCCATCTCCTGGGCTCATGCAGCTCTCCTGCCTTAACCTCTCAAGTAGCTGGGACTACAGGCATGTGCCACCATTCTTGGCTCGTTTTTTTTTTTATTTTTTGTAGAGATGGGGGTCTCACTATGATGCCCAGGCTGGTCTCAAACTCCTGGGTTCAAGTGATCCTTCCACTCCCAAAGTGTTGAGATTGCAGGCAAGAGCCACTATGCCTAGTTCCAAAATTGAGTATTATGACTCTTATTTTGAGGTATCTAAGAGAAGAATTGAAGAAAAATGATTTCAGACCCAAGTCAGGGCCATCACACTGGGATGGAATTTAGGAATTCTGATACCAATTCAAACTCTAGGATATCAATTTAGGTCCAAGTACTTTTTATTTTGAAGTAGTGGCCAGACAAGTATTTTATTACTGACCTTGTTTGGAATTGTCAGAGCATGGTCCTAAAAAAAAAAAAAAAAAAAAAAAAAAAGGTAGAAAGACTTGGGTTGATTTTACTATTGTTTCAAAATTCTCTGCAGAAAATGCACCCTTTATTGCGTATATCCAGGCTTCATGTACTTACTTTGATACATCTATCTTCTGAAACATTGATTTTGGGAAATTGTTATTTTAGCCATGAAAGTAGTTTAAAATTTAGAGGCTGAGGAGAAAGAACGCTTTATTATCCCAAATTCACAAATTCTGGAATTTCATGGTAAAATATATAATTAAATATAAAGGAAAATTATAAATTCTCACTAAAATCAAATTGAATACTCATTCCACTTCTCATGAGATGGTAATGAGGTGGTATAATGTTGGTGTAAAATATTTATAAAAATTAATTGTGCTAGATAAAAAGTTTCACTGCTAGTACTATGGTGTTTTGAACCATATGGTATTGCTTAGAGCAGCGGTTCTCAAACTTTTTGGTCTCAGGACTCCTTTACACTCTAATATTGAGAACCCCCTCCAAAGGGCTTGCCATAGAAAATTCTGGAAATTGGCCAGGTGCAGTGGCTTACGCTTGTAATCCCAGCACTTTGGAAGGCCAAGCTGGGTGGATCGCTAGAGGCCAGAAGTGCAAGACCAGCCTGAGCAACATAGCAACTCCCATCTTTACTAAAAATAAAAAATTAGCTGGGCATGGTGGCACACATCTGTAGTCTCAGCTACTGGAGAGGCATGAGAATTCCATGAACCTGGGAGGTGGAGGCTGCAGTGAGTTGAGATTGCACCACTGCACTCCAGCCTGGGTGACAGAGCAAGACTTTCTCAAAAAAAAATAAAATAAAATTCAGAAATTACGATCTCATATTCCATTAGTCATACAGAAGCTCACAGTCCATTAGACATCAGAGAAATGACATCATCACGCTTCATGAAGCCTCTGGAAAACTCCACTGTACTCCATAAGAGCATGAGAATAGAAGAGGCAAATAATGAAAAGGGCTTTGATTTTTCAAATCCTTAGAAAGAGTCTTGGGGGACCCTGAAGGGTTCCCATATCACACACTGAGAATTGCTGACATAGAGGTGGATAATATGAGCTTTAGCAAATGAAGTTTATCGCCCAGCTGCATCATTACTGGAATTCTTTGAAAGTGATATCTTTAGCTGTTAAATGGTCACAATAATAGTTACCTCACTTGTTTATGATGAGGGAAATACGGTAAATTATGGACAGTACATCAACTATGAGTCTTTGGATTACACACTACAGAAAACCCAACCAAACTTAGCTTAATAAAAAGGAGCACATTTCATGGCTCCCTCTTCTTAAAAAGGCAAGAGGAGCTACTGTTTGATCTAGACTTTGTGGGGTCATGAGGGATCTAGCTCTGTGTCTCGTCCTCCTCTGAGTCTTGGCTTTGTCCCCACAATGACTTCCCTCATCACACAACAATGGCTGCAGAATTTCCAGGCCACCCATCCTCATACCACACCCTCCAGCTGAAAGGAACTTATCTCTTTTAGTGGTTTCCATGAAAGAGAGAGGCAGCTTCTTTTCCCAGTATCTGGATCCATGCTCATTTCCAAATGAACATGTTTAATTCACATATTTATTTCCATATCAATCACCATGTGTGTTGGCAGGAGGGAGGAAGAAACGCATTTATTTGAGGGCATTTGAAACTCATCCCCAGAACTAAGGGTGAAGTCAATCTTACCCAAACCTTGTGACTGCCAATATGGAGTGCTGATTCCCCCAAAGGAAAACTGGATGGATTGGGTGCTAGAAAAGAGAGATAGAGTCTAGGAGAAGACAAACGGCCACAATAGTATGTAAAGAATCTAGCATATAATAGCTGTGCAGAAATGAAGATACCTTTCTCCCTCAATCTGAGAAATCCTTTCATGGCCCTCACTTCTGGGATCACTTCCCTAGTGAACAGCATGAAACCTCTCTGACCATATAATTATGAGGGTTGACTGGCGTGGGGGAGATACTTGACTCAATCAAATCAAGCCTGGCTGCATAGACTGTCCATCTCAATAAACATAATTTTATGCTGTGAGGCATTTTGTAGTCTAATAGTGCTGAAACGGCCAAAGAGAATGACTCTAAAGGGAAATGAAAGCTGCACTAAAGAACAAATAGCCTGTCGGTGGAGGGGGGAAATGTGAGTTCAGATGTTTCTGTATGCCAGGCTGAGATTCTGACAATTAAATGCTGAAGATGAAAATGCTAGAGTTCAACTTCCATAAATAAGCCATGGCTCCAGGGAAGACCTGGGCTCCTGAGTCAAAGGAGGCCATATTTTCCAATCAGTATCACTCTTTAGAAAAATTACTAACTGAGTTGCTTTTCTTTAAAGCAGCATTCATTTTGGTCTGAAGATTTCAACCCTTAAAAGGTGCACACTAGTAAATGGCATTATTTTGACACGTCACATGAATATCACCATGAATTACAAAACATTAGAAATATCAGAGTTAATATGATGTTTCTAAATATTATTATTTATCCACAAACATAAAGAGGAGTGTGAGGCCTTTTACCTGCTGTGTTTCTCTTTTCAAGTTTATTTTAGGAATTTTTATTGGTAACCCTTGACATTTTCTTCTTGCCAGCAGTTTTATTCAAAGTCTGGCACATTCTGTTTCACTTCTTTTTAAGAGAAGAAAGAAAATGCCTTTAACAAGAGACTCAAAAGTTGGCTGGGTGAAAACTCTGCCTTCTTGTTTAATGGCTCCCACTCCCACTATCCTTTACAATATACACGATTCCATAGACAGCTGCACACAACTATTAAATTAGAAAATCTAAAAAGAATTAATCCAGCCATCCATTGATTGGGTCAGCGTTAACTTATTGCAAGTTTTCCTTTCTTTTTTTTTTTTTTGAGACAGAGGCTTGCTCTGTTGCCCAGGCTGCTGGAGTGCAGTGGTGCGATCTTGACTCACTGCAACCTCTGTCTCCCAGGTTCAGGTGATTCTCCTGCCTCAGCCTCCTGAGTAGCTGGGATCACAGGCATGTGCCACCATGCCTGGCTAATTTATTTATTTTTTTGTATTTTTAGTAGAGACGGGGTTTCACCATGTTGGCCAGGCTGGTCTCAAACTTCTGGCCTCAAGTTATCCGCCCACCTCAGCCTCCCAAAGTGCTGGAATCACAGGCTTGAGCCACAGTGCCTGTCCTATAACTGTTTTGGGACCAATGTTATAAGTATTTCTTTTCATGATAGAAATTTGGAAAATATTGTACAGTTTAAATAAGACCTACCCATAATTCTACACAGTAGAAATGACCATTGATCTTACTAGACATTGTTTAGTGCGCTTTGTTCATGTAACATTATATTGTTAAGATTTTATGAATTCAATAGAAAACACTTAAAAAATTAATGCAAGTAATTAGGTCACCAAGTCCTTGTACTAAAACTTGACAATATAAGGGAGAGAATAAAGGATTTATCCTGTTTCCTGTATAAACTATATTTCAGTATAATCAAATAGCCTTGATCAATTTGTGAAAATTGTTTATAGAAGAATTCTAGCAAAAATGTCGAAAGAATAATATGATTTTTTAAATTACCATTTTGTGCTCCCTAATGAAACAATACCATCAGGAGATAAAACACTTAGATAGAAGTTTGGATGGATCAGGCTTTTGCCCACCTGAACCTACTGATCACTGTTAGCCTACTAAGAATGGAACAACCAGACATGTGCCAAGATGTGATGCAATATGAAAAACACAACACCACCCTTGAAATGTTCTTGTTTTACAAAGGGAAATCCTTGCCGGGTGTGATAGCTCACACCTGTAATACCAGCACTTTGGGAGGCCAAGCCAGGTGGATCATTTGAGGCCAGGGGTTCAAGACCAGTTTGGGCAAGATGACAAAACCCTGTCTCTACTAAAAATACAAAAATTAGCTGGGCATGGGGATGCATGTCTGTAATCCCAGCTACTCAGGAGGCAGAGGTTGCAGAGAGCTGGGATCGCACCACTGCACTCCAGCCTGGGCGACAGAGCGAGACTCTGTCTCAAATAAATAAATAAATAAATAAGGAAATCCACAACCACTAGACTGGCCAAAATTAAAATGACTGACATTACAAAATGTTGGTGAGGATGGGGATGTGGAGGAACTACAAGTCTCATACCTTGTTGGTGGGAATGTAAGTGAATCAAACATGTTGGAGAACAGTTTGGCAGTTTGTTATAAAATGTAATGCATACTTACCATACAATCTAGTAATTTCATTAGAAAAGAAAAGAAACATGTTCAAAGATCTATTCACAAATGTTCATAACAGCTTTATCTGTAATAGCACAAAACTGAAAACAAACTAAATGCCCAAAATAAATCATTCGTGGCATATTCATACAATGCCAACAATTGCCATTACTTGGCAATTAAAAGAGAAGATTACTGATAAATACCGTAACTTAGATGAATCTCAAAGGCATTATCTTAGTGAAAGAAGCCAAATACAGAAGAGAATATACAATATGGTTTCATTAAAAGAAATTCTAGGCCAAGCGCAGTGGCTCACACCTGTAATCCCAGAACTTTGGGAGGCCAAGGCAGGTGGATCACTTGAGGTCAGAAGTTTGAGACCAGCCTGGCCAAAATGGTGAAACCCTGTCTCTACTGAAAATACGAAACTTAGCCAGGCATGGTGGTGCGCATCTGCAGTCTCAGCTACTCGGGAGGATGAGGCAAGGGAATTGCTTGAACCCAGGAGGTGGAGGTTGCAGTGAGCTGAGACTGCTGCATTGCACTCTAGCCTGGGCAACAAAGTGAGACTCTATCTCAAAAAAAAAAAAAAAAAAAAAAAAAAAAGAAAGAAAGAAAGAAATTCTAGAATTTTCAGAAAATATAAAATATGCAACAATTTGCACAGCTATCAGCAATGTTTGGAAGTCCCCATCTTGGTACCCACATCATCATTGAGAATTATCAGTTTCTAGGGTAAAAATGGCTTCTCCTTGTTTTAAAACATGCATGCCTTTGTTTCACAGTAAAATTGAGTCTTTTTCATTTTCATAAGTTTTGTTTATTTTTGCTTTTTATTAACTTTTTTCTTGGAAATTACTGTTCAGCTACCTTTTTCTAATTTTCTATTGCTGCCATTTTTTTTCCTTATTGACTTATAAGAGTTCTGTATAGATTAAGTATATAAATACTTCGTCATATTTATGGTATTTTTTCTCAGTTTGTTTGCCTTTTTATTTACGTTTTGAAGAGCAGAGTCTTTTTCTGTTTTGTTATAATGGTCAAATTTATTGTTCTCTTTCTTCAACATTTAGTTCATGCTTTTATCTCCATAGGCAGAAATACAACAATATTTGCTCAAATTTTCTTGCCATTTTTTATAATTTTATTTTATATAAAAGTTTACATTAATCTGGATTTACTCTGGTATTTGGTGTCAGGTCTGAATTTTCCTCATTCTTTTTTGTATGTCAACAATTTCACAACACTTTGTTTTTTCTTTTTCTTTTTCTTGTCTAATACTATCTTGCTCTGTCACCCAGGCTGGAGTGCAGTGGCAAAATCCTAACTCACTGTAGCCTCTAATTGCTGGCCTCAAGTGATCCTCCAGCCTCAGTCACTCAAGTAACTGGGACCACAGGAGTGCACCACCATGCCCAGCTAATTTTTTTTTTTTTAAGAGACAAAGTAGGCTGGGCGCAGTGGGTCATGCCTGTAATCCCAGCACTTGGGGAGGCCGAGGTGGGCGGATCACTTGAGGTCAGGAGTTTGAGACCACCCTGGCCAACATGGTGAAATCCCGTCTCTACTAAAAACACAAAAATTAGCCAGGCATGGTGGTGGGTGCCTATAATCCCAGCTACTTGGGAGGCTGAGGCAGGAGAATTGCTAGAACCAGGTAGGAAGAGGTTGCAGTGAGCCAAGATTACGGCATTGCACTCCAGCCTGGGAGACAGAGTGAGACTCTGTATCAAAAAAAAAAAAAAAAAAAAAGGAGACAAGTCTTGCTATGTTGCCAGGCTAGTCTCAAACTCTTGGCCTCAAGCATTGTTCTTGCCTTGGTCTCCCAAAGCACGGCATTACAGGTCATATTTTAATATTTAATGTGACTTCTATTTCTATCCACTTATTTTTGAGAGTTTTTTGGCTTTTATCATCCACTTAATTCTCCAAACGCTTATTGACTTTGTTCTGTTTGCCAGGTACTGTGCTAAGAAGTGGAGATAAAAATCTGGAAGGGCAGACAGCCTTTAATGTTTTGTTTAGAAATGTATGAATGCCATAGCAGCAGAAAATAACTAAAATAGCTAACACTTAGTGCTTCCCATGGGCCAGGCACTATTTAAGTGTTTTACATATATTAACACATTTAATCCTCAAAAAAATTATCTGAGCTAGGTTCTATTCTATTCTTCTTTATTTATGTCGAAAATTGGACACAAAGGGTAACTTGCCCAAGGCTGAACAGCTAGTTAGCAGGAGAGCCCAGATTCGAAACTGGGTATTTTAAAAAATTGAAACCCTCTTACTTTGCTAGTGGGAATGAAAAATAGTGCAACGGCTATGGGAGACATTTTGACAGGTCCTCAAAAAGTTAAAGATAGAATTACCATATGACCCAGAAATTTCACTCCTAGGTATGTACCCAAAAGTACTGAAAATATGCATTCAGATACTTGTACACAAATATTCATAGCAGAATTATTCACAATAGTCAAAAGGTGGAAACAACTCAAATGTCCATCGATCGATAAATACATAAACATAATATAGAACACCCACACAATGGAAGGTTTTACAGCAACCTTCAGCAAAAGTAATGTAGTACTCATACATGCTACAGCATATGTGAAACTTGAAAACATGCCAAGTGGAAGAGCCAGACACAAAAACCAGTCACATATAGTTCCATTTCTATCAAATATCTAGAAGAGGTAAATTCATGAAAACAAAAGACAGTTTAATGATTGTCAGGGAATAAGGGGAGGAGGGAATGGGAACTGACTTGTTAATGGGTATAGAATTTCCTTTGGGAGTATTGAAAATGTTTTGGAACTTGATCGAGCTGATGATTGCCTAACATTGTGAATGTGCTAAGTGTCACTGAATTGTACACCTTAAAATAGTTAGTTTTATGTTATATGATTTTTTTCCTCAATAAAAAAGGGGGTTTGGTTTTCTTACTGAGTTTTTGCTTTTAACCACCCACTGTACTGCTATATACAATACAGAGAAGTAAACCAAATCTTATCCAATCCTGAGGGTGAGGAATAGCTTTACAGAGGAGCTGATACATGAGCTGGGTATGGAAGAATGCGTAGGGGTCGACCAGACAGATTTTGTGTGTGTGTGTGTGTGTGTGTGTGTGTGAGAGAGAGAGAGAGAGAGAGAGGTGGGGATTCTAGATAGGTAAAACAGCTTGTGAAAATTCATGGGCTCAAAACAGAGGAAGTGAAGGCAGTTTGGTGACAATGGAATATAGGGCTTTAGTGGAAAAGAGGGTAGTGTTAGGGATGAGGTTAAAGACTGATATTAATTTAACACATATTTATCAATTGCACATTTCCATAGGCCAAAGATTGGAAATTTCTAGAGCTCTTTTTGGATAGCAACAAAAATTCATGTTGGCTTAGGATACTTATTATTACAGTGGTGTCCAAATATATTTAACTGCTGAACTCCAATATATAAAGATGTTTGCTTATGAATCTCTCATTGTAGTCTTTGAACCGACTCTAGATAACCTTGAACATATTTTTTACACAGGTATTCATTTACTTTTCATGCCGCTAAATACATAGCAACTTAATTTTTACTTACCTGTGGCACTCATTGACCATATCCCCTTGGTGTTGAACATTTCTGGGCCTGTTGGCCCCTCAACTTCTAAATGCCAATGGCTGAGTTTCCTTGTCTGTTTTTTCCCTTTATCACAAGAATGCACACTTTCCGCGTGCAGAGCAGGTCAGAAATGCTAGGGAATTATAACTCTCAGAAGTAGCCATCAACAAATGATGGTTAGGAATTGATGGACACATACATCAGCTCCCTCTCTCCCTGGATGGAATAACTCTGAGGTGCATGTTCAACACAGTCTTCCAGAATCCCAGACAGAATGAAGCTCCAGATGCTTACAGTAGTAACTTGCTCGATAATTTCCCCTTTATTTGCTTCATTTACTCCATTGTCTTACTTCCCTGCCCCTACTTGCCTTCAAATCTTTGTGAGACAAAGGGTTTGCTCTGGGAGAAACTCAAATTAAGATACTCACAGATTTCAGTCCAAAGTCACTTCCTCAGTACATCAGTCAGAACCTAGTTAGGAAAAGAGAATCCACTTAGGTATTTCAAATACAGGAGATTTAATACAAGGAACTGGTTACCAAGAGAGAAGGAATGATACCTAGATTTCAGAAGCTATTTTTCCCTCTGGCTGGAAACCAGTAGCCTACATTGGAGAACAAATAGACAAATAACACTCAGGGAAGTATTTTCTGACCCCCAGACAAGGTAAAAACAAACAAAACAAAAAACCCCGAGAACCTCCTACTGTCTGCTTTCATAGCACCCAATTGCTTTAGTTTAACTCTTATTTCTGTGACAATTTGATTAATGTCTATCATCCTCACTAGATTACAAATCCAAGAGTACAAGCTCACTAAATATCTGGTTGAAGGAATGACTAAATAAGTGGTGTGCCAGAACCAGCTTGTACCAGCTCATGAAAGCCAGTTATGCAATTCTCTTTCTAACTCTATGTTCAGTGATATCAGGTTGGTAGTTTAAAATTAGCCGTTATGAGAGTATTTATACCACAGAAATCAGCGAACATTACAAATAGGAGCTTCTCTATTTGAAGAACTCAGTTGTGAAACATTTATCGGTATACCACTAAGTGAATCCTATTTAACAATGCAAGATAACACAATGTATCCATTTCCATAGCTCCATGATTATGACTTTCATGGAAGGTCTTAGCCTCTGTCTATATTTGTGCAAAGAGAGGAAGAAATTTTCAAGGAGTTTTTCTCTTAGGCACGTACCTTCAAGGACATCTGGTATAGACTTCTTCTATTGCATTGTTTAGCAAAAAGAAAGAAGAATCAGAAAGGGCAAGTTAGATTGGCAACATGCTCATCCCTTCCAGCATTCATGTACACATGAGTTCTGACCCCTCAGCCTGTTCAGCAAATGCAAGATGCAGAGACGCCGCCGACCAAGCTGTCTTTCAAACCTCTGCCACCCCAGGTGCTTGCGGATGTGACTGTAATCTTTCTCCAGATTCAATATTTTAATATGGACATAATTTTGTACATAGGAAAGTAAACTCTTTTCATGGGATGCCCAGGTTCTACCCTGTAGCCTTAACTAAGCACCTACAAATACTGCATAGAAAATTGTAGCTTCACCTACTAGAAGATTGATATTACTTTTATGGGAAAGGGAGGTTTGTGAGCAGATGCTCACAAAGACTGCTCTTTGAACAAGTCATTGCAATTAGGTTGTAGAAAACTATACTAGGATGCAAGAAAAATGGTTTAATGTATATTAAATTTAAAAGTAGCATCTTTTACAACATTTCCTATCATTTCATTTCTTATTATTTCATGTTTGCACACCGGCGCAAAAGCAACGATGGGCCAAACTGCTGGGTCTTGGTGGGAAACAAGACAGAGATACCCAACTGTCCTAGTACCCATGATATTCTTCACTGCCACACATTTACAGGTACAAATAATAGTAATACAAAATAAAAATAATAAATGATGATTCCACTGAAGTGTGTTTGATGCAGCAAGTTATTAGCCTTATTAAGTACCAACCCTCAATTTTCTGTGTGACAAAACGAGAAGTACGTACGAAGCGTTTTTGCTAACTTTTGAAGTACTATAGTTGTCTTGAGGAAAAGCACTTGTGCAATTGTTTGAGTTGTGAGCTAAACTAACTGCTTTTTTTCATGGGACATGATCTCTGTTTCATAAAACTACTTTTCATGGGATTGTTATTCAATCTAGGACATTTGTTGGACCATTTTCTTGAAAATGAGTAAAGTGAAACGGTTACTACAAAGAAAACAACGGACAGGATTTATTGCCAATGATAAAAATCAAGCTTTCCAGTGAAAATGTGAATGTTGGAAATTTTTATAAGTACTACTGTTAGCTTGACACCATGAGTTTGACTCCGTGAGTTTTTCCAATGAGATTGGTGGTAATATTAACATATGTGTTTTTGGTATTTTAATGAAATGTGCAGTATTTAGGAGATCAGCACAATTCAATAAACCAATATTTTCCAAATGATTGGCTAGATGGTGTTACAATATCATATGTGGCTGAAAGATCCATTTAAAGTAAAAGTTAGACCAATGGATTTTAGTGACACAGAATACAAAAAGTTCATTGATAAGATTCCACATTGAACCTAGCCTTTAATAAACTATCACTTGTCTTCCTATGATGATGGCAGAGTGAGAGCAAGCCCAGTAGCCCACAACCACCATGTTTGCATCATGCCTCCTAAAACTCTATTGACACAATAAATCACACAGCAGAGCCTCAAGTCAGAGGGTGGGAGTGAGTGCTACAGAGTTACACAGCAAAGGGCATAGAAACAGGGTAGGGTGATGAACCTAGGCCATTTTTGCAATCAACCAGAGCTATAAAGATGACTATGGAATCTCTCATTCTGTGCTAGGTGGTTTACATCAATTAGGCCAAATCCTGAAAATAGCCCTAAAATGTGGTTATTTGTGTAACTAAAAGTTCTTGATTGCAAGTGACCAGAATCCTCACACAAACTAGTTGAAGCAGAAGTGAATTTATGGGTTACTTAATTGGGAGGTGAACCAGTTAAGGTTGCTTAGCATGTCTAAGTTATGGGATGGCTGAATCTAGGGGCTGACATGAAGTTTTTGATGCTCTCTCTCCATAGCATTCAGCTTTGATTTTGCCTGTATGTTGGATCTTTTCTGCAGATGACATGTTCTCTGAAGCCCTGAGAGTTGCTCTCAGCAATTCAAGGTTTACATAGTCCTCTCAGTTTGCAATCCCAGAGAAAGATGGGGCATCTTTCCCAATGGATTTGTTCACAAAGTCCATTGGTGGCTCTCCATGACCTGGAAATGGTTATAAGTTGATGTTTGTAAAGGAGTCCTAAAGCCAAGAGGTTGGAGAACTGCAGAACTAGATCATCACTAACATTCCTTCCAGTTCTAAAAATTCTAAAATTATTCTAGTATCATTTGTTATCTCCTGGTTGAATTGTAGTAGATTTTATATTTGGAAATAGTAGAATCTGAATCATTACAGCATATTTTATTTATTATGTTGCATAAAATGCTCCCACACAAGGTGCTACGTACTCTTGGAAGCAGGCTGCAGGAGGAGATAACACAGCAGAGATTTCTTCTAACCTTAACATGTTCATAAAGAAGAAATAGCAAAACCAAAAAATTTATCTTCCGATAGAACTGTATTGCCAATAGGATTACATTTTGCGTAGAAATCCTTAATTCGCCAATTGATTTTTTATGTATCTCTCTAATTTATCTGTCCCAAAAGGAAATCTAGCTTAAGGAGGATAAATACACAGGTTCAATTTTTGGGCCAAATTCAGCCAACTGGAGCAGCTGCCAGAATTGCCAGACTGTGAAGGATCTTGAGGACAGAGAGAAATGTGTGTTGATCAGAGACGTGTGCCATGCTTAATTTAGCTTGCCTTCGCCTTCAAGATCTAACTAAAAAAACAGACGTCTTTTATATGCCTATAAGAAACATCATTGGAAGGGGGTCTAAGGATTTTATGAGTCACGTAGAAGGAACTACACAAAAGATAATTTGACAGTTTAAGCAGAAATAAGCAGCACTTATTGAACTAACTTTTTAAAGTAAACCAAAAAGCCACAAATACCTTGTTCATCCATTCAATAGACATTTATTAGAAGCCTCCTTTAGTCAGGTACTATAGCCAGGTTCTTGGGAAACCAAGATTTCTAAAATTTGCTCCATTGTCCCCTGACACCATACAGCCTAAGCTCAAACAGCCTAAAACGTTCTGGGTTTTTTTGTTTTTTTGTTTTTTTGTAAAAGAGACAACCCTGGTGTTACGTAAGGTTTTAAGGGCATGTTGTAGGTTATTGCTACTAAGCAATGAACCTGACCCAACAGAATCAATATTATAGAATTGTCTAACCCAAAAGCAACATTTTAACACCCACAGTAGCTTTCTGTTCCAAGACTCTGTGCATATTTTTGGCATAGGCTCTGAAGGAAATTGTGTGTATACTTTCAATTACCTTTATAGGTACAAATTATCATTTGCTGCTTTCTCTAATGAGAATATGACTTATGTTTCCTTGCCTAAAATGAGACCCATTGTAGTCTATAGTAAACATGTGGCTGGATGGGTTAACATTAGCTCTTAAGCTCTGACAGCTTTTATTCTTCTGTTTTGACATGTCTCACGCCTGCACGTTACAAACAGAAGGAATACCCGTGGTAGTCTTCACACCACTCATGCAGTATGTGATGGATGGTTTCTACACTGTAATTAATATGTTGGATCCTCACTCATTAATGTGGCAAAGAAAAAATAGTAACCCATATTTGACAGTTGCGATCTGACTAGCCAACCTAATTGTGCTGGAAGGGAATAACTGGTGACATTGTTCATGATGAAGTCTTTACTTCCCAAGTCATGGTTGTTATATGGCATGCATTATCTCACCTTGGAGTGGTCTTGCAGAACCTCATTGCAAAATCCTAAAAATGCACAATAAAAGATTTCCAGAATGTTCTCCATTGAGCCAGCTGTGTTTAACTTTGTAGCACTGCTCAGCTATCACAGGGACAGGTATATAAGTAAGCAGCAGGAAAGATAACAATCCATTGGAATAACAAAGAACTTGACTCTTGAATTGTATTTTCTGCTAAAACTTCCCCAGTGGTCTTTGTGTCTGGGATGCTATGTGCTTAGAGGAAAGATCATGGGCTTTGCAATTAAGCAGATGTGGATTCAAATCCTGGTTCCTCATTTACTATGTGCTCTCAGGCAGGATTATTAACCTGCATAAGGCTAGTCCCTCATCTATAAAATTGTGATACTGATGCTTACCTCTTAGTCATAAAGGTTTAATAAAATACTAAATATTCTGTGCTTAGCATCAAGCTGGTGCTCATTTGATGTTTTTTCCTTCCTCTTGGATCTAAACCATCTTGTAGAACTTCCATATTAAGGGACATTTTTATCAGTTCACTAACCTTTTATTGTTCTTTCAATATCTTAAATAACCAAAGGCTAGTTATTTTTATTAACACAAGTGCAGGATGTAACACTGAAACGGAACATTTCTTTTCTTTCTTTTTTTTTTTTTTTTGAGACGGAGTCTCACTCTGTCACCCAGGCTGGAGTGCAGTGGCACGATCTCGGCTCACTGCAAGCTCCGCCTCCCGGCTTCACACCATTCTCCTGCTTCAGCTTCCCGAGTAGCTGGGACTACAGGCGCCAGCCACCACGCCCACCTAATTTTTTGTATTTTTAGTAAAGACAGGGTTTCACCCTGTTAGCCAGGATGGTCTCGATCTCCTGACCTCGTGATCTGCCCGCCTCAGCCTCCCAAAGTGCTAGGATTACAGGTGTGAGCCACTGCGCCCAGCTATCATTTTTAACTCTGTTATGTTTAACATTATATCCATGATGATTGTTTTTCCTCTCTTTTGCCCCTCTGCTCTTTTAAATAGACAAGCACTCAAGAAGTAGCTATTTATTTCTCACCTTTTCTGCCAGTGGGGTGACTTATTCTGTGCTCAATTGAGACAGAAAAGAACGAATATTTGTTCCTTCCTTCTACCCAGTTTATAAGACTCATCTGTCTTCTGGTCATTGACTCCAGCTGCTGCTATGAGCCATTGCTGGACAGAGTGGCAGAGGTTTTAGAACCCACAGAGGACATGAAGACCATTCATTTTTTTCTTCTAGTTCTTTCACATAGCCATGTCCAATTTTACTCTGGCAGAACGTGGTGTTGCTGGGATGGGCCATGTGGTGTTTCTCTGACAGGGGTCCACCAACTGTCAGCTCTGGCTGGTGCTCATCTCTCAGAAAGGCCAAAAGAGTCATTTCGGGCAAAGGCACTGGGGATGTCTATTCTTCATGGACATTGCGTGTCCAAGTTTCTCCTTAGCCTAAGCAACAGAAATTTCGTCCTCTGTTTTCCCCAAATAAGCTAAGCTCCAAAGTATCTCAGACTCAAGAGAGATTACTGTGGCTGGATGTGACCAATGGCCACTCTGGGGAGGAGAGGGAGGGGAAAGAGGATGGCTTGTAAAATGTCTCAGCAGCCATTGGGAACATGAGGGTAGCTCAGATGCATTCAATAGCAATTCTTCTTGGTCTCCTTCAGTGAGTATGAGGTGGGGAGGGGGATTTTCCTGGTACTCCTGGCACATAGGAACATAACCTAAAACTCCTTAAATTGTCTAATCAGTTGGTCATGTTTCAGCAAAAAAAATTCTTAAGTTGTGCAATTAGTTGTTTATATTTTGGCAAAAGGAATCCATGGGAAAAAAAGCTGTTCCCAGGGAATTTTATTTCTCTCCCCTTACTGAATTGGAAAGTAGGGTATTTAAAGTTTCTTTACATTTTAATAAGCATAATTTTGTTTTTCAAGTGCTCATTGGGCTTCAGAAAATGTGTATTATTACTGCTATAGGCAAGCAGCCCTGTGTAGTAGAAAGAGTGAAGACTTTAAAGCCAGAAAGATTATGATTCAAATTGTGGTTCTTGGCCATTTACTTTGTTGCTTGTTGCCTTGGCAAATCCTTCCACCTCTCAGATCCTATTTCTTAAGATTCTATTTCTTCATCTACAAAATGGGGACAACAGTACTCAAGTGATTTACATCATTTGCATATCTTATCCAGGGTCCTTTCCTTTGAGTATCAACTCCACACACTTTTCATAAAACTTGGGAAGAGTTAACCCCATGATTGGTCAGAAGATTACCTGATCTTGACCAGAGTCCTCATCTTCCTGGCCACGGACATTAGTTCAGGAATAGACATATGATCTAGGCCAGGCCAATGAGAGTCTGTCAAGTGACTTTTCTGCAAAATGCATGGGTAAAATGCCTGCTGTTCTGATATGGCAAGTAGGATGATGAACTCATTCACATCTGCCTGGGGTTTTCTTGGTTTTAGCATTGACTGTCCCCCCATCTCAGGAAACTTCTCAATCTTAGGATGGTTGGTCACTGATATGGTTTGGCTGTGTCCCCACCCAAATCTCCTCTTCAATTTTAACTCCCACAATTCCCATGTGTCCTGGGAGGGATCCAATAAGAGGTCATTGAATCATGGGGGCAGATCGTTCTTGTGCTGTTCTTGAAATAATGAGTAAGTCTCACAAGATCTGATGGTTTTAAAAAGAGGAATTCCCCTGCACAAGCTCTCTCTCTCTTTTCCTGCCACCACCCATGTAAAACATGACTTGCTCCTCCTTGCCATCTGCCATGATTGTGGGGCTCCCAGCCATGTGGAAGTGTAAGTCCATTAAACCTCTTTTTCTTCCCAGTCTTGGGTATGTCTTTATCAGCAGTGTGAAAACAGACTAATACAGTAAATTGGGACTAGTAGAGTGGGGCGCTGCTGAAAAGATATCCAAAAATGTGGAAGCGACTTTGGAAATGGGTAACAGGCAGAGGTTGGAACAGTTTGGAGAGCTCAAAAGACAGGAAAATGCGGGAAAGTTTGGAACGCCCTAGAGACTTGTTGAATGACTTTGACCAAAATGCTGATAATGATATGGACAATGAAATCCAGGCTGAGGTGGTCTCAAATGGACACGAGGAACTTGTTGGGAACTGGAGCAAAGGAGACTCATGTTTTAGCAAAGAGACTGGCAGCATTTTGCCCCTGCCCTAGAGAGTTGTGGAATTTGAACTTGAGAGAGTTGATTTAGGGTATCTGGCAGAAGAAATTCGTAAGCAGCAAAGCATTCAAGAGGTGACTTTGGTGCTGTTAAAGGCATTCAGTTTTAAAAGGGAAACAGAGGATAAAAGTTCAGAATATTTGCAGCCTGACAACATGATAGAAAAGAAAATTCCTTTTTCTGAGGAGAAATTCAAGCTGTCTGCAGAAATTGGCATAAGTAACAAGGAGCCAATGTTAATCCCCAAGACAATGGGGAAAATGTCTCCAGGGCATGTCAGAGGTCTTCACAGCAGCCCCTCCCATCACAGGCCTGGAGGTCTAGGAACAAAAAGTTATTGTGTTGGCTGTGCTGTGTGCAGCCAAGGGACTTGGTCCCTGTGCTGTGTGCAGCCAAGGGACTTGGTGCTCTGCATCCCAGCCACTCCAGCTGAAAGGGACCAATGTAGAGCTTGGGCCATGGCTTCAGAGGGTGGAAGCCCTAAGCTTTGACAGCTTCCACATGGTATTGAGCATGTGAGTGCACAGAAGTCAAGAACTAGGGTTTGGGAACCTCCACCTAGATTTCAGAAGATGCATGGAAATGCCAGGATGCCCAGGCAGATGTTTGCTGCAGGGGCAGGGCCCTCATGGATAATATCTGCTAGGGCAGTGTGGAAGGGAAATGTGGAGTTGGAGCCCCCACACAGAGTCCCCACTGGGGCACTGCCTAGTGGAGCTGTTAGAAGAGGATCACTGTACTCCAGACCGCAGAACGGTAGATCCACTGACACCTCGCACTGTGTGCTTGGAAAAGCCTCAGACATTCAATGCCAGCCTTTGAAGGCAGCTGAAAGGGAGGCTGTACCCTGCAAAGCCACAAGGGTGGAGTTGCCCAAGACCATAGGAAGCCACCTCTTGCATCAGCATGACCTGGATTTGAGACATGGAGTCAAAGTAGATCATTTTGAAGCTTTAAAATTTGACTGCCCCACTGGATTTTGGATTTGCATGGGCCCTGTAGCCCCTTTGTTTTGGCCAATTGTTCCCATTTGGAATGGCTGTATTTACCCAATGCCTGTACTCCCATTGTATCTAGGAAGTAACTAACTTGTTTTTTATTTTAGAGATTCATAGGTGGAAGGGACTTGCCTTGTCTCAGCTGAGACTTTGGACTGTGGACTTTTGAGTTAATGCTGAAATGAGTTAAGACTTTGGGGAACTGTTGGGCAGTCATGACTGGTTTTGAAATGTGAGCACATGAGATTTGGGAGGGGCCAGGAATGGAATGATACAGTTTGGCTGTGTCCCCACCCAAATCTCATCTTGAATTGTAACTCCCACAATTCCTATGTGTCCTGGGAGGGAACCAGTGGGAGGTAATTGAATCATGCGGACGGGTCTTTCTCACGCTGTTCTTGCAATAGTGAATAAGTCTCATGAGATCTGATGGTTCTAAAAAGAGAAGTTTCCCTGCACAAGTTCTTTGCCCACCACCATCCATGTAAGACATGATTTTCTCCTCCTTGCCTTCTGCCAAGATTGTGAGGCCTCCCCACAATCCATTAAGCCTCTTTTTTTTTTCCCCAGTCTTGGGTATGTCTTTATCAGCAGTGTGAAAACAGACTAATACAGTCACCTTCATTTCAAGCTGTGGGGATAATTTAAACCTGGAGTTGCTTTTAGGGGCTTTGTGGAAAATGTTGTCTCCAGAATGGATCTGTCACACAGGGGAAGCAAAATTGAGACATGGAGAGACATAGAACATCAAAGATCCCATCTGGGTTCGTATATCCAGCCATGCTGTAGCTCAGACATGTTAAGTAACCTTTACTGGTTTACTTTCCAGTTAAATAGACTTTTGCTTGACATTGTTTGTATGGGCACTCTGTCACTTGCAGTCAAGAATCCTTATTATCACAGTATTGGGTTATTGTCAAGATTTAACCTGCTTTATGCAAAGCATCTAGCAGAAGCTCCAAGATCATCATCATAGCTCTGGTTAATGGCAAAGGTGGTCTCAAATTGTCATGCCTCATGCCTCCCTGTATCCATGCCCTGTACTGCATGGATACATTGTAGTGATTTTCTACTCTGACTTGTTTCTTTTGTGTAATGGGATATTAGCAAACATGATGCTTGGGAGACTGAACCTGCTCCGACTCACTCCATCTTCCATCACCGTGAGAAGGATGTGCCTAGGCTAGTCTGTTGGCTACTGAAACCCACAGAGCAGGGCCGATCAGCCAACAGTAAGCAGAATGCCACTGTCAAAAGACAAAATGACAACAAATTTAGTTATAGATCTAGTTGGCTTTTATTTGAGATTCATGAATCCAGATGGCAGAAGGAGAGCTCTCAATGGGCTGTGGCAGAACAATGGTTTTTGTAAGGTGGGGACAAGGAAACAAAACAATAGAAAGAAACCTGATTGAGTGACATCAGGTTACTCGAGGTTATTTTTTGTTAAGGGTTAAAGCAGAGGGGGATTCCTTAGTTACAACGTAAAATGTATTCCTCACTGTGAATCATGGTGAACAAGCTGTAAAGCCACTACAAAAAATTAGCTATTCCTGCTGTTATATCTAAATGCTTTTAATTAGCTAAATTTTGTCTATGGCAAATTAATTTCTCTCCCATTCCTCACCTACTCACCACTAGTTCTTCCTCCAGTAATTAAAGAATGATTTCCTGATCTCACTACAACAGAGATGGTGATGTTCTCACTGTCTTGTTGGAGTTATCATATTTCAGATATATACGGTCAATGGAACCTGCCTTTTCTCCTTTGAAGAGACAGGAAATCTTGTCTTTTTTTGATCCCAGGAGATTCCTTTGCACTGAATGAATATTCTCCAATACACCCAGTCAGATCCACAAACATAAGCCAGGCAGGGTAACTCCACCCCACAAAGACCAGATATGAGCTGGGGATTTGGACTTTTAAATTGAATTGAAGTTTTTTGGTTGTATTTACCCTCGAGAGGACTCTGGTGGCTTAAACATGATAATCAGTCAGGAATCTCTGTAACTAAAATTTATATAAAGTTGTCCACACACTGAGGGGGTCATTAAAATCAGTGTTGTGATTGATAGAAATGAAGAGCCATTTCTGCACTTGATTTTGTCCGTTTACTCTCTGTTAAATAGTGCCAACCAAGCAGAAAGGATAGGAAAAGATGTGAAAGGTAGAAGAATTATAACATAAATAATTGTCTACAATCTTGGTGTCTGCTATTCCCTGGACCCTATAGCCAGCACTTTTTGTTTTGTTGATACTGAATCTTCTTGTGTAGCTGGGCCTATTTGATAACTATATTTTTAAGTTCCATTTAGACCAGTATAATGCATATATGATAGAAAATGTAGAATATTGTCAGGATGATGTCTGCGTATGGCATCTTCATGTGGAAAGCAATCAGGAAGCTAAATTAAAGGAAATTGCCCTTCCTCCTATGAGAAAGTGTTTTGACATTTACACTGACAGTTACATAATGAAACCCTGGTGTTTTGGTGATGATCCAGGCGGTACCCAGCTCTGCAGGCACTTCAGTTGTGATTACCTAAGAGGATTATTCCTCCTGCTCTCCTCTGTGTGGTGATGAGATTGTCTTCCATTCCAGTGCACATCTTCTATTGGTTTCTCAACTTTCACAAGAGGATGCTGAAAGGACTCTACCCCCAGTTGGGTTTCCCCTGAGTCCTTTGACTCTGAATCCACCCAGAAGTGGAACAGTTGCTTTCTAATCCAGCAGTTAGAATCTCATTTAGTATTGTCTTTCTGCTTTCTAAAAAGTGGAATTGTGTTTCGTGCAGGGGTTAAGAAAAGTTATGTAAAGTCAAAATCCCCTTGAAAAATCCCTGAAGTTGATCATAAAATACATTGTCTTTATATCCATTATTAAGGCCAACAGTTTTTCTTCCAGCCCTGAAACAGATGGCTGGTTCTGTGGTTGACACCAGATGAAGTAGTTGGCTTGCATTGAAGGGCCATGTTGTTTGAGAAATACATCATTTTATACAACCGAATCACACCTCGGGACAACAAGATTCTCACTCTCTGAGGGGAACGAGGGAAATGAAAGCAACCGAAGGACACAGCTTTATGTCCACCTACCTCAGGCTTATTATTGTGACTTGCATATCCATTTAGTGAATTGCTCACTGCTTTAACATTGTTTACTTTCTCATCTTTCTCTGGTCCAGTGGAGCCACAAGACTCCACTGGCATAGAAATTTTGGCAGCCTACTTAAAGGGAATTAGAAAACTCAAAACAGCACGAAACAAGTCACAGACAGTTACAACACTGTCACCTCTACAGCACAACCTCATCTTACAGTGTCTAAACAAGTCTCCAGTTAGCACCCTTCTTACTTTATCATCCCTCTGTCATATTGCAGTTCGGATGGGACTATCATCAGCCCTAACCGTGCTCTCTTATATGCTCAAGAAACAAATTTCTCACTTAGTTTTTATCCAGCCCAGCCTTCATTTACCAGTGGTACTGGTAAATAGGCCCTTTGAGGAAAACATAAAACACTTATTTGTAGAGTTTGCTGATTCGCACAGTGTAAATTCTTTCAAGGCTGATTTTATGCTGCCAATATGAAGCTACAGAACATGAACTTAGAAACAGCAGAATCCACTCTCGAGCTGGCTCCTTTCATCTGGTCTTGCAGTAGATAGGACTTGCCTCTACAGAGTGCCCTATGATCCATTAGGCTCAGTATTCAATTGCTATAACTGCATATAATATACATTCTAGATCAAGCTTGTCCAACCTGCGGCGCATGGGCTACATGCAGCCCAGGACAGCTTTGAATGTGTCCCAACACAAATTTGTAAACTTTCTTAAAACATTATGAGATTTTTTTGTGGTTCGTTTTTTTTTTTAGCTCATCAGCTATTGTTAGCGTTAGTGTATTTTATGTGTGGCCCAAGACAATTCTGCTCCTTCCAATGTGGCCCAGGGAAGCCAAAAGATTGGACATTCCTGTTCTAGTACTGGAGACAATTTCACCGCACATCTATGAAAGTTTTTTTCGGCACATGCGTGTGGTGTGATACACTGGCTGAGAGTCATGGCCCTAGGCAGTTGCCAGGGAATATAACCAATTGCTCTTCCAAATATTCTAAAATCTTCTTTGGATCAAGCCTTAATGGCAGACACCAGGTTACCTGCTGTTGCTAATAGTCTTACTCCATGAGGCCAACAGTTTATACGGTGGGAAAGCTCTCCAAAACAGTCTGATGAAACATGACTGCATGAATTGTATGAATGCTGTTGAGGTGGTTGTTCCTGGAATGAGGAAGTATCTACTCTCCTCATGAAGATCAGGCAAGGAGATTTTCATCTGTTCTCAATATCCGGAATGGTTATGCTACTGAGAATTTCTTTTTTAAATGCTATTAATCCTGATTTTTTTAATTGATCAGGTTCTGTTTTTTTTCAATGGCAGCCAGGAAATAAGGCCTCAAATTTTTAGTCTACTCTTAATAAATGTGTCAGGTCATTATGGCATCCTTTCTTAACTTCACTGTTACTTCTTATTTCAGGCATTCATTCATTCAATAAAGATTTGAGTATGTATGTGTCAGATTCCACCCTACAGACTTGAGATGCTCTTTAAAATGCTAGACGACGAGTTAGTGGGTGCAGCGCACCAGCATGGCACAGGTATACATAAGTAACTAACCTGCACAATGTGCACATGTACCCTAAAACTTAAAGTATAATAAAAAAAAAAAGAAATCAGTTAGAAGCTGAAAAAAAATAAAAAATAAAAAAATAAAATGCTTCCTATCCCCTGATAATTTTGGACTAGTAAAATGAAGCATTGAATAAGTGATCATGCAAATAAACGTATAATTCTGAATGATGCTAAGTACTCTAAAGAAAAAACTCAGCATGTTAACTTAAATAGGGTTGTCACTTTATGCCACTGTCCTTATTTCTCTTCTTTCATCTGCATTTTATACTGTCCCATCATGTGTGTTTTATGTACACTTGTAAATGAATAGTTTTAAGGGTTTTTTCCCTGAAAAAATGAATTAATGACCACATAACCAAAGATACGTTTTTCCATTAAGGCTATAGCAGTAGTTTTCATTTAAGGACAAAACGGTATCTTGGAAATTTGACATACATTATAGATTACAATAAAAATAAGTAATAATAACTAGTAGTCACCACACTTACCATGTACTTATTTTTGCTTTTTGATTTTATTGTTATTTTTAATCGACACATACTAATGGTACATCAGTGTGATATTTTGATACATGTATACAATGTGTGATGATTAAAATAGGGTAATGAGCATACTCATCACCTCAAACTTTATTATTTCTTTATGTTGAGAATATTCAAAATCTGCTCTTCTAGATATTTGAAAATATACAACAAATTGTTGTTAATGATATAATTATCATTCTCCAGTGCTATAAACACTAGAACTGATTCCTCCTATTTAGCTATATTTTTGTATCTGTTAACCAAAATTTGGCTACCCCTTCCATCTTTAGTAATCACTAGTCCACTCTCTACTTCTGAGATCAACTTTTTAGCTTTCACATATGGATGAAAACATGTAGTATTGATCTTTCTGTGTCTGGTTTATTTCACTTAACATAATGTCTTTCAAGCTCATGTTGCTGTGAATTACAGAATTTCATTCATTTTTATGGCTAAATAGTATTCAATTGTGTATATACCACATTTTCATTATTCATTCATTTGTTAATGAATGAATCAACTTAAGTTAATTCTATATCTTGGCTATTGTGAATAGTGCTACAATAAACATGGGACTGCAGCTATCTCTTTAACATACTTATTTCATTTCCTTTAGATATATACATAGTAGTGGAATTGCTGGATCATATGGTAGTTCTGTTTTTAGATTTTTGAAGAACCTCCATACTGTTTTCCATAGTAGTTGTACTAATTTACATTCCTACCAAGAGCCACGTACTAGACCTTGTTTTAAACATGTCACAGGTGTTAGTAGTTGGTGTGCTGTATTTTCTGACTCCCTCTCCAGGATTGGTACATTCTGATAGCTCTTAGTGGTCAGCTCTCACCAGGAATTTCCCTTGGTGAGAGGAAGCTGCCTTGCTGAAGGTTGAGTGCCTTACAGGGACAGCCTGTGTCCAAAGACTGGTGCATAAAACAGTATAACGTTGTGGTACCCATCATAACTTGGGACAAATTGAAAGGGCCATTAGAGTTCCAGAACTGAAGTACTCTTGTAATTATATCACAGCTCCATTTCTTTTTTGCCTAATCTTGCTGCCCTCCCTCCCTAGAAGAGCTGATCCTGTGAACACACCCTAATAAACTTCCTGCCTCTAACCTTTTCAGAACCTATCTCTCCAGGAACACAACCTAAGATGGATAATTCTCATGTAACTCTCAAATTATTACCCTGTTTCACAAATGAAGAAACTGAGATATTATGGAGCTGGGTGTGGGTTCAATTGCACACAGGCAACATGGTTACTGTACTGGAAGGGTATCTAATGATGCCCACTGCGGTTGCGATTTGATACTATCTTTAGCCTTTGGCAATAATGTTATGCTTTTGCTTTTGTTTGACTATTTCTAGGAACAAGAAACTCACTATTTTTTTTTTTTTTTTTTTTTTTTTTTTTTTTTTTTTTTTGAGACGGAGTCTCGCTCTGTCGCCCAGGCTGGAGTGCAGTGGCGGGATCTCGGCTCACTGCAAGCTCCGCCTCCCGGGTTCACGCCATTCTCCTGCCTCAGCCTCCCAAGTAGCTGGGACTACAGGTGCCCGGCTAGTTTTTTGTATTTTTAGTAGAGACGGGGTTTCACCATTTTAGCTGGGATGGTCTCGATCTCCTGACCTCGTGATCCGCCCGCCTCGGCCTCCCAAAGTGCTGGGATTACAGGCGTGAGCCACCGCGCCCGGCCGAAACTCACTATTTAATAAAAGTAGATTTCATTGTTAGTCAGATCTAACGATTAGGACATTTTTGTTTTTGTCAGAATAAGACAAATTCTGTCTTTCTTTAACTCCTGCCCATTGTTGTAGCTCCTGCATTTTTGCATGATGCAATAAAATTCCCCAAATATTTCAAGAAAATCATGGTTCATTTATGCTTGCCTCCAGTCTAGGACAGTGCTACTCAAAGTGTGGTCCCTGGACCAGTGGTATTAGCATCACCAGCAATCTTGCTAGAAATGCAAATTCTTGGGCCCACCCAAGACCTACTGTAGCAGAATATCTGGGAGTGTGCTCTAGAGCTGTGTGTTTGCAAGAGTCCCCCAGGTAATTTTTAGGCAAGCCATCAGAAGCATGTTTGAGAGGCATTCTTTGAGGCCATGCAGTGCCCAATAGCCTATGCATGAGTTATTTTGGGTTCTGAAAATATTCAGGAGTTGGTTCTCTTCCCTTTGGGAAGAACCACAGCCAAGCATTCCAAAACTGCTTGTTTGTAGCCTGCTTACAAACTTGCCTTTCGAATTGATTTCAATCTTCCCAGCTTCCAATCAGTGGAATCATCCACCATATTTTTACCCTAGAGACTGATCTAAGAAGTGATAGTGGTGGGTAACTACTAATCACTCACTTGTGTATACAGATGGTAGCTGTTTGGATCTATCAAAAATTATGGTTCTTCAGTGATCTTTCTGCTGTGTCTCTTTGTTTAATCCTAAAAAATACACAGTGAAGGAGCTCCCAACACCACTTTGATAAACAATTATTTGATAGTCTGCATTGTTAGACTATGTTAGACTTTAAACTACTTCTTATCAAGTGGGAAATTAAATGTGTTGAGCTCTTACTAGGTGACTGGCTCTGTGCTCAAGTTTGACAGGTGCTATCACATTCAACTCTCACAATGACCATGAGGAAACTGAAGCTTAAAGAGATTTTGTTATTTTCTAAGGTTACAAAGCTGAAAAAAGGCAGACCTAGGAGTTGAAGCAGGTCTGTTTTCCTGAGCCCATGCCTTCCAACACAGTGTGATAGTTCTCTAGTTTTAGGTGTTGTATTAGTTATCTAATGCAGAGTAACAAATGACAACACATTTAGCAGATTAAAACAATACATATTTATTATTTTACAGTTTCTGTAGGTCAGTAATTCAGGCAGTTTCATTGCACTCTCTGATTTAGGGTCTCAGCAGCTTGCAATCCAGGTGTCACCTTGGAAAGCGTTCTCATCTGGAGGCTCAACTGGGGAAAGATCCTCTTCCAACCTCCCTCACATTGTTGTCAGTATTCATCTCCTGTAGGTCTGAGATGCTGATTTTCTTGCTGATTATCAGTCTAGGGAATGCCCACCTTTCCTTGCCTTGTAGACTTCTCCAAGCCCCTCAAAAGGGAGAGTCTCTTCCTCTAGTCTGCTGAAACAGTCCTATATAATGTAATGTATTCATGAGAGTACTATCCCATCCCTTTGTACTATTCTGTTGGTTGGAAGCAACTCACAGGTCCTGCCCACACTAAGGGGATGGAATTACACAAAAGTGGACACCACAAGGTAGGAAATTACTGGGAGTTACTGTAGGGCCTACTCATACTAATGTGCATTAAAAGATCATTCTTATAATAATTGTTTAAGATCCAGATTTCTGGCCCTCAATCCCAGAAATTCTGAGTCATGAATTGTATGGTGGGCCCAAGAGCCAGCATTTCTAATAAGTACTCATGGATAATTATGCTCCTAGTAGACAGGAGGAGCCACATGTAGAAAAACAAGGCCATAAACTTGTCCCATTGCACCGAAAGCAATTTACCCATTTATTTTGCCTTCTTACAGCAGGGAGTTTCAAAGAAGCTGATTACTATTTATTAAAAATCATCCCACTAAATCTTTGCCTTTGTCTTTCTTGGGAAATAAACCTTGCTTTCAAGTTTGACCGTTGGCAATTAATGCCAATCTACTCAGTTACTTGCTCTGTTGATATCTCTCCAGGCTCATTTTGCCTGAGACCTGCATCCCATATATCTGCTAGTATTTTCTGCTCTAGGAAAAATGTTTAAATTTGACAATTCTTTCTAGGCTAGTGTTCTAAAGCTAATGGAGAGATAAATTAGAGTAGCCAACCAACCTTCCTTGCCAAGAACTGAGGGATTCTTAGGGATATAGGACTTTCTAGTGCTAAAACTCAGAAAGCCCAGGTATACTGAGACAATGGGTCACACTTCCGTTGTTTGTAGCAAAAAGAAGAATTTAAGGTGAAAGCAAACAAGCTCGAGTTTGTTTATGACTTTCAGTGCTTGCTTCAATAGTGTTTCTTCAGCGTTTATGACTTTTAATGCTTGCTTCCGTGGTGACTTTCACCAGCATAATCCTTGGTAACTCTGTTAGGCTGAAAAATAATGGTCCCCAAAATATCTACACCCTAATCCTGGAACTTGTGTTAACCTTATTTGGAAAAAGGGACTTCCCAGATGTGACCAAATTAGGGTCAAAAAGTGAGGAGGTTATCCTGGTTTATACAGGTAGACCCTCAAAAATTTCCTTACAACAGAGAGGCAGGCAGAAAAAAATTATGCACACAAAAGAGGAGGAGACAACATTACTGTGAAGGCAAAGATTAGATTTATGTGTCCACAAATCAAGGAATGTGAGTGGCCACCAAAAGCAGCAAGAGACAAGGAAAAGATTCTCCCTGAGAGTCTCCAAAAGAAGCATGATCCTGCTGAAAACTTGATTTTAGCCCAGTGATATTGATTTTGGATTTGTGATCTACAGAACTGTGAGAGAATACACTTCTGTCATTTTAAACCATAAAGTTTCTGCTAGTTTCTCATAGCAGCCATAGGAAATGAATACAGTTACCCTACCAAGTTTCCCTTGCTCCCTAGATTTCAGTTGGAGACTTTGGTTGCAAGGAACAGAAAAACTCTGGCTAACCTAAGCAAACAAACAACTTGTTAAACAAACAAACAAGCAAAATGGAAATATATGGGATGATTTTGAAGGAAATACTGAAGATTTAGTCTTGGAAAAGGAATCAGGGAAGAAACAAATGGGCAATCTGTGTGGGAAGTGGCCAACACAGTGTATCAACTCAGCTGCTCTCAGTCTCTGGTTCATTTTGCTCAGGAATCAAAATCCAAAATAAGACAGCATATCGGCATGGTCTATCTGTGATAAAGGGAGGGTGAGACACCTTGATCCACAATTCCTGTGTGACTGTATCCAATGACGAAAAGGATTTCACTGGAGCCAGAATCAGATGTTGTATCTGGAAGAACAGACAAGGAAAAAAACCAGCAGATATCTGCTATACTTCGTTCTTAAGTGTGGTTCCAACAACCGTCAGCACCAGTACCACCTGGGAACTTGCAAGAAATGTCTATTCTTGGTCCCCATCTCATACCTATAGAATCAGGAAGTCTAGGGTTGTGTCCAGAAATCTGCGTTTCAACAAGGTGTTTCAAACACCTCCAGGTGATTCTGAGGTAAGTTGAAGTTTGAGAACCATCGATTGGATTCATTGATTGCTTGTTTTGATCTAATTACTACGTTTAATAAACCTTTCCTCCTCTCTTTGTTTTCCTTCTACTATCCTAGTTTCAAAAAAGCCTTTAGTACCTCTTGCCTAGATGATTTCTAATTGGTCTGTCTGCTCTGGCCTTAAATGCCACAAACTGACTTCCCATGCAAGTTTCAGAGTAAACTATATAAAATACATATATGACCATTTACTCCCCTAATTAAAATTCCTTAGTGATTTCCCTATATTTTCATCAGGAATTCATCAGGAGAACTGCCACTACAAGGTAAAGGGCTCTGGGGCCCTAAATAAACTTGAAAGACAATATAAACCACAAAGACTGCAACTCCTAGGTGAGTCCTAGTGCTGAACTGAGCCCAGAGACAGTGGACTGACAGGGGATGGTGACAGATGAACTACTGAGACACAGGCCAGGATGGCTAAGGGAATGCTGGCATCTCCTTTCCCCTAACCCTAGGCTACACAGCTTGTGGCTCCAAAAGAGACCTCTTCCCACTGCTTGAGGAGAGGAGAGGGAAGAATGGAGAGGACTTTGTCTTGCATCTTGGATACCAGCTCAGCTACAGCAGGATAGGGCAGCAGTCAGAGTTGTGAGGCCCCCTTTCCAGGTCCTAGCTCCTGGATGACATTTCTGGACACACCCTGGGCCAGAAGGAAACCTGCTCCTTTGGAGGAAAGAACCCAATTTTGGCAGGTATCATCACCTGCTAATTTAAGAGCCCTTGGGCCTTGAATAGCCAGCAGTGATATCCAGGTACTACACCAAGGGCCTTGGATGAGACTCTGAAACTTGCTGGCTTCAGATGAGACTCAGCACATTCCCAGCTGTGCTGTCTATGGGGTGAGACTCCTTCCACTTAAGAAAAGCAGAGGGAAAAGTAAAAGGGACTTTGTTGTGCACATTAGGTACCAGCTCAGCCACAGTGGGAGAGAGCATGAAGTGGGCTCTTGGGTCCCCAATTCCAGGACTTGGCTCTTGGATGGCATTTCTGGACCTGCCCTGGGGTAGAGGGGAGCCCATTTCCCTGAAGGGTGAGTCTCAGGGAAGGCAGCGTTCACCACAAGCTGACTGAAGAGTGCTTGGGCCCTATGGAAACATTGGCAGTAGTCTGGCAGTATTTCCCATGGGCCTATGATGGTGGTAGCCATGGAGTGAAGCTCCTCTGCCTTTGGAAAGGGGAGAGAAGAGTGGAAAGGACTGTGTCTTGTGATTTGTGTGCCAGCTCAGCCACAGTACAATAGAACACAAGGTAGGCTTCTAAGGTTTTTGACTCTAGTCCCTGGCTCCTGGACCTGCCCAGGGCCTGGGGGACCTCAGGTAGGAAAAGGAAAGACAAAGGCCTGGTTGGCTTTGCTACCTGCTAATTGTAGAGACCCAGGTTTTTCAGCAAACATAGGCTGTAGCCAGGGAGTAGTTACAGTAGGCTTTGGCAAGACCCAGTGTTGTGTTGGCTTCAGGTTGACCCAACGCAATCCTAGTGGTGGTCGTGGTGGCCACAGGGGTGCTTGTGTCACTCCATCCCCCAGCTCCAGGTGGCTTAGAACAGAGACTTCATTGGATTGGGAGAAATTAAGGGAAGAGAACAAGAGTCTTTTCCTGTTAATACAGAGAATTCTTCCAGATCTTGTCCAAGACCATCAAGGCAGCACTTCTATGAATCTGCAGGAACCACAGTGTTACTAGGCTTGGGGTACTTCCTAAAGCAGATACAGCTTAGATCACAGCACTCGAGTTCTTTCAAATATCTGGGAAGTCTTCCCAAGAAGAACAAGTACAAAGACCAGACTGAGAAGACTGCAATGGATACCTAACTCTTCAATGCCCAGACACCCAGACACCGAAGAACATCTACTAGCATCAACACCATCCAGAGAAACATAACCTCACCAAATAAACTAAATAAGGCACCAGGGACTAATCCTGGAGAAACAGAGATATGTGATCTTTCAGACAGAGAATTCAAAATAGCTGTGTTGAGTACACTTAAAGAAATTCAAGAAAACACAGAGAAATAATTAAGAATTCTATCAGATAAATTTAACAAGAAAATTGAAATAATAAAGAGACTCAAGCAGAAATTCTGGAGCTGAAAATGCAAGTGGAATACTGAAGAAATGCATCAGAGTATTTTAATAGGAGTATTTATCAAGCAGAATAAATAGGTGAGCTTTAAGACAGACTATTTGAAAACACATAGTCAGAAGTACAAAGGAAAAAAAGAATAAAAAGCAATGAACATGTCTACAGGATCTAAAAAATAGCCTCAAAAAGGGAAATCTAAGAACAATTGGCCTTAAAGAGGGGTAGAGAAAGAGATAGGAGTAGAAAGTTTATTCAAAGGGCTAATAACACAGAACTTCCCAAATCTGGAGAAAGATATAAATATCCAAGTACAAGAAGGTTATAGAACACCAAGCGGATTAAACTCAAAGAAGATTACCTAAAGGTATTTAATAATCAAACTCCCAAAGGTCAAAGATAAAGAAAGGGTTATTTAAAAAAGCAGCAAGAGAAAAGAAATAAGTAACATACAATGGAGCTCCAATATGTCTGGCGGCAGATTTTTCAGTGGAAACATTAGAGGCCAGGAGAGAGTGACATTATATATTTAAAGTACTGAAGGAAAAAAACTTTTGCCCTAAAATAGAATATCTGGCAAAAACATCCTTCAAACATGAAGGAAAAATAGAGACTTTCCAAGACAAACAAAGACTGAGGAATTTCATCAATATCAGACCTGTCCTACAAGAAATACTAAAAAGAAAACTTCAATGAGAAAGAAAAGTATTTTAATGAGCAATAAATCAGCTGAAGGTACAAAACTCTGTTATAGTAAGTACAGAGACAAACACAGAATGTTATAACTCTGTAACTGTGACATGTAAACTACTCTTAAGATGAAGACTAAATGATGAACCAATCAAAAATAATTACAATTTTTCAAGATATGGACACTATAATAAGATATAAATAGTAACAACACAAAGTTAGAAACAGAGAAACAAGGTTAAGGTGTAGAGTCTTCTTTAGTTTTCTTTTTGCTTGTTTGTTTGTTCATGCAAACAGTATTTAGTTGTTATAAGCTTAAAATTATGGTCTATAAAATAGTATTTGTAAGCCTCATGGTAACCTCAAACTAAAAAATATACAATGGATACATAAAAAATAGAAAGCAAGAAACTAAATTATATCACCAGAGAAAATCATATTTACTAAAAGGAAGACAAGAAGGAAAGAAGGAGGAGGAGATCACAAAACAACCAGAAAACAAATGAAATGGCAGCAGTAAGTCCTTACTCATCAATAATAACATTTAATGCAAACGGCCTAAACTCTCCAATCAAAAGACAGAGAGTGGCTGAATAAATAAAAAAATCAAGACCTAGGGATCTGTTGCCCATAAGAAACATACTTCACCCATAAAGACAGATAGACTGAAAATAAAGGGAGGAAAAAAGATATTCCATGCCAGTTGAAACAAAAAATGAGCAGGAATAGCTATACTTTTATCAGGCAAAATAAATAGACAAAAACTATAAGAAAAGACAAAGGAGGTCACTACATAATAATAAAGGGGTCAATTCAGGAAGACGATATAACTATTTTAAGTATATATGCACCCAACACTGGAGCACCCAGCTATATAAAGCAAATATGATTAGAGCTAAAGAGAGAGATGCGTCCCAAACAATAATAGGTAGAGATTTCAACATCTCACTTTCAGCATTGGACAGATCTCCCAGACAGAAAATCAACAAAGAAAAATTGAACCTAATCTGCACTATAGATTAAATACATCTAATAGATATTTGCAGAACATTTTATTCAATGGCTATAGAATACACATTCCTTTCCTCAGCACATGAATCATTCTCAAGGATAGAACATATATGAGGTTACAAAATAAGCCTTAAAACATTCAAAAAAATTGAAATAATATTAAGCATCTTCTCTGACCACAATGGAAGAAAACTAGAAAGCAATAACAAGAGGAATTTTGGAAACTACACAAATACACGAAGATTAAACAATACGCTCCTGAACAACCAGTGCATCAATGAAGAAATTAAGAAGGAAATTGTGCAATTTCTGGAAACAACTGATAATGGAAATACAACATACCAAAACCTATGGGATATAGCAAAAGCAGTACTAAGAGGAAAGTTTATAGCTATTAAGTGCCTACATCAAAAAAGAAGAAAAACCTCAAATAAACAACCTAAAGATGTATCTTAAAAACTAGAAAAGCAAGAGCAAACCAAACCCAAAATTAGTAGAAGAAAAATAATAAAAATCAGAGCAGAAATAAATGAAATTGCAACAAAGAAAACAATACATCAAATCAATAAAACAAAAAGTTGGTTTTTCAAAAAGTTAAACAAAATTGACAAACCTTTAGTCAGACTAAGAAATAAAGAGAGGAGATCCAAGAAAATAAAATCAGAGATGAAAAAGGAGACATTACAAGTGATACTACAGAATTTCCAAGGATCATTAGTGGCTACAATGAACAACTATATACCAATAAGCTGGAAAATCTAGAAGAAATGGATAAACTTCTAGACACATACAACCTACCAAAATTGAATCATGAGGAGATCCAAAACCTGAACAGACCAATAATAAGTAATGAGATTTAAGACGTAACAAAAGTTTCCCACTAAAGAAAAGCCCAAGAGCCAACGGCTTCACTGCTGAATTCTACCAAACATTTGAACAGGAACAAATACCAATCCTACTCAAACTATTCCAAAAAATAGGGAAGAAGGAAAAACTTCCAAACTCATTCTAGGAAGCCTAATATTAAAAAGATCATTCATTATGACCAAGTGGGATTTAACCCTGGGATGCAAGGATGGTTCAACCTATGCAAATCAATCAATGTGATACATCATGTCAACAGAATGAAGAACAAAAACTATATGATTATTTCAATTGATGCAGAAAAAGCATTTGATAAAATTCAACATCACTTCATGATAAAAACCCTCAAAAAACTGGGTATAGAAGGAACATATCTCAAAATAATAAAGGCCATATGTGACAGACCCATAGCTAGTATCATACTGAAAAGGGAAAAACCTGAAACCCTTTGCTCTAAGATCTGGAATGTGACAAGGATGTCCATGGTCATTACTATTACTCAGCATAGTACTGGAAGTCCTAGCTAGAGCAATCAGACAAGAGAAAGATGTAAAGGGCATCTAAATTGGAAAGGAAGAAGTCAAATTATTCTTGTTTGCAGGTGATATTATCATTTGACAAAACCTAAAGACTCCACAAGAAAAATATTAGACCTGATAAACAAATTCAGTAAAGTTGCAGGATACAAAATCAACATACAAAAATCAGCAGCATTTATATATGCCAACAGTGAACAATCTGAAAAAGAAATTTAAAAAGTAATCCCATTCACAACAGCCAAAAATAAAATTAAATACATAGGAATTAACTTAAGCAAAGAAGTGAAAGATCTCTATAATATAAAGTATAAAGCACTGATGAAAGAAATTTAAGAGGACACTGAAAAATGGAAGGATATTTCATGTCAATGAATTAAATGAATCCAATTGTTAAAATGTCCATACTACCCAAAGCAATCTACAGAATCAATGCAATCCCTATCAAAATACCAATGACATTCTTCACAGAAATAGAAAAAAATATCCTAAAATTTAAATGGAACAAAATACCCAGAATAGCCAAAGCTATTCTAAGTAAAAAGAACAAAACTAGAGGAATCACATTACCTGACTTCAAATTATACTACAGAGCTATAGTAACTAAAACAGCATGGTACTGGCATAAAAACAGACATGTTGACTAATGGAACAGAATAGAGAACCCAGAAACTAATCCACACACCTCGTGAACTCATTTGTGACAAAGGTACCAAGAACATACACTGGGAAAAAGACAGTCTCTTTGATAAATGATCCTGGGAAAACTGCATATCTACACAGAGAAAAATAAAACTGGACTCCTATGTCTTGCTATATCCAAAAATCAAATCAAAATGAATTAAAGACTTAACTCTAACACCTCAAACTACGAAACTACTAAAAGAAAACATTGAGGAACCTCTCTAAAACATTGGTTACTCAAAATTTCTTGAATAACAGTCCACAAGCACAGGTAACCAAAGCAAAAATGGACAATTGGGATGACATCAAGTTAAAAAGCTTTCGTATGGCAAAGGATACAATCAACAAAGTGAAGAGACAACCCACAAAATGAAAGGAAGTACTTGCAAACTACCCATTCGGCAAGGAATTAATAACCAGAATATATAAAGAACTCAAACAACTCTATAGGAAAAAAAATCTAATAATCCAATTTAAAAATGGACAGAAGATCTGAATAGACATTTCACAAAAGAAGACATAAATGGCAGACAGGCATATGAAAAGGTGCTCAACATCACTGATCATCAGAGAAATGCAAATCAAAACTACAGTGAGACATCATCTCACCCCAGTTAAAATGGCTTATATCCAAAAGACAGGCAATAACAAATACTGGTGAGGATGTGCAGAAAAGGAAACCTTTATACACGCTGGGTGGGAATATAAATTAGTACAATCACTATGGAGAATGGTTTAGAGGTTCCTCAAAGAAGTAAAATAGAGCTACTATATGATTCAGCAATGCTACTGCTAGGTATATACCCAAAAGAAAACAAATTAGTAGATCAAAGAGATATCTGCACTCTCATGTTTGTTGCAGCACTCTTCACAGTAGCCAAAATTTGGAAGTAACTTAAGTGTCATCAACAAATAAATGGAAAAAGAAAATGTGGTAGTTGTCACAATGGTGCTATTCAGCCATAAAAAAGAATGAGATCCTGCCATTTGCAACGGCATGGATGGAACTGGAGGTCATTATGCTAACTGAAATAAGCCAAGCACGGAAAGACAAATATCGCGTGCTCTCACTTATTTGTGGAATCTAAAAATCAAAACAATTGAACTCAAGGAGACAGAGAGTAGAGGCTTTTCCCAGCAGCTGGGAAGGGTAGTGCGGAGTGGCGGGAGTGGGGATCGTTAATAGGTATAAAAAATAGAAAATAATGAATAATACATGGTATTTGATAGCACAACAGGGTAATCACAGTCAATAATAATTAATTGTACATTTTTAGATAACTAAGAGTATAATCGGATAGTTTTTAACCAAAAGAATAAGTGCGGCCGGGCGCGGTGGCTCACGCCTGTAATCCCAGCACTTTGGGAGGCCGAGGCGGGTGGATCATGAGGTCAGGAGATCGAGACCATCCTGGCTAACAAGGTGAAACCCCGTCTCTACTAAAAATACAAAAAATTAGCCGGGCGCGGTGGCAGGCGCCTGTAGTCCCAGCTACTCGGGAGGCTGAGGCAGGAGAATGGCGTGAACCCGGGAAGCGGAGCTTGCAGTGAGCCGAGATTGCGCCACTGCAGTCCGCAGTCCGGCCTGGGCGACAGAGCGAGACTCCGTCTCAAAAAAAAAAAAAAAAAAAAAAAAAAAAAAAAAAAAAAAGAATAAGTGCACTTGAGGAAATGGATACCCCATTTTTCGTGATGTGATTATTGTGCATTGCATGCTTATATCAAAACATCTAATGTACCCCATAAATATATACACCTACTATGTTCCCACAAAAATTAAAATAAATAGTAGCTTAAAAAATGGTACAGATCAATATGTATCTTACTCTTTTGTGCACATGCATTATGAACAGCATATTCAGCAACTAGACAATGGCTTGAATCTTAGAAAACCTCAGCGTTCCTAATTTTCTTATCATTTCGCGTTCCTTTCTTACTTTGTAATGCGATCCAAGTGTCAGATTTAGAATACACAGTTATTATTTACCTTTGCAACATTTTACAAAGTGAGTTGGTATTAACTTTTTTTTATTATTTCATGAAATTTCTAGACATAATGTGGCCAGAATATGGAAGTTAATTAAATGTTGCCTATGGAATAAAGTTTGAATAGAAGCTTTGTAAAAAAAAAAAAAAAAATAGCAGAGTAGTAGTGAAGAACTGCTCATAGATGCTTCTGGGACTCTTTTGAGTATGGATGAACTCCAAGATCTGGCTGAATTTCATTTAAATAGCAGAGAAAACACTCTATTTTCTAGACAGACTTGCCATAACTGGCAGAAGCTGTAAGATTTTTAAGTGTCTTTGGCAAAGTTCCCAAAAAGGCAAGTGCTTAAACTTTCCCAGAAATCGTGCATGTGAATAAAATCATAGCCAAACCTGAAAACATTAGACATAAGCTTTTTACACCAAAGGGATTCAAGTGTGAATTGTCTTCATCCTTCTATCTTTCCTGTAGACAGACACCCTAGTAATTTTTCTACTAGCAGAGCAAATAATGTTATTTAGCAGTAGAAATTAATACGAGGATTGCTTTGTTATTTATTTATTTATTTATTTATTTACAACCTGTGCTTTTCAGTTAAGAATCTGCCATTTAACAACAAAGGTTGCTTTACTGAAAATTTAGGGGATCGAAGTAAAGATTAATGAAGCTATAAGGAAATAATCTCTCATATACAGAATGTGAGACCTTCAACAAAACAACTCATTTGGTTTCTTCAGAAGGTCAATGTCATTTTAAAAACGGGTGGAAGAAACTGGCCTAGAATGAAGATATAACACTCAAACACAAAGCATGAACCTTGATTCGTGTTTGAAAAACAGCCATAAAAAGCATTTTGGGAAGAATTCAGGAAATTCAGTTTTAATAGAAACTGGGTGTTAGATGACACAAGGAAATTGAAGATATCCTTATTCTTAGGAGATGCAAGCTGAAGGTTTTCTTGGTGAAGCATGCGCTGCCTGCAATTTACTTCGAAACAATCCAGCTACGGAGAGGAAAACAGTGAGGAAAAGAGGGCAATGAAGAAAGGAAGGGAAATGACAAAAAAAAAAATGTTAAAAGTTGTTAATCTCTGTGATGAGTAAATAGGTGTTCATTGTGTTATTTTTTTTCAACTTTTGTGAATGTTTGAAATCACTTGATCTTAGCCAAAAGGCTGAGAAGCGATACTGAATGTTTGAAAATCAATAATAATTTGTGAAAAAAAGAGAGCAGAGACTTTGGAGCTGAGTCTGCCTCCTAGCTCTGCCACTTACTAGCTTAAGTTATTACAGTTCTTTGAACTTTGGTTTTCTCATTTGTAAAGAGAGGATAATAATTTATATTCCATAAGATTGTTACAAAAAGTATATAAAATGACACTGTAAAGCATAGCTGTGTTTTACACATCTACTTCACTGTTACCTATCATTGTCATTGTAATAATTACAAAGATTATTACCATTACCTATGACTAAGTAATTAATACCTTTTATTATAGGTATTATTACCTATCATCTGTTTTAAAGGTACAATTTTGGTTTTTCAAAGCACTTTCATAAATATTCTCTTTAAAATTCACCCTAAATTAGCTGGGCATGGTGGCGGGTGCCTGTAATCCCAGCCACTCAGGAGGCTGAGGCAGGAGAATGACTCGAACTTGGGAGGCAGAGGTTGCAGTGAGCCGAGATCGTGTCATTGCATTCCAGCCTGAGTGACAAGAGAGAAACTCTGTGTCAAAAAATAATAAGAAGAAATAAAATAAAATTCACACCAATCCTGCATTAGGAGGAAAAATGTTCATATTTTCTACTTACTATTACCTAAAACTTTCTATGTATTAAACTTATTATACTAAAATTATTGTGAATATTTGTGCACTAGAATGAAACAAAAACTATTTACAGCATTACTTTTCAAAAATAACCACCTACTCTTTAAAATATACCTGTGAGAAATGCTTTGAAAATATAGTATGTATTTTATTTTTTTTTGTTCATTGAACCTGGTTTCATTTTTGAAAATTTTTTTAATTGTCTCAACTTTTATTTTAGGTTCAGGGAATACATGTACAGGTTTGTTACATGGGTAAATTGTATGTCACCTGGGTTTGATGTATAAATGATTTTGTCACCCAAGTAATGAGCATAATACCCAATAGGTAGTTTTTTGACCCTCACTCTCCTCCCACCCTCCAGCCCCCATTAAGTAGGCCCTGGTGTCTATTGTTTCCCAATTTGTGTTCATGTGTACTCAGTGTTTAGTTCCCACTTACCAGTGAGAATGTGGTATTTGGTTTTCTGTTCCTGTGTTAGTTCGCTTAGGATAATGACCTCCAGCTTTATCCATGTTGCTACAAACGACATGATTTTGTTTTTTTTTTTGAATGGTTGCATAGTATTCCATGATGTATATGTACCGTATTTCCTTTATCCAATCCAGCACTGATGGGCAGCTAGGTTGATTCCATGTCTTTAGTATTGTGAATAGTGCTGCAATAAACATACACATGCATGTGTCTTTCTCTTTATTATTATTATTATACTTTTAAGTTGTAGGGTTCATGTGCACAACATGCAGGTTTGTTACATAGGTATACATGTGCCACGTTGGTGTGCTGCACCCATGAACTCGTCATTTACATTTGGTATTTCTCCCAGTGCTATCCCTCCCCCAGTGCCCTACCCCCTGACGGGCCCCAGTGTGTGACGTTCCCTGCCCTGTGTCCATGTGTTCTCATTGTTCATTTCCCACCTATGAGTGAGAACATGTGGTGTTTGGTTTTCTCTCCTTGTGATAGTTTGCTGAGAACGATGGTTTCCAGCTTCATCTATGTCCCTACAAAGGACATGAACTCATCCTTTTTTATAGCTGCATAGTATTCCATGGTGTATATGTGCTACATTTCCTTAATCCAGCCTATGACTGATGGACATTTGGGTTGGTTCGAAGTCTTTGCTATTGTGAATAGTGCCACAATAAACATACATGTGCATGTGTCTTTATAGTAGCATGACTTATAATCCTTTGGGTATATACCCAGTAATGGGATCACTGGGTCAAATGGTATTTCTAGTTCTAGATCCTTGAGGAATCACCACACTGTCTTCCACAATGGTTGAACTAATTTATACTCTCACCAACAGTGTAAAAGTGTTCCTATTTCTCCACACCCTCTCCAGTATCTGCTGTTTCCTGACTTTTTAATGATTGCCCTTCTAACTGGTGTGAGATGGTATCTCATTGTGGTTTGGATTTGCATTTCTGTGATGACCAGTGATGATGAGCACTTTTTCATGTGTCTGTTGGCTGTATAAATGTCTTCTTTTGAGAAGTGTCTGTTGATATCCTTTGTCCACTTCTTGATGGGGTTGTTTGTTTTTTTCTTGTAAATTTGTTTAAGTTCTTTGTAGATTCTGGATATTAGCCCTTGTCAGATGGATAGATTGCAAAAATTTTCTCCCATTTTATAGGTTGCCTGTTCACTCTCATAGTAGTTTCTTTTGCTGTGCAGAAGCTCTTTAGTTTAATTAGATCCCATTTGTCTATTTTGGCTTTTGTTACCATTGCTTTGGTGTTTTAGTCATGAAGTCTTTGCCCATGCCTATGTCCTGAATGGTATTGCTTAGGGTTTATTCTAGGGTTTTTATGGTTTTAGGTCTTACATTTAAGTCTTTAATCCATCCTGAGTTAATTTTTGTATAAGGTGTAAGGAAGGGATCCCATTTCAGCTTTCTACAGATGGCCAGCCAGTTTTCCCAGCACCATTTATTAAATAGGGAATCCTTTCCCCATTTCTTGTTTTTGTTAGGTTTGTCAAAGATCAGATGGTTATAGATGTCTGCTGTTATTTCCGAGGCCTCTGTTCTGTACCATTGGTCTATATCTCTGTTTTGGTACCAGTACCATGCTGTTTTGGTTACTGTAACCTTGTAGTATAGTTTGAAGTCAGGTAGCGTGATGCCTCCAGCTTTGTTCTTTTTGCTTAGGATTGTCTTGACAATGTGGGCTCTTTTTTGGTTCCATATGAACTTTAAAGTAGTTTTTTCAACTTCTGTGAAGAAAGTCATTGGTAGCTTGATGGGGATAGCATTGAATCTATAAATTACCTTGGGCAGTATGGCCATTTTCACGATATTGATTCTTCCTATCCATGAGCATGGAATGTTCTTCCATTTGTTTGTGTCCTCTTTTATTTCATTGCAGTGGTTTGTAGTTCTCCTTGAAGAGGTCCTTCACATCCCTGGTAAGTTGGATTCCTAGGTATTTTATTCTCTTTGTAGCAATTGTGAATGGGAGTTTACTCATGATTTGGCTCTCTGTTTGTCTTTTATTGGTGTATAGGAATGCTTGTGATTTTTGCACATTGATTTTGTATCCTGAGACTTTGCTGAAGTTGCTTATCAGCTTAAGGAGATTTTGGGCTGAGACAATGGGGCTTTCTAAATACACAATCATGTCATCTGCAAACAGGGACAATTTGACTTCCTCTTTTCCTAATTGAGTACCCTTTATTTCGTTCTCTTGCCTGACTGCCCTGGCCAGAACTTCCAACACTATGTTGAATAGGAGTGGTGAGAGAGGGCATCCTTGTCTTGTTCCAGTTTTCAAAGGGAATGCTTCCAGTTTTTGCCGTTTCAGTATGATATTGACTGTGGGTTTGTCATAAATAGCTCTTATTGTTTTGAGTTACAGTCCATCAATACCTAGTTTCTTGAGAGTTTTAGAACGAAGGGCTGTTGAATTTTGTCAAAGGCCTTTTCTGCATCTATTGAGATAATCATGTAGTTTTTGTCGTTGGTTCTGTTTATGTGATAGATAATTGATTTGCATATGTTGAACCAGCCTTGCATCGCAGGCATGAAGCTGGCTTGATTGTGTTAGATAAGCTTTTTGATGTGCTGCTGGATTCGGTTGGCCAGTATTTTATTGAGGATTTTGCATCGATGTTCATCAGGGATATTAGTCTAAAATTCTCTTTTTTTGTTGTGTCTCTGCCAGGCTTTGGTATCAGGATAATGCTGGCCTCATAAAATGAGTTGAGGAGGATTCCCTCTTTTTCTATTGACTGGAATAGTTTCAGAAGGAATGGTACCAGCTCCTCTTTGTACCTCTGGTAGAATTTGGCTGTGAATCTGTCTGGTCCTGGACTTTTTTGGCTGGCAGGCTATTAATTACTGCCTCAATTTCAGAACCTGTTATTGGTCTATTCAGAGATTCAGCTTCTTCCTGGTTTAGTTTTGGGAGTGTGTACATGTCCAGGAATTTATCCATTTCTTCTAGATGTTCTAGTTTATTTGTGTAGGAGTGTTTATAGTATTCTCTGATGGTAGTTTGTATTTCTGTGGGATCAGTGGTGATATCCCCTTTATCATTTTTTTTGTGTCTCTTTGATTCATCTTTTTTTCTTTATTAGTCTTGCTAGCAATCTATCTATTTTGTTGATCTTTTCAAAAAACCAGCTCCTGGATTCATTGATTTTTTGAAGGGTTTTTTTGTGTCTCTATCTCCTTCAGTTCTGCTCTGATCTTAGTTATTTCTTGCCTTCTGCTAGGTTTTGAATTTGTTTGCTCTTGCTTCTCTAGTTCTTTTAATTGTGGTGTTAGGGAGTCAATTTTAGGTCTTTCCTCCTTTCTCTTGTGGGCATTTAGTGCTATAAATTTCCCTCTACACACTGCTTTAAATGTATCCCAGTGATTCTGGTACATTGCGTCTTTGTTCTCATTGGTTTCAAAGAACATCTTTATTTCTGCCTTCATTTCGTTTGTACCCAGTAGTCGTTCAGGAGCAGGTTGTTTAGTTTCCGTGTAGTTGTGCGGTTTTTAATGAGTTTCTTAATCCTAAGTTCTAATTTGATTGCACTGTGGTCTGAGAGACAGTTTGTTGTGATTTTTGTTCTTTTACATTTGCTGAGGAGTGCTTTACTTCTAATTATGTGGTCAATTTTAGAATAAGTGTGATGTGTTGCTGAGAAGAATGCATATTCTGTTGATTTGGGGTGGAGAGTTCTGTAGATGTCTATTAGACCCACTTGGTGCAGAGCTGAGTTCAAGTCCTGGATATCCTTGTTAACCTTCTGTCTCATTGATCTGTCTAATATTGACAGTGGGGTGTTAAAGTCTCCCATTATTATTGTGTGGGAGTCTAAGTCTCTTTATAGGTCTCTGAGTACTTGCTTTATGAATTGGATGCTTATATATTTAGGATCGTTAGCTCTTCTTGCTGCATTGGTCCCTTTACCATTACGTAATGGCCTTCTTTGTGTCTTTAGATCTTTGTTGGTTTAAAGTCTGTTTTATCAGAGACTATGAGTGCAACCCCTGCTTTTTTTTACTTTCCATTTGCTTGGTAGATCTTCCTCCATCCCTTTATTTTGAGCCTGTGTGTGTCTCTGCACATGAGCTGGGTCTCCTGAATACAGCACACTGATGGATCTTGACTGTTTATTCAATTTGCCAGTCTTTGTCTTTTAACTGGGGCATTTAACCAATTTACATTTAAGGTTAATATTGTTATGTGTGAATTTGATCCTGTCATTATGATGTTAGCTGGTTATTTTGCCCGTTGATTGATGCAGTTTCTTCATAGCATCGATGGTCTTTACAATTTGGCGTGTTTTTGTAGTGGCTGGTACTGGTTGTTCCTTTCCATGTTTAGTGCTTCCTTCAGGAGCTCTTGTAAGGCAGGCCTGGTAGTGACAAAATCTCTCAGCATTTCCTTGTCTATAAAGGATTTTATTTCTCCTTCACTTATGAAGCTTAGTTTGGCTGAATATGAAATTCTGGGTTGAAAATTCTCTTCTTTAAGAATGTTGAATATAGGCCCCCACTCTCTTCTGGCTTGTAGGGTTTCTGCCAAGAGATCCGCTGTTAGTCTGATGGGCTTCCCTTTGTGGATAACCTGACCTTTCTCTCTGGCTGCCCTTAACATTTTTTCCTTCATTTCAACCTTGGTGAATCTGACAATTGTGTGTCTTGGGGTTGCACTTCTTGAGGTGTATCTTTGTGGTGTTCTCTGTGTTTCTTGAATTGGATGTTGGCCTGCCTTGCTAGATTGGGGAAGCTCTCCTGGATAATATCCTGAAGAGTGTTTTCCAACTAGGTTCCATTCTCCCCGTCACTTTCAGGTACACCAATCAAACATAGATTTGGTCTTTTCACATAGTCCCATATTTCTTGGAGGCTTTGTTCGTTTCTTTTTACTCTTTTTTCTCTAATCTTGTCTTCTCTCTTTATTTCATGAATTTGATTTTCAGTCACTGATATCTTTTCTTCCACTTGATTGAATTGGCTATTGAAGCTTGTGCATGCGTCACGAAGCTCTCATGCCGTGGTTTTCAGCTATGTCAGCTCATTTAAGTTCTTCTCTACACTGTTTATTCTAGTGAGCTATTCGTCTAACCTTTTTTCAAGGTTTTTAGCTTCCTTGAGATGGGTTACAACATGCTTCTTTAGCTCAGAGAAGTTTGTTATTACCGACCTTCTGAAGCCTACTTCTGTCAACTTGTCAAACTCATTCTCCATCCAGTCTTCTTCCCTTCCTGTCAAGGAGCTGCAATCCTTTGGAGGAGAAGAGGCACTCTGGTTTTTGGAATTTTCAGCTTTTCTGCTCTGGTTTCTCCCCATCTTTGTAGTTTTATCTACCTTTGGTCTTTGATGTTGGTGACCTACAGATGGGGTTTGGTGTGGATGTCCTTTTTGTTGATGTTGATGCTATTGCTTTCTGTTTGTTAGTTCTCCTTCTAACAGTTAGGACCCTCAGCTGCAGGTCTGTTGGAGTTTGCTGGGGGTCAGCTCCATACCCTGTTTGCCTGGGTATCACCAGCGGAGGCTGCAGAACAGAAAATATTGCTGCCTGATCCTTCCTCTGGAAGCTTCATCCAAGAGGGACACCCACCTGTATGAGGTGTCTGTCGGCCCCTACTGGGAGGTGTCTCACAGTCAGGCTATATGGGGGTCAGGGACCCATTTGAGGAGTCAGTCTGTCCATTCTCAGAGCTTGAACACGATGCTGGGAGAACCACTGCTCTCTTCAGAGCTGTCAGACAGGGATATTTAAGTATGCAGAAGTTTCTGCTGCCTTTTGTTCAGCTCTGCCCTGCCCACAGAGGTGGAGTCTACAGAGGCAGTAGGCCTTCCTGAGCTGCAGTGGGCTCCACCCAGTTCGAGCTTCTTGGCCACTTTCTTTACCTACTCAAGCCTCAGCAATGGCAGATGCCTCTCCCCCCACCAGGCTGCAGCCTCACAGGTCAATCTCAAACTGCTCTGCTAGCAGCGAGCAAGGCTCCGTAGGCATGGGACCTGCTGAGCCAAGCACAAGAGAGAATCTCCTGGTCTGCCAGTTGCTAAGACTGTGGGCAAAGCACAGTATTCGGGTGGGAGTGTACCATTTTTCCTGGTACAGTCTGTCATGGCTTCCCTTGGCTAGGAAAGGGAAATCCCCCGACCCCTTGCACTTCCCAGGTGAGGCGACACCCACCCTGCCTTGCTTCGGCTCATCCTCCGTTGGCTGCACCCAGTGTCCAACCAGTTCCAGTGAGATGAACCAGGTACCTCAGTTGGAAATGAGGAAATCACCCATCTTCTGTGTAGATCTTGCTGGGAGCTGCAGACTAGAGCTGTTCCTATTCAGCCATCTTGGAAGTGTGCATATGTGCCTTTTTCATAGAATGATTTATATTCCTTTATATTATAATCCTTGACCCAGTAATGAGATTGCTGGGTCAAACAACAGTTCTAAGTTTTTTGACAAATCTCCAAACTGCTTTCCACAGTGGCTGAACTGATTTACATTCACACTAGCAGTGTATAAATATTCCCTTTTATCCTCAACCTCACCAACACCTGTTATTTTTTAACTTTTTAGTGATTAGTCATTCTGACTGGTGTGAGGTGGTATCTCTGTGTGGTTTTGATTTGCTTTTCTCTAATGTTCAGTGATATTGAGCATTTTTCCATATGCTTGTTGGTTTTGTGTATGTCTTCTTTTGAGAAGTGTCCGTTCATGTCCTATGCCGATTTTATAATGAGGCTGTTTGCTTTTACTTGCTGATTTGTTTGAGTTGCTTATAGATTCTGAATATTAGACCTTTGTTGGATGCATAGTTTTTGAGTATTTTCTCCCATTCTGTAGTCTATCTGTTTACTCTATTGATAGTTTGTTTTGCTGTGCAGGAGCTCTTTAATTTAATTAGGTCTCACTTGTCTATTTTTGTTTTTCTTGCAGTTGCTTTTAGAGACTTCATCATGAAATCTTTGCCAAGGCCTAATATGTCCAGAATAGTATTTCCTAGGTTTTTCTCCTAGGGTTTAAATAGTTTTAGGTCTTACATTTAAGTATTTAATCCATTTTGAGTTGATTTTTGTATATGGTGAAAGGAAGGGTACAGTTTCAATCTTCTGCATATGGCTAGACAGTTATGCCAGCAGCATTTATTGAATAGGGAATCCTTTTCCCATTGCTTGTTATTGTCAGCTTTGTCAAAGATCAGATGGTTGTAGATGTGTGGCATTATTTCTGCATTCTCTATTCTGTTTCCTTGGTCTATGTGTCTGTTTCTGTACCAGTAACATGCTGTTTTGATTACTGTAACCCTATAGTTTGAAGTCAGGTAGTGTGATGCCTCTGGCTTTGTTCTTTTTGCTTAGGATTGCCTTGACTATTTTGTTCTCTTTGTTTCTTTCATATAAATTTAGAATAGCTTTTTCTAAATCTGTGAAAATTACATTGGTAGTTTAATGGAAATTGTATGGAATCTATAAATTGCTTTGGGCAATATGCCCATTTTAACAATATTAATTTCTCCTGTCCATGAGCATAGACTGTTTTTCCATTTGTTTGTGTCATCTCTGATTTCTTTCAGTGGTGTTTTATAATTTTCATTGTAGAGATCTTTCACCTCCCTGGTCAACTGTATTCCTAACTAATTTTTGTGTGTCTGTGGCTATTGTGAATTTGGCTCTCAGCTTGGAGTTATTGGTGTATGGAAATGTTCCTGAGTTTTGTATATTGATTTTGCATCCTGAAACTTTACTGAAGTTGTTTATCAGTTCTAGAAATTTTGGGACAGAGACTAAGGGGTTTTCTAGGTATAGAATCACATCATCTGCAAAGAGAGATAGTTTGACTTCCCCTCTTCCTATCTTGATGCCTTTAATTTCTTCCTCTTGACAAATTACTTTGGCTAGGGCTTCCTAGTATGTATTTTAAACAAAGACATTTGAAGCAATTAAATATTTTAGTGTTAATCTTTGCAACCATTACTTAATTTGAAAGAAACAACATTTCACTGTCTTTTCTTTAAAATAGCATGAGTTAGATGGTAACTGTATTAGCCAAAGTTCTCCAGAAAAACAACCAATAGGATGTGTATGTGGTGTGTGTGAGTGTGTGTGTGTGTGTGTGTGTGTGTAGAAAGAGATTATAAGAAATTGGCTCACACAGTTATGGATGCTGTAGTTGGCAATCTGGAGACCTAAGAGAGCTGATGGTATAGTTGTAGTCCAAGTCCAAGGGCCTGAGAAGCAGAAGAGCCAAATGTGTAAATTACAATCTGAGTCCAAGTTTGAAGGCAGGAGATCAATGTCTCAGCCTGAAGACAGTTAGGCAGAAAGAGGAGATTCTCCCTACTCTGCCTTTTGTTCTAATCAGGCCTTCAACAGATTGGATGAGGCTCACCCACATTGGGTTGGGCAATTTACTTTTCTCCGTCCACCAAGTCAAATGTTAATCTCATTCACAAACACCTTTATAAACACACACAGAATAATGTTTAACTAAATATCTGGGCACCCAATGGCACAATCAAGTTGACACATAAAATTAACCACCATGGTGACTATCGCTTATCGTGGGATAAATAATTCCATTGTATCCTGTTTACAACAAGACTTGAACATCAGACATAGTATATACTTGCAAATCAGGGCAACTAATACAACAGAAAGTTTTATTGATTTTTAGCATCTTTCTGGGAGTTACAAAACATCACTAGCATTAAAAGCCTGGATGGGGAAAGAAGTAAGAGTATTCTATTCAACACAGTTTTGGAAGTCCTGGCCAGAACAATCAGGCAAGAGAAAGAAATAGAAGGCATCCAGATAGGAAAAGAATAAGTCAAACTATCCCTGTTTGCAGATGACATGATTCTATACCTAGAAAACCCCATAGTCTCTGCCAAAAAAGCTCATTGAACTAATAAGCAACGTCAGCAAAGTTTCAGGATACAAAATAAACAGACAAAAATCAGTAGCATTCTTAACCCCCAATGACATTCAAGCCAAGAGCCAAATCAGGAATGAGATTCCAGTCACAATTGCCACAAAAAGAATAAAATACCTAGGGATACTGCTAACCAGAAAGTGAGAGATCTCTACAATGAAAATTACAGAGCACTGTTGAAAGAATTAAGATACTACAGAAGCAAATGGAAAAACATTCTATGCTCATGGATAAAGAGAATCAATATTGTTAAAATGGCCATACTGCACAAAGCAATTTATAGAGTCAATGCTATTCCTATCAAACTACCAATTACATTTTTCAAAAAAAATAGGAAAAGCTGTTAAAAAGTTCATATGGAACTGGCCCGGTGCGGTGGCTCATGCCTGTAATCCCAGCACTTTGGGAGGCTGAGGTGAGTGGATCATGAGGTCAGGAGATCAAGACCATCCTGGCCAACATGGTGAAACCCCATCTCTACTGAAAATACAAAAATTAGCTGGGTGTGGTTTCACGTGCCTGTTATCCCAGCTACTCAGGAGGCTGAGGTGGGAGAATCGCTTGAACCGGGGAGGTGGAGGTTGCAGTGAGCCGACATCGTGCCACTGCACTCCAGCCTGGCAACAGAGTGAGACTCCGTCTAAAAAAAAAAAAAAAATTCATATAGAACCAAAAAAGATCCCAAATAGTCAAGATATTCCTAAGCAAGAATAAAGCAGGAAGCATCATGTTACCCAACTTCAAATTATATTACAGGGCTACAATAACCAAAACAGAATGATACTGGTACAAACACAGACACATAGACCAATGGAGCAGAATAGAGAGCCCCAAAATAATGCCACACATCTACAACAAAGCTGACAATAACAAGCCAGGGTGAAAAGGACTCTCTATTCAATAAATAGTGCGGGCATAAACGTCTAGCAATATGCAGAAGATTGAAACGGGACCCCTTCCTTATACTATATACAAAACTCAACTCAAAATGGATTAAAGAATTAAATGGAGAACCTAAAACTATAAAAACCTCGGAAGATAACCTAGGAAATACTATTCTGGACATAGAAACTGGCAAAGATTTCATGACAAAGAGACCAAAAGCAATTGCAACAAAAGCAAAAATTGACAAATGGGATCTAATTAAACTAAAGAACTTTGACACAGCACAAGAAACTATCAACATAATAAACAGATAAACAGCCAGGCGCAGTGGCTCATGCCTGTAATCCCAGCAGTTTGGGAGGCTGAGGCAGGCAGATCACTTGAGGCCAGAAGTTTGAGACCAGCCTGGCTAATATGTTAAAACCCCGTCTCTACTAAAAATACCAAAAATTTAGCTCGGCATGGTGGCACACGCCTGTGGTCTCAGCTACTCAGGAGGCTGAGGAACGAGAATCACTTGAACCCAGGAGGCAGAGGTTGCAATTAGCCAAGATGGCGCCACTGCACTCCAGCCTGGGTGACAGAGAGAGAGTCTGCCTCAAAAAATAAAAAATAAATAAATAAATGAATAAATAAACATACAACCTACAGAATAGGAGAAAATATTTCCAAACTATGCATCTGACAAAGGTTTAATTCCAGGATCTATCAGCATCTATAAGGAACTTAAACAAATTTACAATAGAAAACAACCACATGAAAAAGTGGGCAAAGGACATGAATAAATACTTTTCAAAAGAAGACATACATGCAGCCAACAAACATATGAAAAAGCTCAATATCACTAATCATTAGAGAAGTGTAAATCAAAACCACACAGAGATACCATCTCACACCAGTTAGAATGGCTATTATCAAAAAGTCAAAAAATAACAAATGCTGCAAGGCTGCGGAGAAAAGGGAACATTTATACTCTGCTGGTGGGAGTGTAAACTAGCTCAACCATGCTGGAAAGCAGTGTGGCAATTCCTCAAAGACTTAAAAATAGAACTACCGTTTGACCCAGCAATCCCATTACCCAAAGAAATATAAATCGTTTTACCATAAAGACACGTGCACGCATGTGTTCATTGCAGCACTATTCACAATAGCAAAGACATGGAATCAACATAAAGGCCCATCAACAGTAGACTGGATAAAGAAATATAGTACATATACACCATGGAATACTATGCAGCCATAAAAAGAATGAGATCATTTCTTTTGCAGGAACATGGATGGAACTAGAGGCCATTATTCTTAGCAAACTAACGGAGGAACAGAAAAACCAAATATTGCATGTTCTCACTTATAAGTGGGAGCTAAATAATGAAAACCAATGGACATAGGGAGGGGAACAACAGACAGTGGGGCCTACTTGAGGTGGGAGGATGGGAGGAGGGAACAGATCAGGAAAAATAACTATCAGGTACCAGTCTTAGTAGATGGTGACAAAATCATCTGTACACCAAACCCCTGTGAAACGAAGTCTACCCATATAACAAACCTGCACATATATTCCTGAATCTAAAATAAAAGTTAAAGAAAAGAATTAGGAGTATGTGGCAGTGAAGGGTTAAGTCTTGGTTTTGCTAAGGTCATTGGTGACAGTAATAATTAATAATAATCATCATCATCATCTTAGCAGTTCCCATTGATTGAAGCTTATGCCAGGCATTATCCAAGTTATGTTTCTTACGTTACTTTGGGCAAGTATTTTTGAGCCTAATTTTTCTTCTCTGATAAAACCGAGCTATTAATAACTACCTAAGTGCCTCCTCCCCAGGCAAGGACCAAATGAGATAAGATAGGTGAGCGTGCTTTAAAAATTGTAAAGTGCTCTACAAATGCAGAGTGTCATCATTTTCCGTTGAAATATCAACCTGGGAGGAAGCGAGGGAAGGAGGAGGTTTTCATTCCTCTCTGTAAGCCTACTGCAGCACCCTGTGATCTCAGAAGTGCTGGAAACCTGTATTTGGAAGACAAAATGCATTTCTCTGGTGAAATGGGAAGGGACAGGTTTCTTATTGCTTCCAACCCTTCCAGAATTTGAATTTTCTTCCCTTTCTGTGGTCATCAGTTGTAATTTTATAGAAGCTATTGTGCTTATCCTGAGGGAGTGATAAGGAAGGAATAATACCTACCACAGGGGGCTGGGCCAGAAGTGAAAATGTATAAACAATAAACAAGTTATATTTGTATCTCAAATAAAGCATTATTTATTTTTTTCAACTTTAAAATATACTGGTTTGTGATATGATACCAAACCACGGAATGCAGCTCCTAGGAAGACACAAAATTGGGAGATAAAAATTTTTCTGCTCTTCAGCTTTTGGATCATTTCAAATACTATTGATATTCTACTCATGCCTAGACACCAAAGGGTGAATGTAATTAAAATGCAATGAGATTGTGCGTGTCAAATAAAAAATGTTCTTCACCCATGTGTCCCTGGTACTTACGCGCTATGTGTCACCCTAGAGAGGGGAATCATTGAAAATATTGCACTTTATACAGTGAGACTGAGTTAATAAAGCAAGAAAGACTTTCAAGTAATAGTGGATTCACTCTAAAATTTAAGGCATTTAAAGATCATAGGATGTGGTGCTCCTTCCCTGTTTATTATAGGGGAATAACACTTGTCTGTATACTGGGAAGACCTGGATTTTGGGGGAGCTCCATGGAAAATTTCTTTCTCTCCCAGATGTCATAGGAAATAGCATAACTATCTATTTTTTTTTCTAGAAACAAAGATTATGTTGTAATATATAAGTAATCTCACAGTGTCAGCCTGGAATGATGTTTTTAAAGTTTTAAATGTCATCGGTCAGTGGGTAGTTTCTTTCTAGATTGCAATGGGATCTGTGAACTCTACTATCCTGGGATCCCAGTTTGAGTCTCTGAAGGTGCTAGAAACAGTATTTCAAAGTCAGGCAACTGAGTTAATCCAAACTTTAAACTGTTATTCCCTGAGGAGATATGAACTGGGATAAGAAAGGGACTAAAAGAGTGAGTCCCATCCTCAAGGTTCTGGGAGCTGTGCTCTCTGACCCTGTTGACCTAGGAAAGTTGTATCAAACGTCTCACCATCTCACCACTTCGTTAACTCCCACTGTTCACCACAAACCAGGAAGAACGGGAAGCTCCCCTACATTGTCTTTGGCAAAATCAATTATGTAGATATTAAGAAACTAGTTATGAATTAAAAATGTAAAAAGTGGGCTTGGGCACAGTAGCTTATGCCTTTAATCATTGTACTTTGGAAGGCCTGGGAGGATGAAATTCTGTCTCTACAAAGAATGCAAAAGTTAGCTGGGCATGGTGGTGTGAACCTGCGGAGGCTGAGGTGGGAGGATCTCCTGAGTATGGAGGTCGAGGCTGCTGTGAGCCAAGACTGCACTCCAGCCTGGGTGACAGAATGAGACCCTCTTTCAAAATAATAATAATAATAATAATAATAATAATAATAAAATAATAATAAAGTATAAAGTGTATATCTTTTGATTTACTGTTTGCACTTCTAAGAGTTTACCCTAAGGATTAAATCAGGAATACACAAAGGATTATGTCAAAGTGGGTGATGAAATTTTGTATAATCCTAAAGAAAAAAAGAAAAAGAGCATAATATCCATCAAGAGGGAATTGATTAAATAAATTGTGGTTATGCACAGATTAAATGCAATGACATAGAATAATTTATATTTTAATTCATTATCATTTATTAATATCAATATTAGTAAATACATATTGTTGACTGAAAAACACATTACAGAACCATGGAATCCCATACAAGAGAAGTGTGTGCTTGGGTGTGTATAACTGTACTACAGAAAGGTTAATCACCAAAATGTTTGTTAAGGTTCCTCTCTGGGTTACAGATATGTGATTTTTATTTTCTTCTTTATGTGTAACTGTTTTACTAGACATTCCATAAAGAGCATGTGGCATTTTGATAATCAAAAGCTCATTTTATTCAGAAAAAAATGATTCTCTCTTCAAAACCCACCTAATCTCTTAATTATTTGCTAAAATGAAGCAAGAATTCTTTCACTTAGTAAAGGATTTACTGCTTTGTGAAGAAGAGGAGTCTATGAAACTCGACAGTGTGTATGGCATTAGAAATTACATGATTTGGCATTATATGAAAAAGATACCTGCTTACGTATGTTTATCACAGCACAATTCACAATCGCAAAGATATGGAGCCAACCTAAGTGCCCATGAACTGATGAGTGGATAAAGAAAATGTGGTGTATATGCACCATGGATACTACTCAGCCATCAAAAACAACGAAATAATGTCTTTTGCAGCAACTTGGATGGAGCTGGAGGCCATTATCCTAAGTGAAGTAACTCAGGAATGGAAAACCAAATACCGCATGTTCTCACTTATAAGTGGGAGCTATGCTATGGGTATGCAAAGGCATACAGAGGGGTATAATGGACATTGGAGACTCAGAATGGGGAAGAGTGGAAGGGGGGTGAGGGATAAAAAGCTGTTGGATACAGTGTACAATGCTGTGTTGGGTGCATTTAAATCTCTGATGACACCACTATACAATTCATCTGTGTAACCAAAAACCACTTGTACCTCCAAAGCTACTGAAATAAAAAAATTATTCAAAGAAAATGACAAGACTTGGGAGTGAAGACTCAAGCATAAGCTGCAACTTTATTATTACCATGTCAAAGTCATGTCCATTTTCGCATCTACAAAAGGAAAGTCATAATCATCACCTTACTCAGGCCCTGAGAAGTTACTAATACTCGGCATTTTATAGCATTTAAATTGTCAGTGCATTGTATTTTCACTATGTCCTACAAGGCTCACTGGTGGACAGTAGCATCTGCTCTCCTTTAAACCATTTTTAAATTTATTTTATTTTAATTTTTTTAAAGCCAAGTCTTGCTTTTTCACCCAGGCTGGAGTACTGGGGCATGATCACAGCTCACTGCAGCCTCAAATACCTGAGCTCAAGCAATCCTTCTGCCTCAGCCTCCCAAGTAGCTAGGACTACAGGTGCTTACCATCATGCTTGGCTAAATTTTTTTTTTTTTTATAGAGGCATGGTTTCACTATGCTGCCCAGGCCGGTCTTGAACTCCTGGCTCAGCCTCCCAGAAGGCTTGGGATTATAGGTACAAGCCATCACAACCAGCCCCAATCTCATAAGTTAGAAGACTATTCTTGATATGATAAAATATTCACAGCATGTATTGTAATTGAAATTGGCAGGCTACGAGGCAATGTATAACTATAATAAAAATTATAATAGGAACGATACATAAGAGTATCTATTAGGTATCCCCTATGACAGGAACTGTGCTGAGCATGGGGTATGTATTTTCTTATTCACTCCCCAAAGCAATCTTAGGGCGTAGGGACTTTTTTAATCCCCATTTTATAGCTGAGCATGTCATTTTACAGCGAATCATAAATACTTGTCCAGGATCCAGCTGAGATTGGAATCCAGGTGTGTTTGAACCCAAGGTACAGACTTTTAACCGCCCTGGGGTGTGAGAGTGTGTGTGTAGATAAAGGCCTGCTCAAGGAAGAAGGAGGAGGAAAGAGCTGAGGAGGAAGATGTTGATGTATTTTTAATTGTGCATCAGTCTTCCTGGTGGTGACAGGTCTCTTAGTGTCATGACCAGCTCTGCCATTTGCAACGGTAGGAATTACAGTCTTTCAAAATCCGTTTCTGGTCATTGCTGAACCCAAATTTACATAAAAACAGGCCCTTGAAGTCAACCTCTTAAGTTTTAGAAAAAGATATTCCTCCCTGAAATTGGAGTGACATCTCCAGTGAACTATCCTGGCAGCAGAGTTGTCCCCTGCAGCTGACCAGTGGAGGTCAGCCAGCCCCCGCCAGGCAGCGGATGAACCTCAGCCACCTGTCGGCCACAGCAGCTGGAGGACCTCCGGAAGCGATGGCTCCTGAAGGTGACCTCTGTGTGACACACAAGCGTGGTGAAATGGAAACGTCCATGTTGATCTAGTGCCATCTGAGACCCCAGTATTAACTGTGCACAGTTTCCCAGTCATCGTATCAGCGTCTCACCCTCTGTGAAAGTCTGTAACAGCAGTTATCAATGGATTTCAGCTACTATCTCCAAGACATGTGACAAATGTTGCTCAGATACAATGCACTTTCCAAGAGATTTACCCAAATTTTGACCCAAAATATTTTGAGGGGAAGTAGAGGTCTACAATAATTTGTGAATCTCCATAATAACTATTAACCATACAGTAGTACCAAGTTCTCAGTACATTCTGAGCCACAAGAGACAGGTGGTGGGTTATGAGTAATTTAAGTTTTTAAAGCATTTCCCAATTCTGGTTGTGCTAGCTACTCAAGATGAATATCAGGATGCAGCACAGTTATATTACAGTGGGGACAACCTTGAAACCCTTCTAATTTAAATTTTTAAAGTACATTTATTTGCCAGTTCTACTGTTGGAAACGTTACAGTGGTGTCCCTATCATCCGTGCGTTTAAGTTATGCAAACTCAAAATACATTGCTATAGTGAAAATACTGAAAAATTTCATGGTAATATATATCCTTTTAGAGATATTTACCTATATATTTATATGTATATATTTATACTTGCAATTGTGTACAGATTGCATGTATAAATAATACTGCATATTTATGCTGTGTGTGTACTGTACTTAATGGGTAATTTGAGGAATTTCCAAGGGTAATTTTGGCTATAACTACTTTTTGCTTTAAGCAACATCTGCTCTCCCCACTCCTGCCCCTCCCATTGTCACCACCACCACTTCAAATTGAAATTCCATTGTGTTTATGATATCTTACTTTTGATACTTCTCATCAGTGGCTGTAAGATCCACAAAGTGCTATCAGCTCGTGGTTAACTCTAAATATTATTCATGACGAGTTCAAGGTAGCTGCTGCTTTTTCTTGGTTCAAATTTGTGAAGCTTGCGTCATCATCTGTTAATATTGCATGCCCATCCCCACTGGGTACCAGACACTGCATTACTCTAAAAATATACTTCCTTTTCCACCAGGCTTTTTGAGTAGTCTGAAAACTGGTTTAACTGCATGCTTTTATTTTTGGTGTTGGTGGCAATGGAAAATGGGGTATGATAATAGTTTCACTGACATCAAGAAAGCTTGGGTTTGTTTTTCCTGCACAGAATAGAATTATCTCTGTAAAACATACATCTGACTTTGTTTCTCTTCCATGCTTAAAATCCTTCAGCAGCTCCCCCTTAAGCACATGATAAAGTCCAAACTTCACGTCCACATGACTTACAAAACTTTGCTTTTTCTCCCAGCATGCCTCTCCCTTATATACTCAGTGTGTTCACCACAACAAACCCTTGTATTGCTCATACCAGGGTTTTTCACAACTCCAAGCTTTTGTCCCTGCTGTCTCCGTTGTCAGAAATGTTGTCATGGTCTCCACTCCCTTAGTGGGTTTATACACCTTGAACACCATGCTCAAATATCACTTCCTTTGTACTGCCTTCTGTGACTTCCTGAGCCAGACCTGGCCATGCCTTTTCTTATATATATTTGGTATATTTTTATGCTTCTATTGAGGCAGTTATCAACCTTTAATGAAATGATAAATTTAAACGTCCATCTCCTCTATTAGGCAGTGAACACAACAAAAGCAGAGGTAATGCTTTATTTACCTTTGCAATCCCAGTACCTAGCATGGGGATTGGAACCCAGTGGTTCCGTATATGCTGAATGAGTGAAGAAATGAATGGCAGACAGAGATACAATCTTCGAAATTAATTCATTGAGGTGTTTTTGACCCCAGATCCAGATATAAACTGCAGAAGTTCAATGAATTTCCTCTAAAATGAATGCTAAATTGTGATTGAATCTCTGTGTGTATACTTGTGCATACATTTATCTGGGAAGCTAATCCATAGCCTTCATCATATTCCCAAAGGAATGTAGGATGTATTAAAGGGGATACAAATCACTGACATAATTCAATCTCCTCAAAAAATTAAGATCTCCCTTTCTCCCGCTGCATGACAAAAACAACCAACCAACCAACCAAACAAACAAACAAACAAACAAACTAAACCAAGGGGAATGGGGGCTTTTGAAAGGAATGAGTAGGCAGGAATGTCCCTGAAAGATGAGGTCTGCATGATAGTCTTGTTTTAGTCCTGAAGGGGACGGCGGAGCCCAAAATATCAGTGCTCAGAAAGATTTGGACCTAACTGGCATGCAATGCAAGCCCGGAGCTTAGTTCATTCACTCCTTTGTCCATTGTGGAATTATCTAATGACAAGAGGGATGTGGGTGGTAACAAGTGAGGTGCCTTCTTCTCCCTTCCTGTTGAGTCATTCTCCAAATAATGTTCAGAGTATGAGGGGAAGTAACATTAGCTTGAGGATTTTTTGTTATTTGAAATCTGTAACTAAATAACAGCACTACTCATTGTGGCTTTTCCTTTCTTTCTGGTTTCATAAATTTCCCTTACATTTTCAACTGGGTGAGTTATTTGCCATTTGCTTTCCTAACCTGGTGTTTGTGCAGCATCACTGGCAAAAGTTAATATGTGCTTCTTGCTGCCCCAGGGATTCTTGCAGCTCTGTAATGATGAAATTAATCTATAAATGTGGTCTCTAAAAGCACCTCTGGGTCTCAATCTTTGAATGAAAGGCAGAGTGGAATGGAAGGGATCTGTTGCTTTCATTATCATTATCTAAATGGATGCAAATGCAGCAGATTGAAAATGCTCATCCTTACCAGAAATGATAAGAATCCAAAGACCTGCTATTTGCATGTTTAATTGCAATGGCGCATTGAGAGACAGAATTACTGTGTGGGGGTTATGGGCACTTCACAAACGGTAATTGTCCTCCACACTTATTTTTGTCATCTTGATGAGTGTTAGAAGATGGCTAGGCTTTCTAAACACTTGCACGCTTCCAACTAGGGAGGATATTTTGGCACATTAGGAAAACATGGCATGAATTCAAGTGAGCTGAGTTACATTAGCCCGTCTTTTCTGGTTAGTTCTGGTTAAATGGTAACTTTCCATAAAGTGCCTTCCTTTTCCTGGCAGTAACATTTACTGAGCACAAAGTTGCATTTCAGGTACAGAACCAAGCTCTTTACACACTTCTCTCATTTGACTCCAATATCTGAGGTAGATTCTATTACTATTTTCATTTTACAAATAGGAAATCCGACACAGAGAGAAATCTAGTAACTTAGCCAAGTTTACATAGGAAATGACTAAGTCAAGATATAAATGCTTATTTGTCTGATTCCCAAGCCAAAGTTGTTGGTATGTGAAATAACTTTTTTTCTATCATCAAAGCTCTCATTTATCAACCATTTTTTCATCCATTCATACATCAGATATTTATTGAGCAACTACTATAGGCTAGCTATTATGTGCAGTAAAAAAATGGAAGCAAAACATTGCCCCTGCCTTCAAGTCCATGCTTGAAATAACCAAAAATGAAATTCTGTTGTTTCTTTATACAAGCATCAACAGAGCATCATTTTTGCCACCTTCCTCCTCATCAACATCATCATCATCAGAATTACTTTTTACTGAGCCTGAGAAAGTTGTCAGAACCAAAATGGAGTCGCTTGTGTTTAAAAAAACAAAAAACAAAAAGCCATGACAAATAGAGGCAGGGAAGGCTGTAAAGAGAGGGTCCTCAAACTTCTGTGCCTGATAAGAAAAACTATCATAAAAGACTCTGCAAAAACTGCAACCTTGCCAAAGGCCATCACAACCTTGCACAAAAAAGTACTTCTGTGGAGACATCTGCCCAGCAACTGCCTGTCCAACATCAGACTGATGTCACTCTTGTTATTGATCTCCGTAGCCAAGAAGAATCATTTGAAAACAATTATGTAATCCTCCTCATTTTTCCTTTAAAACCCTTTGTCTTCCTTTACCTCCCTGAATACACACACCATTTACTATGGCATGCATATTCCCATTGCAATGCCTATTCCTAAATACATATCTTTTATTTTAGAGAGGCTCTTTCTGTTTATGTTGGTTGACAAGCCCTTAACATCTGCCAGGTGCTGTATTGGGCACTATTTACTTCTAACAACCTTTTGAGGTAAGTGTGATCATCCCCACAATATGGCTAAAGAAACCACAGCTCACAGAGCTTAAATGACTTTGCCCATGCCACCCAGCTAGTAAGTGGAAGAGCCAGCATTGAAGTCCAGGGCTGTCTGATTCTAAAGCCACATATTTTAATAACAATATCACCCGAGGATTCTGAGACCACTCAACAAACCAATGTCACTTAAGGATTTTTTAGAGACTACTTTAAAAGCAATGTGAATAAAATGCTTAATGAAGAACCAAAGCTATATGAACTGAGTTCTCAGTCCCTGCCAGTACTGTGCTAGAAACTGTCCATGTATGCTCTCATTCAAGTATCTCCATAGCCTCCATAGATCTTGTTAGTTCTATTTTGCAGGTGAGGAATCTGAGGCTCAGAAAGAGGAAGTAACTTGCCCAAGGTCACACACAGTGGAGGCAATATTTAAGTCCAGATCTGCTTGATTTTAAAGCCCTATATTTTACTAACAACATCACCCAGAGCGTTCCTAGGGAAAATGCTCATTTTCAGAAAAAAATCCAGAAAATGCTTACCAAATAGCAACCCCTAAGTTAGTTGCCTAAAGGATACAGGCTGCTGGGTAGGCTTCATCTTAACAAGGGTTTCCCTTCCCCAGACCCATGCAACATTATTTTTCTCCTATTTTAAAAAAACTCTTTTTTCCCCCTTCTTGCTTGGTAGGAGGACGGGGTGTGTGTGTGTGTGTGTGTGTGTGCATTTGCGGAATGGAACAATAAAAAGGAGAGAGACATGCATAGAGATAAACGGATTGCAGAGAACTCAGGAGATCCAAGTTGATCTAAAGGCCCTGGGGTCTGGCTTCTTGCAATCTCTCTTTACCTGTTGATAACAGCTCACTTCTGGATAAGTCAGCAGGGGGTTGGGGGTGGGGAGTCATTTTTAAGGAGAAGGAGAGCCTCTGTATTAGTTAAATCCTTTTAACATATATAGTAAAAGGGAAAGAATCCCACCACTCACAATTTTCCCTGGAATGTTGCTGGGTTTTGGATTCTGATTCAGCTTCAGAAGGCTGGGATCCCACAGAGCATTAGAAGGACTGGTGTGATAAGAACAAGATCATCTATTAAGCACCTATTACATACTGGTGTGATGCTGAGGACTTTGCATTCATTACATCTGCTACGGTTTGAATGTAGTGTCCCCTTCAAAATTCATGCTGAAACTTAATCCCCATTGTGGTGGTATTAAGAGTTGGACCCTTTTAGGAGGTGATTGAGTCATAAGGGTGGAGCCCTCATGAACGCCCTTATAAAAGAAGCTTTAGAGAGAGTTTGCCTCTCTTGTTCTTCTGCCTTCGGCCACTGAGGACACAGCATCAAGGTGCCATCTTGAAAGCAGAGAGCAACCCTCACCAGACAGCAATGCCAGTGCCTCAATCTGGTACTTCCATCCTCTAGAACTGTGAGAAACAAATTTTGATTCTTAATAAATTCCTCAGTCCTTGGCATTTTGTTATAATAATGCGAATGGACTAAGACAACCTCATATGACTCTTTCACCTACCCTGCAAATGAGGCAGTTGTATGCCCTTTTGATAAGGCTAGGAAATTGTGGGTTCAGAGAGACAAAACTTTTCCCAAGAGACACATAATGTTCTCTAAGATTGTACAGCCAGTATGACATAGACCTGGGATTCAAATCTAAGATTAGATTTTAAGTGCAATTTATGTGTCTCTTCAGTGGCCAAATATCTGCACTTGCTTCTTCTGGTTAAACATAATTTGCTGTCTGACATCCTTATCTCAGCCACTGACCCCTGAGTCATCTCCCTTCTCTATCCCCTTTCTCACTGCCAACATGTAATGGGCTTGCAAGATGGAATGCCTCCCCTACTACCTGTCCCTTCTAGGGAATCCCTACCCTTAAATATTCTTTATGCAGGAATTCAAAACTACATGTTGACCAGATAATCCCAATCATGGATTGGGAATAGACAGTTCATCTAAGAGTAGCCAACCAATAGCAGGCTGGCAACCTGTGGGGTGAGCTACTGTGAAGCCTCATGCATTGCCATGTGCTGTGGCTCAGGCCTATAATTCCAGTTACTCAGGAGGCTGAGGTAGAAATGCTTGAGCCCAGGAGTTCAAGGCTGCAGTGACCTATGATCATCCCACTGCTCTCCAGCCTGGGCAACAGAGCAAGACCCAACTCTTTAAAAAAAAAAAAAAAGGCCAGGTGCAGTGACTCATGCCTGTAATCCCAGCACTTTGCGAGGCCGAGGTAGGTGGATCACCTGAGGTCAGGAGTTTGAGACCAGCCTGACCAACATGGTGAAACCCTGTCTCTACCAAAAATACAAAAATTAGCTGGGCATGGTGGGACGCAACTGTAGTCCCAGCTTCTCCGGATGCTGAGGCAGGAGAATCGCTTGAACCCCGGAGGTGGAGGTTGCACTGAGCCGAAATTGTGCCACTGCATTCCAGCCTGGGCAACAGAGTGAGACCCTATCTTAAAAAAAAAAAAAAAAGAAAGTTTGATGTAGGCAGATATGATGGTTACTAATAAGTTTCATTCTCTTTCTTTTACTTTCTACCCCACCCCATCCCTAGGGATTCAAATGATATGAAATAGTAAGATACAGAGATGGTGTTGCTAGTCACTTTTAGGAACAGAAACACAAAGATGTCCAGAGAAAGGCCATAAAGAATTTGGGGTCATGAGGAAAGCAAAGGTATGAGTTAGCAGAGGCTATGGAATGATGGGCATAGAAGGAAGTTCAGTATAACAGCAAGAGATCCATCTGTTTCCGTTGCTGATGGTACAGCTGACTGCCTTAAATCCTAAATAAGCTGTCCATGACACCTGAGAAATCCTATCCCAACACTGGGATTCCTACTCTTTTGGTGCTTACCTTTACTTTCACTTAAATCTGATTACTTGGAGTAATATGTTGAGTTTGTGGGATTATCCATGATTGCATTCACAGATCTAAACAGACAGTGGAACCTAAAGAAAAAAAAAATCCAGGGCAAAAGGAAGGTGACTCCCAACTTGAGAAAAATTTTTATTTTTTCCATTCAGCTCTATTCAGAATGCTAAAACATAAATATAAATCTAGATAGAGAAACATTTCCTAACGTTAAGTTAAACAGATCCCTGGAGTTGACAGAGAACATTAACCTACTCCAAATCTTTACCTAATCCATTAATCTCACATAAACACCCAACAAGTCTTCTTGTCTGTGTTTGAATACTTCACCAATGAGGATCTCCCTCTTGTGCTATAATTGCCAGGAGGTTTCAATACCTAAAACTTTTGCCTAACAAGCAACTAAGATAAAAACAACATAACACAGAATAACATATTTCTAACACTTCCAAACGACAAATATTTCTTTATTGTGCTTGGCATGAGAGTGAGCAAGACAGGTGGAAATCCTGTCTTTCTGGGGTTTACATCAGCCTTTTCAAATTTTTATTTTGAAAAATTTTGAACATACAGAATAGTAGAGAGAATAGTGTGATGAACACTTATGTTCCATTATCCAATTCAACAATTAAGAATGCACAGCTCTTTCTGTTTCATTTTTATGCCTTTTCCCCTAAGTCTCCCTACCACCCTGCTGAATTATTTTAAGATAAATCCCAGGTGTCATATCATTTCGGCATGTGTTTCTAACAGATAATGACTCTTTTTTCTTCATGTAACCACAATATTGTTATTCACACTTGAAAACATTTAACAGTGATTTTTTAATATCATCTAATTTCCAGTCAGTTTTTTTCTTCAAATTTTTCTTTTTGTATTAAAAATATCTTTTTACAGTTGGTTTGTTTGGAGTTTTACATTACAATGAAACATGCTCTTTGAACAAAAACACAGCTAAATCTTGATATTTTATTCCATATATGTAGTTAAACCTACCTGGAAGACTACCGATTCTATAAAATGTATAGATTTAAACAAAACCAGTAGCTATTTTTTTTCCTCTACTTTCAGAAGCTTATCTTCTAGAGGATTTTTTATTTTTTATTTATTTTTATTTATTTATTTATTTTTTGAGGCGGAGTCTCGCTCTGTTGCCCAGGCTGTAGTACAGTGGCCTGATCTTGGCTCACTGTAAGCTCCGCCTCCCAGGTTCACGCCATTCTCCTGCCTCAGCCTCCCGAGTAGCTGGGACTACAGGCACCTGCCAGCACGCCCGGCTAATTTTTGTATTTTTAGTAGAGACAGGGTTTCACCGTATTAGCCTGGATGGTCTCTATCTCCTGACCTCGTGATCCGCCTGCCTAGGCCTCCCAAAGTGTTGGAATTACAGGCATGAGCCACTGTGCCTGGCCATCTTCTAGATATTTTTATAAGCTTGATATTAGACATCACTCTTCTGTTTTCTCCAAAATGATTTTCCTCTTTTTTATCACGTGGCTTTCTTTGTTAATGAAGCACAGATCATGTTTGCAATGTGATAATTCTGCTCCTTGGAAAGCCTATTATTCTGAAGGCCTAACATCCTCAGAAAACATTCACTGAAAGCCCACTAGAATAACAGAATGTAGGGCTATTGATCCAGCAGTCCTACTTCTAGGACTGAATACAGAAGAAAATATGAGAGCAGAAATAAATGTTATATTTTATATTATATAATCATATAAGTTGTTTAAAAAGTTTCACTGTTATAGATAACTGTAAGAGAAACATCATTATATATAATATGTATATTATTATCGTGCTATATTGTACATTAAACATATAATTTATAAATTAAATCTAATGACATATTTATATCTTATGCAGAATGATGTCTATACCATTGTTTATTTATAACATTGAAATTTTTAAAGTCCATTGAATGGAATTGGTTAAATAAATTAAGGCTAACCTCCATAATGAAATACTACAAAGCGATTAAAAATTATCATGGAAATATTTGTATCAATATGGAAAGATAAACTATTTTAGGTGAAAATATTAGGCTATGAAACAGTATGTAGCATTGTTATGCAAGATCTCCAAGTTGTATTAATTTTAAAAGGTGCAAAAGACCTAAAAACTATATATATATATACACACACATATATATATGCACACACACATACACACACACAGACATAAAGTGATCCCATTTGTAATTACTCCACGTATTCCCTGACACTCAAATGTACATATACATGAATAGAATAGCCCGGATGACTACATGCCAAAATGTTAGCAGTGATTCTTTCTGGGTAATAGGTTTGCTTGAATACATATTTCTTAAAATGTCTGTGTTTTCTGAATATTTTAATAAGTATATATTATTTTATATCATAAAACTTTTATGTTCTTAATGTTAGGTTAGAAAAAGTTACTGGCTTAAGGTTACAGATAGTTCATTTCAAAGCAAGACCCAAGCTCTCCCTTGAGAATCATGTTATTTGTTTCTCCTCCACTTAAGGCTGTTTCCTGGCAAAATGTTTCTCAGTTGCTGTGTAAATAGGTTTTGGTTATGCCTGTCCTACAAAGTGTCTAAGCTTGGACCAGACACACCTGAATCACAGCATTGGCCCAAGCTGGGACCACCACAGGCAAGACATACACACAGGCAAGACATGTGCAACAGTTATCAAAGGCATTGAGAGGACAGAATAATGGTCAGTGTCAAGGTCATTGTGTGAAGCTGCACAGGTTGAGCTCTGCACATCTCCTGAGGTTGAGGGGACCATTTACATTAGAAACTATGAAAGTTTCTGTGCACAATGTTTCCCTGAAAATGTATAATGCCCAATCTGTACAACTGTGCCACCAAGTCCTGAATTCCACTAGGGCAAGAGGAAACTTCATGGAAAGGAAGTCACCTTGAGGTCGACATTTCAATACAACTCAATTCTGAGTGATTTAGTAACATTACATCATTGTGCTAATATTTAATGGTTTTTGTTTGTTTGTTTGAGATGGAGTCTCACTCTGTTGCCCCTGCTGGAGTGCAGTGGCATGATTTCTGCTCACTGCGACCTCAGCCTCCTGTGTTCAACTGATTCTCCTGCCTCAGCCTCCCAAGTAGCTAGAACTACAGGCACGTGCCACCATACCCAGCTAATTTTTGTACTTTTAGTAGAGACGGGGTTTCACCATGTTGGTCAGGTGGTATTGAGCTCCTGACCTCAAGTTATCTTCCTGCCTCAGCCTCTCAAAGTGCTGGGATTACAGGCATGAGTCACCATGCCCAGCCCCAATAAATTTTTATAACACCTACAGTGAATGTATGTAAGACCAAAAACTATAGCAATTAAAGATGTTGAGACTCTTCTCAGAAATCAAAGAAATTCTCTTAACTGAAAAAACATCTTCAATGAGCCTTCAGTGTACTCTTGTGCATATTAGGTTTATCTGTGTTTAAATTAATCAGATTTTCTCAAAGTAATTCCTGAATAATATGAAACTGATTGCATATACAGTGATGAAAATGTCTTTCCTACATTGGCTGACATGAATCAGCTTTTTCTTTCACTTCATTGCTTAAGATAATTACTTGTATTTGTGAAGAATGCCTCTCTTACTTAGACATTTCCAAGGCAGAACTTCAAAATGGGTATGATAGAATTACCCCCAAGTTTCACACAGAACATTAGGATTTATTCAGTTTAAATTAAGAAGTCTGACTCAACATTTATTTTTTAAAAAAATGGAAATCCCTGCCCTTTCCACTTTTCTTTCTCTTTCTTTTTGTTTTCCATTTCTTTTTTTCCTTCCTGGTTTAAATTCAGCATGGCAGGTGAACAATTTTATAAGTACTGTATTAGGGGTACTGAGAGCCAAGTTTCTCAGTGCCAGAGAAGACAATTACAAATGTGGAAAGAAGAAGGCTAGAAAAATCCCAGTAGTGTTGGATTGGAATCGTAGATGGCAGTATCAACTCATGGTTTTATAAAATCTATATGCAGGGGAACACAGTACTTACAAATATCTGTTTATGTATGTATGTCAATACATACAAATATTTTCAAACTCTGTCTATTGCGAGAGCCAAGAAACAATGACAGCCCAGTAGCTACAAGCACATTCAACACTCAGATCTTGGTTTCTAAATACCGTCTATTCACCAAGTACTTCTCAGAGAAATGGCTAGTTCCAGGGTTGGGGCAGGCAAAGCGCAATATGAATGTGAAACATCATTTTGTGTCAGAATGTAAGGAAATGCTCATGAATAATGCATTACAATATGTAATAGCTAGCTTGAAGCAGCCCCCAGTTGCCAATTAGAGAAGATTTTGAACATCAAAATAAATAAGATAGTAAAGTATTACCCATTAAATAAAATAAGAATTCATGATTCTATACTAACATGATTTATACATATATAGATAAATAACAAATGGAGAAATAGAGATGGTAGGTTCAGGTGGGATTCATCAATGGATGTTCATGCTGGTAAGTGGAGATCTGATAAGAAATGGAATTTGGGTGTAATTATCAAAAATCTCCCCTATAAAATACTAATCAATTACAAAGGGAAAATTGGTGAAGGTAAGGTGGCAAAACAGTAGACAGTAATTTGACCAGGCTTTCAAGGTTAGCATCATCAGTGAGGAGACAAAGCAACATCACACACCTCCCTTTGTGATGTGCAGAGAAGAGCACAGCTTCATTTCTGGGTGTTCCTGCTGAGAATATATGACCAGCATATGATCATGAGGAAACATTGGTGAACCCAGAGGGAAGGTCACTCTCCAGAATGAAAAGCCTCTCCTCTTTAAAAGTGTAAAGTACACACGGGAAAGACAGAGGGACTGTTCCAGATTAGAGAAGTTCAAAACGGCATGATAACTACTAAATGCAAAACATATCCCTGGACAAGAAAGGAAAAGCTGGCAAAATTTGAAAGGGATCTGTGCATTGGATCTGTGTTGTGCCAATTGGAAGGATTGGATGCTGGTTTTGTAAGACCACGTCCTTGTTTCCTGGAAACAGACACTGGAATGCTTAGGAATGATGGAACATAACGTCTAGCTTGCTCTCAAAAAGATCCAGAAAAATGATAATGAATACTTATAGAGAGCATGGGAGATGGAGTCAAGGCAACACCTTAACAATTAGGGAATCCAAGAGAAAGAGATTCAGGGCATTTTCGTACTGTTCTGGCAACTTTTCCTTAAGTTTGCAATTATTGTTTTTAAAAGGTTTTTTTTAACACACTTAAATAAGTGGGGAAACTGCAAGTGGTTTTTACATAATATAAAAAACATAAAACAAATACCAGTATTATCTCCCACTTATTAAGTGCCAGGCGCTGTAGGTACCTTATCTCTTACCCTTAGAGGAGCCATCTGGAGAGATATTATTGTCCCCTCTTGAAAGAGGAGATAACAGGCTGATAGCGATGAAGTTATTTCCCTAAAGTCACTCTGTACGTTAGGGGCAGAGACCAGATTCAAACCTGGGCAATCTGATTCCAAAGCCCACACTCCCAGCCACCATGCCATGTTGCCTCTGTGCGGAATGATCCAAAAGGCCATGGCATTATTAGTATTATGATTAAACACTTCTTATGGACCAGACACCATGTTATTCACTCTTTGGTGCATTCTGTCTTCCAAGCTCGCAACTCTGTGAAGACAGCAGCTGTGTTACCTCCATTTTACACTTGAGAGACTGGGGCTAAGAAAAGTGTGGTTCACACAGCTGGAAAGTGTGGGAGCTGGCGTGTGGAATCCAGTTCTGTCATTACACCAAGAAGAGAGAAACTTCCTGTTGAACGGTGAGAGTGCGAAAGGCACAGAGGGGCCATTTACAAGTTTTAAACCCCAGGCTTTGGGACTCTGCTAAATCTAAATTGCCTTGATTAAGTTGCCTTGGTAAATATACACGACAGACATGCCCTTATGCACAGTGCACACAGTGCCTATGACCCAGGACACATTTAGGAGCCCCTGAAAACGTTATAATTCCTTTTAAAATCAGATTACAAAATCAATATAATCCAGCTTGGATTATATTTGTCTTAACACCAGAGTAGTGATGAAACATAATCTTTAATTTTTTTTATGGAGGAAGGAGCTCATGAAGGCAAAAGTGTCTAGGGCCGATGAAAGTTACAATGTAGCCCTGCAAGTGTATTTTTATACAGATCTGAGATTGTGAAAATGTGTCTTGGTCAGGATACTCACAAGCCACACTCAGCAAATGAACAACTCCGGATTACGGATAGCCTCACTCAGGACAGATTGCACTATTTAAGATCTACTGCAAGGGGGAAATTGTAACTGTATTGACTTCATGAAGTTAACAAGGATTAGCCATGGTGAAAAAAATATTCAGTCCACAGAGAGAAAATATTAAAGTCATATCTCAAAGCAGCAACGAGATAAAGGCAGTAATGGGCTTGTGATTTGGCGGATGTCCTTTTATTGTGTTTTTGCTGTCATGAGCTATTCTCCTAGAGATCTTTTTGTGTTTGCGCTTGACAATATTGAGAGGTGACAACGTGCTGGCGGCCATCACTAGCTCTCAGCACCTCCCAGGCCTCGGTGTCCACTCTGGCCAGGCTTGAGGAGCCCTTCAGCCCGCCGCTGCACTGTGGGAGCCCCTCCCTGGGCTGGCTGAGGCTGGAGCTGGCTCACTCTGCTTACGGGGAGGTGTGGAGACAGAGGCGCAGGCGGGAACCGGGGCTGCTCAGGGCGCTAGCAGGCCAGCGCAAGTTCCGGGTGGGCATGGGCTCAGCGGGCCCAGCACTCGAAGCAGCTGGCCAGCGCTGCAATCCCCAGCAGTGAGGGGCTTAGCACCCGGCCCGGCAGCTGCGGAGGGGGCGCCGGGTCCTCCAGCACTGCCAGCCCGCCCGCGAGGCTCTCGAATTCTCATCGGGCCTCAGCCGCCTCCCCGCGGGGCGAGCCTTCCCGACAGGCGGCGCCTGCTGCTCCGCTGTGCCCAGTGCCATGAATCGCCCAAGGGCTGAGGAGTGCAGCCGCGCAGCGCGGGGGGACTGGTGGGCAGCTCCGCCCGCGGCTCTGGCACGCGATCCACCAGGCGAAGCCAGCTGGGCTCCGGAGTAGGGTGGGGACTTGGAGAACTTTTATGTCCAGCGGGAGATTGTAAATACACTAACCAGCACTCTGTGTCTAGCTCAGGGATTGTAAACGCACCAATCAGCACCCTGTCAAAATGGACCAATCAGCTCTCTGTAAAATGGGCCAATCATCAGGATGTGGGTGGGGTCCGATAAGGGAATAAAAGCAGGCTCCCCGAGCCAGCAGTAGCAACCTGCTTGGGTCCTCTTTCACACTGTGGAAGCGTTGTTCTTTTGCTTTTTGCAATAAACCTTGCTGTTGCTTACTATTCGGGTTTGCACTGCCTTTGTGAGCTGTAACACTCACTGTGAAGGTCTGCAGTTTCAGTCCTGAGGTCAGCGAGACCACGAACCCACCGGCAGGAGTGAACACACTCCGGAAAGGAGGAATGAACAACTCCAGACGTGCCGCCTTAATAGCTGTAATGCTCACCGCGAAGGTCTGCAGCTTCACTTCTGAAGCCAGCGAGACCGTGAACCCACCAGAAGGAAGAAACTCGGAACACGACTGAACATCAGAAGGAGCAAATTCCAGACACACCATCTTTGAGAACTGTTAACACTCACCGCGAGGGTCCGTGGCTTCACTCTTGAAGTCAGTGAGATCAAGAACCCACCAATTCCAGACACAATATCATGTTAATGTCACAATTTTATAAGATTCTACTAGTCAGCAATTGAAAACCTGGTCACATGAAAAAAGATGAGGATTTTTTTTTTCTTTTTAATTCTATGGTGTTTTCTATCAGCTAGAGTACATTTTACTTTGAATCAAGGGAAACTCAAACTATTTTAAGCCGAAAAGGAAGTTATTGAATAATGCAACTCAAAAGACCAAGACCAGTCTGTCTTTAGGCAAGGCTTATTCAGGGTTCAAACAAAGTGACCAGGACCTAGTTCCTTTCCGTATGTCACTGTGACATTGTCTTTTGTGTATCACTTTCCTTCTCTGCCTACATGTGATGGCAAGACGGTGACGATAGTTTCAAATCTCAAGGAAAAGAAAGATGTTTTTCTAACATTCCCATAAAACTCTTAGGATTCATTGGACCAACCAGCTTGGAAAACATGCCCACCCTTAATCACTGTGGCCAGTGCTCATTGGCAGAGGCCCGGGCTATAAATTCTGCCCCAGGCTAAGATATAGTGAGAGTTGAATCCCTCAATGAAAAGTAAGGGTGTGTAAAAGCTATCAAGAAAACAAACAAAAAAACCCCCAAAGTCTCTATGTGCTCCCAGAACTATGACTTCAGTCTCTACTGAGAAATCCTGAGATATATAAGAGGTGGTCTGGGCTGGGCACAGTGTGTCATGCCTACAGTTCCAGCGTTTGGGAGGCTGAGGCTAGCGGATCCCTTGAGGCCAGGAGTTCAAGACTAGGCTGGCCAACATAGCAAAATCCCTTTCTACTGAAAATACAAAAATTAGCCAGGCGTGGTGGCACATTCCTGAAATCCCAGCTACTCGGGAGGCTGAGGCATGAGAATTGCTTGAACCTGGGATGCGGAGGTTGTAGTGAGCTGAGATTGCACTCCAGCCTGGATGATAGAGAAAAACTCCTTCTCCATAAAAGAGGTATCCTGGGCTGGGCTGGGCTTGATGGCTCAACCCTGTAATCCCAGCATTCTGGGAGGCCAAGGTGGGAGGATTACTTAACCAGGAGTTTGAGACTAGCCTCGGCAACCTAGAAAGACTCTGCCTCTACAAAAAATAAAACAAAATAATTAGCCAGTTGTGGTGGTGAACGCCTGTTGTCCCAGCTACTCAGGAGGCTTGAGTCCAGGAGTTCAAGGCTGCAGTGAGCTGTGATCACCACTGCACTCCAGCCTGGGCAACAGAATGAGACCCTGTATCTAAAAAAAGAAAAAAGAGATGGTCTGGCTTAGTATTAGGAACACAGCCTCTAGAATTAGAGCACCTGGCTCATTCCCTTACATGTTAGGCCCAGAGAATTCTGTGCCCAACATCACAAAGCCAAGAATGTGGGAGAGTCATGGACTCAGACCCAGACCACTGTACTACTGGCAGACACTGGCTGGCAAAAATCCTACTCTTCAAACTTCCCTCCCTCCCACTGCCCGACCTCCAGCAGTTTACATTTTCACTGTTTCTGGTTTATTTACTAGGTCAGTTGTTCTATGAAAACAAAACAACATGAAGTTTTGTAATGTAGTGTCAATTCTTCTGGTTTGAAAAAAAATTCTCCCCCATAGCGTTCAGACCAACAACGTGAGCTTTCATGGAACCCGTATATGAAAAGAGCTGAATCCATTATTTTTTCTTCTTTTCTCATTAGCCCATCACTCTGATAAGAAAAAGCAAACTAATTAAATAAACTCCATGAGCTTTCTGATAGAAACCAGGAGACATCAAAGTCTTTCATGGATGGTACTAGGTAGGTCTAAGAAGTCACCTTATGTCAATATCATTCCATTATTTCCCAAACATCATCATTACTGAGCATGAATGCAGGAAAATGGGATTAACTTCCACAAAAACTCCCTAACTGTTATGTATCTAAGTATATGGGCAATGTTTATTTGTTTGTTCGTTTAACATATCCTGCCTAATGAAATTCTTCTCAATGCTGCTTTTTTGGGAATTAAGCTGGTGGCTCTCCCTGGCTTTAGGTCACATGCTTCTTTTCCTCAAGTGCAAAGAAGTGATGGTTATAATGGTTACTACAAGGGACAGTCCTTTCCAACTGGCTTGCCCTAGTTGCCTTTTGTTCTGAAGGTTTGTACAAAGGTATCCACCCACATCTGGGCAGGATTCTTCATTCACTCAGGATTTTGAAACTAAAATCTGAATATAACTCTGGGTTCTCTTAGAAAGTTCCCGATCAGGAGAGCGAGATACGAATGGAAACCTCTGCTAATCCTTAGTCCCTCTTTTTTACAGATCCATACCCCACTTCAAAATGTCTTTTTTTCCCCTCCTATTTTCTTCTGGTAACTAATTAGATATTCACTTGAAATCTCCCTTTAAAAAAAAATTAGATAACTTTGTCCGGGAGTTTTCTGAATTCAAATCCAGCCCATCTCTCCACATCAAACATATCCCATTTGAGTGATATTTCCGGGCTCATATTTGTTTTCTCCTTAGAGGCTTTAAGCTCCCCGAGGATGAGACCTTGTCCAGCTTCCTTCCAGGACCCACAAAAATATGTCATACTTTTAAGGCCCCCAATAAAGACTGGGTCAGTTCCTCTTTATAGTAAGTAAAGAGTTAAAAACACAGACTGAAAACTCCTCAAGGGGTTTTGTTATTTCTAGACTTTGTATCTTTATTTTGCTATTTACACATACAGGATTTTTAGTACAGAATATCTTATGATACAAGTTACACATAAAAGGCATTGTTATTCCTTCTGCACTCTGAATCTCTCTTTTCTGGAATCTGTAGCACAATGTTCAATTAGAATTAGAGGCAAATTAATATATCAAATACGGTTCTAAAGCACGAGCAATTGTTGTTACTACATTATACAAGTCCACATGTATGCGCTGAGAACCTTCATGTCCCTGGCACTGTTGGACAGCCTGTGGGAATAAGATGGGAGGACGGAAGGGCAATTTCTATTTTCAAGAGTTTGGAATGTTAAGGAAATCCAAGGTCATGTCTTTTTCATAGAAAACCTATAGGACCTTTTTGCATTAAGTTATGGAAGCTGCCCCTGAGGGTAAGCTTGGATTAGTGATTCCTAGACATTTGTGTGTTTGGACAATTTATGATGCTACCCATATTTGAGGTCTGACATGAGGCTGTCAATAAAGACACTAGAAACACACATACCTGCTGCTTATTATGATAATTATTTCATAAAAGTAAGGACATCTTAGTATTTTTTGAAAAAAGATAAAGTACAATGCTTTCAATGGATTAAATTCTGATTTATAAAAAAAATCATGCTGTATGTAGTTTTTTCCCCCTAATTCACTGGGAAGTGACAGAAATTCTGCTACCAATCTCACCCTGGGAGTCACTGTGCAGTAATTGTGAGGGCTGTCCAAGTGTGAAGTGCTTATTTGTATTATGTCTAAGGGAGACAGTGAGTAAGTGGCTTGGCAGCTGCAGGGATGTTAATCAAGATCTAGCAGGCTCAGGAGCTTTCTGTCTGCTCCCCAGAGCCCGTTTCATAGCAAACATCGGGGTATTTATTTGCCTCTGGTTCCTGGGAAACGAGGACACATTGCAGGAAGGAGGTTTAGCTGGCTGTCACCTGCCCATGGGCACCCTAGGAAGTTTGCTGGGTGTGGAAAGGAAATAGTGTGAATTGCAGGAAGCATAAATCCGATAGTGCTCTAGGGTGGGATCATGAGCTCTGGGCTTCCCCAGGTTTTGACACAGCCTTCACTTCAATTTCATTCCTGGGCAGAGGGAGTAGCCAGAAATAGGCAGTAAGACCCCATATGTTACACAATTGTAAGCTGATATTCCATGTCTCACACTAATATTGTCTGCCCTGGTGGAGACATGGAGCAGGAAGGATTGATTCTGGTGTGCTATGGCCTCAAGTGAGGCCTAATGAAATAACAAAACCCCTTGAGGAGTTTTCAGTCTGTGTTTTTAACTCTTTACTTACTCTGAAGATGAACTGACCCAATCTCTATTGGGGGCCTTAAAAGTATGACATGTTTTTATGGGTCCTGGAAGGAAGCTGGACAAGGTCTTATCCTCAGGGAGCTTAAAGCCTCTAAGGAGAAAACAAGTGAGGAGCTCAGGACACCGGAAAGCTTTCTGTACGTTTGCTAGACCCTTTGGAAGGTTTCAGACCCAGAGTTTTCTAGGTCAGCCACACATGCACATACTGCACCTCAGGGTGGAGGTGACCTAGGCAGACCTGGAATCAGGAAATGGGGTTATTCTTTCCACATTATTTTTTACTGCTGAAGAGGAACTGAAGAGAAGAAGCAGAACTGAAGGTGCCATGAATGTATATGAGCGGGACACTGTCCAAGAGAAATAGAAGGGGGGCCATATATAATTTTCAGTGTTATAGCAGCTACATTAAACAAAGTAACGAGAAACAGAGAAACAGACAGAATGAAATTAATTTCAATAATTTTAATAATACTATATATTAATGTATCATAATATTAATATGCATTAATATAATACCAATATATTATAATACAAAATATATTAAAATGATCTTTCATCATGTAATCAATACAAAAATTATTAATGAGATTTGTGCATTTTTTTTGGTATCAAGTCTTTGAAATCCAGAGCATATGACACAGCACATCTCAATTCAGACAAGCCACATTTCAAGTGCTTAGTAGCTACATGTGGCAAGTGACTATCATATTGGACTGTATGGATCTAGATGCTAAAAATCACATTTTTTTTATTTTAAGGATTTTATTTTTTACTTAGTATCAAAGCAGAAAAATGTTCAAAATAAAATAAAATTTAAAACTAAGTTATGAAACAGTACTAAATTTTTGCTTTTATTTTTTAATATGTGGATTATATATAGATAAAAGTTGAGTTACTTGTCAAGATGAAAACAGTAGTTGCCCATGAGAGGTTTGGTTAAAGTAGATTTTTTCTTTTAATTTTTTTCTTAATTTTCTATATATTCATTTTTTCTGCAATGAACATGTAATATTTGAATAATGGAGAAGTAATACATACATTATTTATTTTCATCAAATAATCCAAAGCAAATATGACAAAGTGTTGACATTGTTAGTTCTGAATGATGACTAGATTAGATATTTAGTGTAGTATTCATTATGCATACACTATTTTAAAATTTTTCTCTCATACAAAATTAAAACCTTTTTAAAATTTGCATATGTTCATTGAAGACAAATTTAGAAAATACAAATAAAAATAGAAAAAGTTAATGCATGATTTTGTGAGAGCATATATAGTACGTATATTTTTGTTATTTTATTTATTTTATTTTATTTTATTATTTTATTTTATTTTAGACGGAGTCTTGCTCTGTCGCCCAGGCTGGAGTGCAGTGGTGTGATCTTGGCTCACTGCATCCTCCACCTCCTGGGTCCAAGCAGTTCTCCTGTCTCAGCCTTCCGTGTAGCTGGGATTATAGGCACACCACTCCCAGTTCATTTTTGTATTTTTAGTAGAGATGGGGTTTCACCATATTGGTCAGGCTGGACTCCAACTCCTGACCTCAAGTGATTCATCCGTCTCAGCCTCTCAAAGTGCTGGGATTACAGGCGTGAGCCACCACACCCAGGCCGTATTTTTATTTTTAAAATAAATATAGAATAGTACAAGGTTTCATTCTGATTTTTTTTTACTTTAGTTTTTCTCATTTACTGGAAGTTGGCACTTCTACTGATACAGCATCATCTTAATGATTCTGTAGTAGACAGCAGCCCAGCAGGGGATGCCTCATAAAGGAGTTGTAGGACTGGATTTTATGCCTGCACTGCACAGGTTTAAATCCTAGTTCTGCCACTTTCCAGCTACATAACGATGGAAAAATTACATATGTACCTCAGTTGTTTGTTGTATTTTTATTTTGTTTTTTTAAATCTGTAAGATGGGGCAAATAATAGTATGCACCTTAGAGGTTTTAATGTTTGTAAAGTACCTAGAATAATGCTTGGCACAAAGTTAATCCTATGTAAGTGTTTCAAAAATAATCCTAGAAGTCATTCTCTGTAGAGTTGAATCTACCTTACTTGGAACCAACTTATTATCATAACACTGAGTAACCTAATGTTCAATTCTTTAACCGTTTGATGAAGTAATAAAGAATAATTTCAGTACATTTTAAATTATTTATTTTAACCAGTTCATGGAGATGTTTACTTTCTAACTAAAGATTATGAAACTCCTCTCACTCCAGTGACCTTAACTTCTCATCTGTGCCTTTCACTAGCATTTCCCAAGATATGTTCTAAGGAACACTGGTTCTGCCTGTCAATACAGGCAATAACTGAAAAACGAAGAGGGGCTTCCAGGTTACATTTCGGAAATTCTTGATTAAACGGGTTATAATGGGGTATATTTTGTGCAGGCCTTTAACATGCAAGTCTGCATTGACAACTTCCAGCAAAGGGCATATTATGAAGTTGTCCCATCTTTTCTTTTCTCAGCACACTAGGGACTTGTGTTCTACCCAATATACTTTGGGGAACACTACTTGATACTTTGAACAACAATTTCAGTAGTACAATGCTTTGTTAATGGAGGGCTCATGTTATTCAAATTCCTGGTAATCTCAGACTCAGGCAAAAAAGTTTTTGGTTCACTTGTTTCTATAATTGTTTCTGGAATATCTTTCCCAATGGTTTCTTCTTCAGAATATAATGAATTTTCTATTTGTCTTGTGGCCTCTGGGCCTTCCTACCTGAGGATTGTGCAACATGGGTTCATAGTCAAGTAGCAAGAGGTACAGATGAGGGTGAGGTGAAACTGCAAGAGCCCCAAGGCGTTTTCTGAAAATTGTTACATGCGTTAGTTTTCTATGCTGTATAACAAATTACCAATTTAGCCACTTAAAACAACATGCTTTGTCTGGGGGCAGTGGTTCATGCCTGTAATCCCAGCACTTTGGGAGGCCGAGATGGGCTGATCATGAGGTCAGGAGTTTGAGACCATCCTGGCCAACATGGAAACCCCCATCTCTAATAAAAATACAAAAATTAGCTGGGTGTGGTAGCAGATGCCTGTAATCCCAGCTACCTGGGAGGCTGAGGTAGGAGAATTGCTTGAACCCAGGGGGCGGAGGTTGCAGTGAGTGGAGATTGCACCACGGCACTCCAGTGCCCACAAACAAAAAAACCCACCATGCTTTATTATCTCAGTTTCTGTGTGTCATAATCTGAGCATGGCTTAACTGGTTTGGAGTTAAGCAATGGAGGGGTTGGCTGGGGCTGAGGTGTCATCAGAGGCTCAAGTGGGAAAGAAATGGCTTCCAAGCTGTGAAGGTTGTTGGCAGTACTCATTATTACTCAGCTGTAAAAATTATGGCAGTGTCCTTCTTCAAAGGACAAGCTCTCCCCATTTTACTAGGACAGATTCTTATGTAATAAAACATTATCACAAAGTTGACATCTCATTACTGTTGCCATATTTATTGGTTAGAAACAAGTCACACATCCTGGATTTGCTAAAGGAGAGGAAATTATATAAGGTATGGAGCATTGGGAGTCACTGTGAGGCGTGTCTGTCACTGTACATTTTCTAAAATCCTGAATGGGACATTGTTTTCTTTGGCAGAGCTAATGGTTGCATTCCAGTTAATCCAGTTATTTCTTTAGTCATTTGTATCAACAGATACATTCTAGTTTTGTTTTTTTTTAAACGTGCCCTCTTTCTGAATCTATCGTATCTCTTTGACTAGATTTTAAAACTAAAAGGTAAGGATAACATCTCTGTGTATTCTTCATAGCTACTAGTGTGGATCTCAAAGTAGGCTTTTACTAAATGGTTGTTGCACACATGAATGAAGCTTTTGGCCTATGTTAGTTCACCCCTTCCAAGCTGAGTGATCTCTGGCAAATTGTTTAATTATTGTAAATCTCAGTTTCTTTAACTATAAAATGGGAATAATCATACTCCATGAAGAAATCTTGTAAAAGAGTAATTTGAACACTGTCACTCCTCTGTCCTCTGCTTTAAATCTTCAATGTCTCCCCATGCACTTGTAGTTGGTTCAGATTCCTCAATTTTGGCCTCTAGGCCCTACATGATCTGGCCTCTGCCCCTCTCTCTAACCCCATCTCCTGTCACTGTCACCCACTCAATAGGGTGGGCCACAGAGAACCCCTTAACTTGCCTAATTATCCCCAGTTCCTTCCTGCCTTGGTGCCTTTGCATTTGCTGTTCCTCAGCCTAGAATGTTCTTCTCCCAGATCATATCACCAATTTCTCATTCTTTTTTTTTTTTTTTGAAACAAGTTCTTGCTCTGTCGTCCAGGCTGGAGTGCAATTGCTAGATCATGGCTCACTGTACCCTTGACCTCCCTGGGTCAAGTGATCCTCCCAAGTAGCTGGGACCACAGGCATGCGCCACCATGTCCAGCTAATTTTTGGTAGAGTCTGGGTTTTGCCCTGTTGCCCAGGCTGGTCTCGAACTCCTAGGCTCAAGCAATCTGCCTGCCTTCACCTCCCAAAGTGCTGGGATTACACCACATCTGGCCATTTCTCTTTCGCATTATCATTCAGGATTCACCTCAGAAGTCAACAACTCTAAAAGGCTCAGCCAGACCACCTCCATTTGCCTGTGCAATTCATTACCCTTCTTTATTTTCTTTATAACAATGATCACTTCTGAAACTTGTACTATTTGTATATATGTTTCTTGTGTGCCTGTCCTTGCCAGAATGCAAGCTTCATAGAGGCAAGGACTTGGCTTCCTTTCCACTGGATCCTCAATTCCTAGCACAGGACCTGAGATATTTGTTAAATAAAATAGTGTTATTTTGTAATATATATGTAAATATATGTATATATTATGTATAAAAGCACAGTTCATGAGACATAATTTAAAATAGACAGACATATAAACAGAAGGTGGTATGAAAAATAAGTAGGAATAGTTTTATATTCAGGATAAGTAAAACTGGGGTTCTAGCCAGAACTGGTAAACTCTAAATTTCTTCTTCTAACCACTTGAATATTTTTTTCGTTGATCAGTACTCGGTTATCAGGAAAGGAAGATACCAGGCAAATAGATTGTAATTTAGTGCCTGGCACACATGAATAAAAGCAAAATCTAATGATATTGGAAATTCATGAGGCAAAAAGAAGTGATGAATCACCACCGTTCCATCCATAATTTTTTTTTTTTAAGAGATAGGGTCTCCCTATGGTGCCCACTGGTCTCGAACTATTGGCCTTAAGCAATCTGCCTGCTTTGGCCTACCGAAGTGCTTAGATTACAAGTGTGAGCCACCACACCCGGTCATTTTTTTTAATGATTTTTAGTGATGCAAATTCATTTCTATTACCTTAATCTATAATTATGATTGATTTATTGAAATAAACCCACTGGGATTTTTAGAAAAGCAATTCAAAATAATCATTTAATTTTGCTTTTCCAAAGGACTGAAACAATTAGTGTCAGCTGCAGTGTGCACTTATAAGAAGTGAAGAGTGCCTATATTTTTGCATATATTTGCTATGGCTTTTGAAAACAACTTTTGGGAAGATGGATGAGGGGAAGGAAGGTAGAAACTAGCAAAACTCTTTGTCAGACATTGCCATCTGCTGGTATATTCCCAAAATGCAACCCTGGACTCATTTCTTGTCAAAAATATAATTTAGGTGTTCCAAATTCCTCTGTTATTCAAATTCATGTAAAATCTGGGATTCAGATTCAAATTATGTTTGAAAATTAATGTATTATAAGTAAAATTTCAAGGTATTAGAACAACTGAATGAACGGTTTCTCTATTGTGCTGAAAAAATTCCAATTCCAGATTTTTAAAAAATCCTCATTAAAAAAGATCATCGTTATCGTTTAATCGTCTGCATGGGAATAAAGCAGCAAATTAAAGAGCCTGGAGCTCTACCCTCTCTGCAGTTTACTAGATTAGGGCTAAATTAGCTTAATTTGCTTGGTCAAGTGCCCATCACAGCACTCTCCCTTCACTCCATGTGGAGCTAATAAGAACTGACAAGTCTAAAATATGAGACTTGCCTTTGCTCAGCACTAACCCAGAGCCTGATGCTGACCATAGCCTTTAGTGTGTCCTAGTCTGCATCTACTGCAGACATGGTCGGCAGCAGCACAGGACTTGGCTGGTGTTCAGGCCACAGAGAACTGTGAAGGGAGCTGACTGTTCCTGTGATGATGGGTCACAGCACAACAGCAAAGGGAGTTGACTGTTCCTGTGATGATGGGTCCACAGATGGGGAGGCAAAGCCGGGAATTGTACCTGATGGCCATGCTGGCTGCCCTTCTATGGGATAAGCCCCAGCCAAACGGGTTGGCGTGAATATTCTGGACTGGACTTTTCCCGATTTCAGATCTTCCCTGAGTTGGAAAGCAAATGCACTTTCCCCAGGGTTAATGGGGTTTTACTAACAGCTGTGATGATCTTCCTTAAAGTTAGCATCCTGCAGTCTTTACAAGAGCTTGCTTTCTATTTTAATTTAAGTGTGTGTGGGTTTCAATTGACTGTCACCGCTTGGGATGCCATAGGGTGTTCGATGGAGTCTACTTAAACAGATGTGAGTTCCAACATACCTAGCTCCTTATCAGTTAGGTGACCCCATGCAAGCTACTGATGGTGGTGACCCTGAGTTTTGTACTCAAGATTTAACTTCAAGTTCATATATAACCTCATGTGTGGACTTAGGAAGTTCATGAACACCCCCTTGAAAGTATATGGGTTGTGTATGAGTTTGTATCATGTGGTTATACACATTTTTGTTCCTAAGGCATCCCTAAGCTTTCATCAGATTTCTAAAGTGGCCTATAACTTCTCTCCATGCTCCCAAAAAGTTCAGACTTTCTGTGATTCTGCTATTAAATGATGATACTAATGGCATAGAATTCACAGGGGTTGTTGTGAGGATAATTTAAAGTGGGTAAAAAATCACAGGCAGTGTGCCTGATACCTGTAAATATTAGTTTAGATGAGGGTATCAGAGCAGAGGTCAAAACTATTACTAAACTTAAGAGCCACAGTAAGTGTAATTTGGACTTGCTGTGAATGAACTTATTGGGAATCACTTAATGACTAGCAGCACCCTTGTGACCCACTGCAGTGTAATTCCTTCAATTGGTCTGATGATGTTATTGGTATTATCCTCACTGGGCCTGATTTTCCTGAAGGGAACTGAGCTGTGTGACCTTCGATGAGTTCAGATTTTTACCAACAATCTTCGATTATCAAAAGCAGAAGAAAATGCTTCTGTGTGAAATCAAAGGCTTTCAGGTAAATATAAGGGTTTAGAGAGTACATCTTCTATTATGTACTTAGTGAGGAAATTAGATAATGTTAAGGTAGATGCTTGATAAACATTCATTCCCATTCACTATTTTTTTATTTTTTATTATTTATTTATTTTATTTTTTAACACAAGGTCTCATTCTGTTGCCCGGGCTAGAGTGCAGTGGCACAATCTCAGCTCACTGCACCCTCCACCTCCTGGGCTCAAGCAATCCTCCTGCCTCAGCCCCCCAAGTAGCTGGGACTACAGGTGTGAACCACTACACCCAGCTAATTTTTGTGTTTTTTGTAGAGACAGGGTTTCACCATGTTGCCCAGGATAGCCTTGAACTCATGAGCTCAAAAGCGATCTGCCCGCCTTGGCCTCCCAAAGTGCTGGGATTACAGTCATGAGCCACCATGCCTGGCCCTCATTCTCTATTTAGGAAAAATGGTTTCATAAGAGAAATCCAGCCCCTACTAAATTTATCAAGTTTTATTTGATGGCTAATGTTGAAAATTCTGTTTCATTACTCAGGGAAAGCAAGTATTAAGGAGTGAAAAAGGCATTGACTTGGAAATCCAAAACACCTGATTTTAAGTTTCATTTACTAGGGATGATCTTGAGATATGGTTTTGGAGAAGACTCCAATTCTTCATCTATGAAATGTGGATTTTAAATTCCACATTATTAAAAGAGTCACTGAAATAACCAAGCACGTGGGAATACTCAACAGATGGCAACTAGATATGTGAAGTAAGAGAGTTCCTGCCCTCACAGCACTCACAATCTTGAGAGAGGAGAAAGGAATATGTCAAATACTTGCCAGATTGTCCCCTCGAGAAACATGGGGCATTTATCAACCCATCCAGACCCCAGGGCCATTAACTCCTAGCAGGATGAGAGGTCCACACACAGTCAGGGAGACAGCACTGACACAGAAAGAAGGAGGAGGAGGTGCAAGCTTGGGGCAGGATGCTGCAAGCACAAAGCAAGGTTGAGGGCACAAAAGGTCCACTTCAGCTTCGGCTGAAGTCAGACGTGGGCTTAGGGGGTGGGAAGCAGGGCATGATAGGTTTCTGCTACATTGGGGTGGGCATATTTCGTAAAGAGTGGCCACAGATGGATTCCTGAAGGAGGAGATCTTTTCTTTTCCTGTTTTTTTGTTTGTTTGTTTGTTTTTTGAGACAGGATCTCATTATGTTGCTCAGGCTAGCCTTGAACTCCTGACCTCAAGTGATGCTCCTGCCTTAGCCTCCCAAGGAGCTGGGATTATAGGCCTGCACCACCTTTAAACAGTGATCTGGGTGCTAAGAAGGGACCACTTTTGTAAGACGCATGCAAAAGAGTTCCACGCAGAGGAAACAGCAAAAGGAAAGTGCAAAAAGCCATGAGGCAGAAACAGATGTTGAATTTAAGATGCAGTGGGAGAGCAGGAGAGTGGAAGAAGACCAGGCCCTCAGCGCTTGCTCCTCCCTCTGTCTGAAAATCTCCTCCCATATCCCCATGGCTGTTCCTTGTGCTCACGGAGTCTTCACCTGACCGCCTTATATAAAACTGCTCACCTTACGCCGGCCCCCACCACTCTACTTCCCTACTGTGGATAGCAGGTTGAATGTGGTCCCCCAAAAGATATGTCTGCATCTTAATCCCTGGAACTTGTAGATGTAATCTTCTTTTGGGAAAAAAAAAGTTTTTGCAGATTAAGCTAAGGATCTCAAAATTAAATCATCTTGGATTAATGAGATGGACCCTTAGTCCCATGACAAGTATCCTTACCAGAGACACAGAGAGAAGAGGAGAAAGCAATGTGAAGGTGAAGCAGAGATTGGCGTTATGTGGCCAGAAACCAAGAAACAGCTGGAGCCACCAGAAGCTGGAAAAGGCAAGGAAGGAGGGTGCATGGCCCTGATGACTCCTTAATTCAGACTTCTTGCCTGCAGAACTGTGAGAGAATACATTTCTGTTGCTGTAATCCACCCAGTTTGTGGTCATTCATTACAGCAGCCACAGGACACTAATACGCCCTGCCCAACCATGTGACGTATTTGTGTCTTTGATTATTTTCTGGGTCCTCCCACTATATAATGAGCTTTACTGGGGCAGGGACTTTGTCTTGGTTGCTGCTTTGTCCCCAGACAAGTGTTGCCATTTTCTACCAATTCTGTCTTTTGAAGTTGCCCTCTTAAATAGCAAAGCCAAACCCAATACCTTCTCCTGCCTTCATTAACAGAAAGAATAGCTGTGCTTCTACTTTTTGGATAGAGCTAGGCTCAGAGTGAAATCATATATCAGGAAGGAAAACAGAAAACACACTAGGTATTTTAATAGAGGAGATTTAGTATAGGGTATTAGTACACAGACACTGCAGAACTTAAAAGGCAAAAAGTGGGCCGGGGTGGTGGCTCATGCCTGTAATCCCAGCACTTTGGGAGGCCGAGGCAGGCATATCACCTCAGGTCAGGAGTTCAAGACCAATCTGGCTAACATGGCGAAACCCCATCTCTACTAAAAATACAAAAATTAGCCTGGCATGATGGCAAGCGCCTGTAATCCCAGCTACTCGGGAGGCTGAGGCATGAGAATCTCTTGAACCCAGGAGGCGGAGTTTGCAGTGAGCTAGGATTGTACCACTGCATTCCAGCCTGGGCGACAGAGCAAGACTCTGTCTGAAAAAAAAAAAAAAAAGCAAAAAGTGTAGACACTTAAGACGATCCAATTTTCACCCCTAGAGCTGGTGAAACAAAAGGGAAGTTTGAGGTTATTAGGGTTGTAGGAGCTCAGAAATGAGGGAACAACTCTGTGAGGGCTCCTTTGAGGGGGCCTGAGGCTGCTCCTGGGAGGGGCTGGAGCCTGGAGCCAGATGCTGCTGCTGGGCTGGTGCAGATTCTTAACCAAGCGGGCAGAAGGCAATCCCGTCTTGAGGGCCTCCTGCTTCCTTCTCACTTTTGCTTGACTTCCAAGCTCCCTCTATGCTTCCTGTTAACTGGATCCAATAGGAAGGCCCCTGACAACGGCACCTGGGAAATGCAGTTTGTGTGTAACCCGAGGACAGAATAGAGAGAGATGGATTTGGAACTTAGAGATAATGGCTTAATAATAAGCACAGTGATCAAGTGTGCTTTTTGGCCTGGCATCAAAAAATAGAACAAAGATGAATACTTTGCAGGCCCGTGCATACATGTAATTGTTTAATTACACATGCTTGTAATTTTTTTTGCTTAATGTCTTCCTCATTAGACTTCAAACTTCATAAAGGAGTCCATTGTTTATTTTTCCTTGAGGTATCCCCAGGGTCTAGAACAATGACCACCATGGAGCTGGCACTTCTAAAAAGCTGTTCACTGGCTGGCTGCTTTTCTGGGTTTTTGTCTCATTTGATTTAATGTTTCTGGAGGACTGTGCTATCCTTTATGTTATAAAGGAAAGTCTTCTTTCCTTGTATAAATATGACATAGCTCTTTTAGTGCTATTATTCCAGAGGCAGGGTGGTGAGTGAAGGAGAAAGTTGGCAGGTGGCCGCTCTGGAGTCTAAATTACCTCATTGTTCTGTCTGCAGCAGACCAATTATTGTCAAATCTCTAATATCTGGTTCTATTTGTTTCATGTTGACATACCCATAGACTTTTTCCAGCAGGCTTTATTTGGGAAATTCCTTACATCATATTTATGAAAATTCAAAACTGATCATTTTTACTTCTGAAAAATGTGAATATGATTTAGTATATGGCTCTTAACCGGTGATTATTTTGCTCCCCACAGGCCTTTGGCGCTATCTGGAGACATTTTGGGTGGTTATAAGTGGAGGACACTGCTGGCATCTAGCAGATGGAGGCCAGAAATGCTGCTGAGCATCCTCCAATGCACAGGGCAGCCCCCACAACAACAAACTATCTGGCCCAAAATGTCAATTATGCTGAGGTTGAAACATCACGATATAATTTAAAATATATTTTTATTCATTCTTCTATTAAAGAAATATAGTGGAGAAAGCATCAGTTTGGGAATACACAAGATTAATTTGACTTTAAATCTTGCTCTTTCCCTGCACCAGCTGTATAATCTTAGGGAAGAAATTGCATTAGAAGTTGCTGAAGACTTCAATTTCTCATGTATAACAGAGAATTAAATCCTGCTTTACTGTATTATTATGAGGATTGCAAGAGTTAACCAGTGTATGGTTCCTGACACGTGGCTGCCCCTTAATAAATATATAAAGAAAGCATATATGTTTAAATGTATTTATACTACAAGATTCTACCCCAGAAGCACTTCTTTAGCTTTTTAATTACTTTTTACTCTCAAGGAATAGTGAGGTGACAGCGTGCTGGCAGTCCTCACAGCCCTAGCTCGCTCTCGGTGCCTCCTCTGCCTGGGCTCCCACTTTGGTGGCACTTGAGAAGCCCTTCAGCCTACCGCTGCACTATGGGAGCCCCTTTCTGGGCTGGCCAAGGCCGGAGCCCACTCCCTCAGCTTGCAGGGAGGTGTGGAGAGAGAGGCGCGAGCGGGAACCGGGGCTGCGTGCGGCGCTTGCGGGCCAGCTGGAGTTCCGGGTGGGCGTGGGCTTGGCGGGCCCCGCACTCGGAGCAGCCGGCCAGCCCTGCTGGCCCCGGGCAATGAGGGACTTAGCACCCTGGCCAGCGGCTACGGAGGATGTGCTGGGTCCCCCAGCAGTGCCAGCCCACCGGCGCTGCAATCGATTTCTCACAGAGCCTTAGCTGCCTTCCCTTGGGGCAGGGCTCGGGACCTGCAGCCCGCCATGCCTGAGCCTCCCACCCACTCCATGGGCTCCTGTGCGGTCGGAGCCTCCCCGACGAGCACCACCCCCTGCTCCACAGCGCCCAGTCCCATTGAGGGCTGAGGAGTGTGAGCGTACCGCGTGGGACTGGCAGGCAGCTCCACCTGCAGCCCCGGTGCGGGATCCACTAGGTGAAGCCAGCTGGGCTCCTGAGTCTGGTGGGGACGTGGAGAGTCTTTATGTCTAGCTCAGGGATTGTAAATACACCAATCAGCACCCTGTGGCTAGCTCAGGGTTTGTGAGTGCACCAATCGACACTCCGTATCTAGCTGCTCTGGTGGGGCCTTGGAAAACCTTTATGTCTAGCTCAGGGATTGTAAACACACCAATCAGCACCCTGTGTCTAGCTCAGGGTTTGTGAGTGCACCAATCGACACTCTGTATCGAGCTGCTCTGGTGGGGCCTTGGAGAACCTTTATGTCTAGCTCAGGGATTGTAAATACACCACTTGGCACTCTGTATCTAGCTCAAGGTTTGTAAACACACCAATCAGCACCCTGTGTCTAGCTCAGGGTGTGTGAATGCACCAATGGACACTCTGTATCTAGCTGCTCTGGTGGGGCCTTGGAGAACCTTTGTGTGGATACTCTGTATCTAGCTAATATGATGGGGAGGAGGAGAACCTTTGTATCTAGCTCAGGGATTGTAAACGCACCAATCAGCACCCTGTCAAAACAGACCACTCGGCTCTACCAATCAGCAGGATGTCGGTGGGGCCAGATAAGAGAATAAAGCAGGCTGCCCAAGCCAACAGTGGCAACCTACTTGGGTCCCCTTCCACACTGTGGAAGGTTTGTTCTTTTGCTGTTTGCAATAAATCTTGCTGCTACTCACTCTTTGGGTCCGCACTGCTTTTATGAGCTGTAACACTCACCACGAAAGTCTGCAGCTTCACTCCTGAAGCCAGCGAGACCACGAGCCCACCGGGAGGAACGAACAGCTCCAGACATGCCACCTTAAGAGCTGTAACACTCACCGCGAAGGTCTGCAGCTTCACTCCTGAGCCAACGAGACCACGAACCCACCAGAAGGAAGAAACTCCGGACATATCCGAACATCAGAAGGAACAAACCCCAGACGCGCCACCTTAAGAGCTGTAACACTCACCGCGAGGGTCTGCGGCTTCATTCTTGAAGTCAGTGAGACCAAGAACCCACCAATTCCGGACACAATAGGAATCTGGAAAACCAAATAAAACGCACATTTCCAAGAGCAAACTTTTTATTAACGGTGTCTAACAAGACCTTAGTCTACACAGTCTGATTTATTTTAAGGACTTTAAGTGGAATCAAGACGTTCTTGAAAGCAATAATTTTATGTGCATCAGAGTAAGAAGATATTAAAATATACAAAAACGGAGATAATAAAAACAAATGTTTGAAACTGGGATATATCAATGCCATAGTTTTGAGACACTTTTTTTTTGTTTTTTGTTGTTTTTGTTTTTTTGAGATGGAGTTTCACTCTTGTTGCCCAGGCTGGAGTGCAATGGCGTGATCTCAGCTCACCACAACATCTGCCTCCCAGGTTTAAGCAATTCTCCTGCCTCAGCGTCCCCAATAGCTGGGATTATAGGCATGCGCCACCACTCCCAGTTAATTTTGTATTTTTAGTAGAGATGCGGTTTCTCCATGTTGGTCAGGCTGGTCTCGGACTCCCGACCTCAGGTGATCTACCTGCTTCGGCCTCCCAAAGTGCTGGGATTACAGGCGTGAGTGAGAAATGTTAAGAAATAACTTAGCAATTAGATTCAGGCTGAACAAAAAATCGCTCAAAACACTCACCTTTAGTTATAAAAGATTATCTTAACAATACAAAAATGTTCATTTAGGTGTACCACAAATTAATTGGGTTTTTTGCTCCTTCTATAGCTTGCCCAAGTGAACATATTTGTAAAAGATTTTTTTTTCTAACAAAGTAATGCAAATTCATTCTAGAAAAACTTGGAAGATACAAAAGAGTAAAAAGAGAATAATAAAAATGACATTCTGATCCAGTAATGTAGAGACAGACACTTAAAATTTCAGCAAATTTCTCTTCTTGTGGTCACTAATGAATATTCCTGGGGGCTGGGGCTACTGCTTCAGATTTATATCAGACTGAGTAAACTCATCAGGTCTGTATTATAGAGCTTTGCACCCTATCTAGCACAGTTTGGGAATACCTTTCCTGCAAAAATATTTGTTGGCTGATTAAATGGGTCCTTAATTCAATATATATATTAGGCTATAAAATTAAATGAAAATAGCACACTATCGCAGTCTTAAAATCATGTTACCTTTAATAACTGCTTATATGTTAGGTTGTATCATATGAAATTGCCTATGTATAACAATTTTTTTTAGCAAGGGGGCAATTTGATTGCAGCCTCTATTCTATCACAAGCTTTTTGAGCACTGCAGGTGAATTTGTTTCTCTTTTATACCAACTGTAAAGCTTGGGTGATAACTCTGTAGAAGGAAATGCTTAAACATTGCATCATGAATCCATGTGTGTGTGTGCTGCGAAGCACCCCCAAAACCTTTACAAGAAACCAATACTTCCACAAGATCTTTTGTGGAATTTTATTTTCTTTCCTTACATCTAAAAATAGCTATATTTCTACATTGCTGGTCAAATAATGTAGCCATTGTGGAAAACAGTTGGGCAGTTCTTCAATAAATTACACATAGAATTACCATATGAGCCAACAATTCCACTCCTGCATGTATGCCCAAAAGAATTAAAAACAGGTGTTCAAACAAATACTGTATCCAAATGTTCACAGCAATATTCACAATAGTCAACAGGTGGAAATAACCCAAATGTCTATCAAGTGATGAATGGATAAACAAAATGTGGTATATCCATACAAGAATATTATTCAGACATAAAAAGGAATGAAGTGTTGATACATGGAGGAACCTTGAAAACACTATGCTAAATAAAAGGAGCTAGACATGAAAGGACACACATTGTATGATTCTATTTATATAAAATATCAAAAATAGGCAAATCCATAGAGAAATAGAGGAGCTTAGTGTTTGCCAGAGGCTGAGGGGCAGGTAGGTATGGAAAGTTATTGTTTAATAGGTACAGAGTTTCCTTTTGGGATGACGAAAATATTCTGGAACTAGGTAGTGTGGTGGTTGCACAATATTTTGAATGGTAAATTTTACGTGCGTTTATCACAACAGAAAACAGAACCAAATAAAACCCATGTTTCGTTAACTAATTTAATCAGGATTCTTTTGTTTGCAAGGGATAGAATCAGACCACTTTGGTTTTTAAAAGGAGGGTGAGGAGAAGATTCATTATCTCACAAATTTGGGAAGCCCGGGGGTAGAGTTGACCTTAGGGATTGATTTCAGGAACTCAGACGATGTTGTCAAGATATTCTCTCTCTCTATCCCCACCACCTTTCCCTCCTCTCTTTGCGTCTCTCCCCCTCACTCTCTTTGCTCTCCTCCGTATGTTGGCCTGATTCTTGCCTCTTATAGGTGCCCTTTCACTGTGTGGCAGGAGAAGAAGGCAGCAGACAGCCTCTTACAGCTCCAGGCTTCCATCACCAGCTGAGGGACCCCAGATGAAGGGGGTACAAAACTGGCAAGGCGGTATTGGGTAGTGGGAAGAAAAAAGACCTCCTAACATTTCTACTTGACCAGATGCGTGATTTTGAGCAAGCTGCTGAATCTCTTTGAACCTCATCTATAAAATGGAGATAATCATAGCATCTACCCCCTGGTGTTGTCATGATGGTTAAATGAGTTAATATATGAAAACTGCTTAGAACTGGGCCAGGTTTACTATTTTAGTTATTACCCTCATTGTCATTATCATTATCATATGTCAGTAAAATCCAGGGGAATGACTTCATTGGCTGGTGAACTCCCCTGTTCCCAGGATGCTGGGGTTGGCAGGCTTACCAGAGACAGTTCTTACAAAAAATGAAGTTGGTTATCAGAAAAAGAGAGTAAGGGAGAAGGGCAGAAATTAACATGAGATGGCTACACATTAGCCTACCACTGTTACAGAGACTTTCAAAATCCCCACTCTCTCTGGTATAAAGACATATACACATATAGTTGAAGTTAGTGCTTGTTTCTTCAGTATGTGCCAAGCACCGTTTGCTGTTTGTTTGTTTGTTTGTTTGTTTGTTTTTGAGACAGGGTCTCACTCTGTCTCCCAGGCTAGAGTGCAGTAGCATGATCATCGCTCACTGCAGCCTTGAACTCCTGGACTCAAGGAATCCTCCCTCCTCAGCCTCCTGAGTAGCTGGGATTACAGCCACACACCACATGTCTAGCTAATTAAAAAAAAAAAAATTGTAGGGCGGGCACGGTGGCTTACGCCTGTAATCCCAGCACTTTGGGAGGCTGAGTAAGGTGGATCACCTGAGGTCAGGAGTTCGAGACCACTCTGACCAATATAGTAAAATGCCATCTCTACTTTAAAAAAATACAAAAATTGGCTGGGCATGGTGGCATGCACCTGCAGTCCCAGCTACCGGAGAGGCTGAGACAGAAGAATTGCTTGAACCCAGGAGGTGGAGGTTGCAGTGAGCCTAGATTGTGCCACTGCACTACAGCCTGGGTGACAGAGTAAGACTCTGTCTCAAGAAAACAAAAAAAAAAAACCAAAAAGCTGTAGAGATGGGCTCTCACTTGGTTGCCCAGCCTGGTTTGGAACTCTTGCTTCAAGTTATTCTCCCACCTCAGCCTCCCAAAATGCTAAGGTTACAGGTGTAAGCCACTGCACCTGGCCTAATTTTTAAAATTTTTAAAAATTTTTTGTAAAGGTGAGATCTCACTATTGCTCAGGCCGGTCTTGAACTCCAGGCCTCAAATGATCCTCCCAATACCACCTCCCAAAATGCTGGGATTATGGGCATGAGCCACCGTGCCCAGCCCAAGCACTGTTTTAAGTCATTTATGTTTATAATGTCATTTGTTCTTCTGAAGACCCTGTAAGATAAAATATTACTATCATTACAAATGAAGCAACCGCAGTACAGAGAGATTAAAGAGCTTGCCTAACACCGCCCTGTCGGGCTGTGATTTCAGTCAGTCTGTCTCCAGAACTTGAATTCTCAACCACTCGGCTCTGTTGCCTTCTCCTTAATAGCAGGTAAAAAAACAAGTTAATGAAAAGGTAAGGAAAAAGTTGGGCAATTTGCACAGGTGACATCTGTGTTGGCTGAAAACAACAATAGGACTGTGGTTTTAAGAGTACAAGTATGTAACCAATTCTGTCTTAAAGCCAATGAAATAAAACCATGAAATAAAGGTTTGTTTGCAGCCCTATTATAAAGAATACATGTTTGTCAGCTTGAATAAATAGTTACACTTTCCTAAGTTTAAATTTCTCAATGCCATTGAAAACTTATAGAGACTTGAAGGCAGGAATCTTTTAAGACACCCAAGACTAACAATTCTCACATATTTCTGATCTTCAAGTAGGCATCTTTTACTAACAGGCTTAACCCAGGGACCTCAGGTTAAGCAAACAGGTCATTTTCCTTGACAATGGAAGGGTAAACATGACCCGGTGGCAAGAATGAGTTAATTGTCTTCCATTGCTGATTCTTGCTCAAAGCACCTCTCTGGGTTGCAGGACAAGGCAAGTGCCACAGCTGGCAGTGAAATCAAGTGAAATTTGCGGGGTTTGGCCAAACATCCCATCCTATTGAATAAAGACAGAGACAAAACAAAAAACTGTTTAAATAAGCAAATAAGAAGAATGCAGAGGACTAGACTTATTCCCTGCATGTGACAAAAGAGAGGCTCTGCTTTATTTTTTGAGCACTGAGATAGATTGAAGTCAAGCATATTTATTTAATAATAGAATAAAAAGGAACAGCTGTGGAAAATATTTAGCAGATGATACACAGAGAATCGCACACACAGACAAGACATAGTTACAGCCTAGACCGAAGAATGGTGCCAGGGTAGCAGAGGGTTTTTCTTAAGTTTTATTTCCCTGAAATTAAAAACAAAAAACTTTGTGATTTAAATGATAGAGTTTATAAATGCCATTTATAAAGATTCAAATAGCACAGAGGTAAGATAACACCTTTCACTTCTGAGTACCTATTATGTGCCAAGTAATATTCTCAGTATATGAATTGATTAGTTTATCTGAATTCTATGGAGGAAGTTATTCTGACCAAGCCTGTTTTAGCAGATGGGCAATTGATGCCCAGAGCTGGGAAGTATCTTGCAAAGATCACCCAGCTTCTAAACTGGACCTGGGCAGTTAGATTCCAAAGCTTATGGTCAAAACAACTGCTATAAATCCCTGAAGTCTAGAGAAGTTGTTTAAAGAAGAAAGGAGAAGGCTGCAGTTCTGCTCCATGCCCCATTCCGCCACCACACCTCCAATCTCATCACTGACAGAGGTAAGCAGACCAACACGTCTCTATTTTCCTAAGACCTTCCCAATTTTAAAACTGAAGGTCTTGGGCCAGGTGTGGTGGCTCATGTCTGTAATTCCAATGCTTTGGGAGGCTGAGGCAAGTGGATCACTTGAGGTCAGGAGTTCAAGACCAGCCTGGTCAACATGGCGAAACCCCGTCTCCACTAAAAATACAAAAATTAGCTGGGTGTGGTGGTGGGTGCCTGTAGTGCCAACTACTCAGGAGGCTGAGGCAGGAGAGTCACTTGGACCCAGGAGGCAGAGGTTGCAGTAAGCTGAGATTGCACCACTGCACTCCAACCTGGGCAACAGAGCAAGACTCCGTCTCTAAATAAAATAAATAAATAAATAAATAAATAAATAAATAAATAAATAAAACAAAACTGAAAGTCTTGTTTCTCAGGACTCCCCCAGTCCTGAGCAAAAAAGGATGGTTTTTCAACTTACCAGAGGGCACATCACAGACAGCAGTTTATTTTGTATCTCTTCCATGAATATATAAGTATACTTTCAAAACTTTGTTGTGACACGTATACACACACACACATACACACACAAATGCTCCTCTGTGAGCTATTTTTCTCATGTCTCAATGTATTAGGCAACACTTTCCCTTTCCTTTCTTTTAAGGTGTCAATCAAAAAGAACTGCATATTGCTTTCATTTTATGGATGTACATTCACTCATAGAGCCACCCTCTGTGGCTGCTCTGTAAGGGTGAAAAAAAATGTACTATAAATAAAGAGGAATAATGGTGCTATGTGAGCAAGAAAATAATACTTTAAGGATAAAATGAGGGAGAGATGGAATAATAATTTTTACATCTCCAAGAAGCAGTAACAAAAAAGTAAAGGTGCTTTAGACAGATAGTGAGCATAATTTTATTTTCAGAGAAAGGAAGGTCTCCGTGGATGAAAGTCAGGGGATGAGGAATCAAGTTCTGGTTTCCCCTTGGTGAGCTATGGAACCATGGATGAAAGCTGCACCTCAGTTTCCATATCTGTAAAATGGGAATGGTAAATCCTGCCTAGCAAACTGGAGAGAACACATGTGAGGATCTGGCAAGTATAAAGCACTTTGATGCATTGTACAAATATAAGGCATGATTATTAGTATCCTAAAGAATTTGCCAGAAGCTTTCATTGTGATCACTGAAGTCTGATTCAAAGGAAAACATCACAGAGGGATAAAAGTGTCTAAGTTTGTGATCCTCACACTGGAGCATGTGGAAGATATACCCAGGGAGATTGTTAAAAATAAAAACCTGGAGGTCTACTGCAGACTTCTTGCATTTGATTCTCCAAGAGTGGAACCTGTGCTTTTGTCACTGTAATGAGTTCACCCAGGGGATTCTGGTGCAACCATCCAGATTTGTGAACTAAGGGTCAGGGCACCACCTAACGGGGGGCACCATTCACTTGCTCAGCAATGCAGATAGCAGCAGAAGGGTTGTGCAGCACCCAGCCTAAAAGGAAGCCTGGCCCTGTGACCATCAAGCCCCATTGAAAACTGTCAGAAAGACCCCTTGACCCTTTGCTAATAACAGAGATAGGGCCATGAACTTCTGCTGACCACCTGCTGTATATTAGAGCATTTCACATTATCTTTTTCAAATTTATGTTTTGGTGGTAAAATTCACATAAAATAAAATTAACCATTTTAAAGTCTACAATTTGGTGGCATTTAGTGCTCTCACAATGTTCTGCAACCATCACCTCTCTCTAGTTCCACACATGTTACCTTTATTTAAGCCTCACAAAATTTTGAGAGATTAAATATTTGTTAATGCATTTTCAATATACAAAAGGAAAGCTAGAAGAGCTTTAGCAATTTGTCCATGATTGGACAATTAGTAACGGTTGAAGTTGGGATTCAAATCCATGCTAACCATCCAAAACACTTTCAAATACACGAGTGGCAGGAGGAACCCCCAGGATTCCATATTTTCAATGAAAATATTGAAACAATCTAGGACATTGTCACTTTAATTTCATAATGTTACTCTAAATAAATTCAGTAGGTCTAATGCTGTACCTCTCCCCACCTTTTCTCATTCCCTCCCTTTCGTAAGGCATGTTCTACATGGGTGCCCAATCACAAGTTTAAATTTAACCACAAGGTAAATCAACAACTTATCCCTGATGTACAACCTCAGCAAAGTAAAGAGAACATGAAGAATTTTCCCAGACTATAGGTAAACCCATAGAGAACAACATATGATAGGATGTCTTCTGTCTTGGGACCCGTAAGACCCAAGTATATTAAATCCTGGTCTGCCAACAACAGTGAAGCAAACACACTTTTAGATAGGGCAGCCATGTCGTATCACCCAACTGGGACATTCTCGAAAGGATACTTAGACTGGCCATCAGAACCACAGGCTAACCTAGGGCTGTCCAAGACAAATGAGGACATATGGTCACTTTACTTTTGGAGCCTCTTACTAGGAGGCTGAAAGGCCATCACTCCTCAGCAACATACAAAAGCAAGAGAGGAACAAACAAAGCATACTGAGAAATAAATACTTAAACAATTAAAGTCAACTAGCAAAACCCAAGCCAAGTGAAATAGCTATGAAGATTTAAAGTTATTTGATTGCAAAACTCAGTAGGGGAGTGAGGAGTGAAGAGGAAGAAAGGATGCAAGAAAATATGGACCTGGCCAAACTCAATGAATCTCAAAAACCCGGCACTTACAAAACAAGCAGAAACATAAAACTTCAGTGAGAGCATGTACCAGACCAATTAAGTCAAACTCAAAGGGCTGTAAAAGAAAATGCATCTTGAAGCTGGAGCAAAATCTAAATGGAAATCAGATGACTTAGGAGAAGAAAAGCCAGCACATGACTCATAAAAATACCCCTTGAAAAGGAAAGTTAGAAAAACAGAGAAACATTCAAATGAAATGAATTCTACTAGTTCAGAGTCTGGTCCAACAGAAGGTTCCTCGTGGCCTGTCAAGTCACAGACACGGGGGGATTTGAGATCCTCTCTGCCATAGCTCCCTCCATTGAGTTGGGGAGGTTAGGCAGATGGCTGCTGTGTGTGTGTGTGTGTGTGTGTGTGTGTGTGTGTGTGTGTGTGTAGCTGAGCAAGATAAATGTGGAGCTGCCTCAGGCCGCAAGTGAGTTACCTGATTCCCAGTCTCCCTGACTCCCAATTCTCAGTCCATCTGCCTGCCAGGCCCTGCCTGGGCGTCCTGCAGTGTAGAGGCTTCCGGTCCGTGTGGGCCTAGAGTAAATACCACCTGCTCCTTGGCTGCAGGTGTTGCAGTAGCTAAGATGAACTGCAGCCCTGAGCAGTTCATCTTAATGAGGAAGGGAGGAAGGAAGGAAGGGACTTTACTGAGTACAGCAAAACTCTTTAACCATTTTGAAAGGACTCTTGCTTTCTCTGCATGGCAGTGTTCTGCAAGGAGTATTGGCCTTTATTATTGGATTATGATTTCTTTCCCCATCCCATCTTGTGTGATGGAGGAGTAAAGGTTTTAAAGGCATGGATTCAAGGCTTATTTTTTTCCTTGGTGGCTGAATGACCTTGGGCATATATCTTTTTATCCTAGTTTTCCTGTCTGTAGGTGGAGAAAAATAACATTTCTCTAGGTATTCATGAAGACAGAGATAACCCCTGGGAATTCCCAGAAGATGGTTTAGCACATAGTGTGTGCTCATAATAAACGTTGCTTGTTCCTCATTACCAGAATAGGGAATAAACGGTTATAGGCACAGAGGACTTAAGTCCTTACTCAAACTCAAACAATATTTGGTAGCCAAGTCGCGACTAAGATTCAACGCTTTTGCCTTTGCCCTCAGTGTGGATGCTAACCTAGGCTATTCTGTCTCCCTGCAGCCCACCCTGTGCTCAGTGGCAGCTGTGGTGGACAGTCTCTGATGTTCAAGTGCCTGAATGGCTCTGCTCTCTGTTTTAGGGCTTTCTCTAAAACTGCAGAAGTCACTCCATTTCCAGCAGGACAAACATGGAAGTGTGGGGTGGGAGGGGGTTCATATACTCCAGAGGCAAACACAACCTATGCAAGTCAGAAGTCAATACAAAAGGCCCTTCTGAGGTTCCCTTATATGATTAAGCCCCAGTTGCCTAGAGCAGTAACTGGCTTATTCTATACGTGTTACTGGCTTTTATCCCTTTCCTTGTCTTATTCCTCTCCACTACCTCCTTCTGCTTCCTGGGTCTCAGATAAACCATCTGCACCCAAGTCCTTATCTTAAGCTCTGCTTTGGGGAAACCCAACTAAGACACCATTTGTTTACTCTGTCTTATGTAAGGACCCTACATGGTTTTGCTTTTTGCCTCTATTCTTAGGACTGTGAATACCTTACCCAAAGAAGAACGTGTAATAAGTTTATTGAGAAGGAACTATGTGCCAGACAATGTGCAAAGGAAAAAAAGTTAATACAAGTCTAATGTAACAAAAAAAGCTTCTCCTCCCCCTCCCCCTCCCCCTCTTCCTCCTCCTCCTTCTCATCCTTCTTCTTCCTCTTCTTCTTCTTCTTGACAGAGCTTTGCTCTGTCTCCCAGGCTACAGAACAGTGGTGTGATCTCAGCTCACTGCAACCTCTGCCTCCCAGGTCCAAGTGATTCTTGTACCTCAGACTCTGAGTAGCTAAAATTACAGGCTGCTCCACCACACCTGTCTAATTTTTGTACGTTTTAATACAGACAGGATTTCACCATGTTGTCCAGGCTGGTCTTGAACTCCTGGCCTCAAGTAATCCACCACCCTCAGACTCCCAAAGTGCTGGGATTACAGGTGTGAGCCACCATGCCTAGCCAACTTTTCTTCTAATCGTGCTGGTGTGAGTTATATCTGTGGAAGGACAAATAAATCTACCTCTTCCTTCTTCATACAGAGAGTAAAGGGAATAGCCAACCAGGTCTGAGATTCTAATCATATTAAATAACAGACGGGATGTCATAGGCTCTGTGGCTGCTTTGCCGTGCCAGAGGACAAAGGTCCTGGGTTAGATGGTTTCTTCTAGAACAGAGCCCCTTAATGAGCCTTTGGAGATAAAGAGGTAGGTGCAGTGTTAAGGTGGGAGCTGAAGAGCTAAAAACACAAATGTTTAGGAAGAGGTTATAGGTGACTATAGGAAAGAAAAAGTTAGCAAGGTCTGGGAATGCAGCAAGGGAAAGACCCCAGGGGTGACATGTCCAGTGACAAATTTCCACAGGGAAATACCGAATGAGCCTTTAAGTACAGGTAGTGTCTTACTCTCTTTGTGTTGCCATAAAGGAATACCTGAGACTGGGTAATTTATAAAGAAAAGAACTTTATTTGGCTCACAGTCCTGCAGGCTGCACAAGAAGCATGGTGCCAGTGTCTGCATCTGGTGAGGACCTCAGTCTGCTTCCACTTATGGCAGAAGGCAAAGGAGAGCTGGGTGTGCGGAGATCACATCACATGGCCAGAGAGGAAGCAAAGCAGAGATGGGAGAAGGTGACAGGCTCTTTTTAATAACCAGCAATCACGGGAACTAACAGAGTGAGAACTCACTCACACCTTCCCCCTCCTGAAGGAGGACATTAGCCTATGCATGAGATATCTGCCCCCATGACCCAAACACCTTCCACCAGGCTCCAACTCCACCACTGGGGATCAAATTCTCACATGAGGTTTGGAGGGGCAGATGTTCAAACCATAGCAGGGAGGTTGGCTTGATTGATGTATTGTGCTGGGAGATAATTACCCTCTGCTGCCCCTAACCAGTTTTGGGCATGGGCCACACAATTGTCTTGTGTTAACCAACTCTTGATAGGGATGGATAATGAAATTCTCCACATTTCCTTCAACATGGGGCAGAAAAAGATACAGAAGAAACAGGAAATCAGAGAAGCTACTGGAAGAAAAGCAACTCCCCCACTAAAAATACCGAGGGATCCCTGGGTTTCATGTATAGAGGGGAGGGTGAACTTGAGCCAGAATTTTCTATAAGGTAAAGAGACTCAAAAAACTGAATTTTAGGGTCTGGGGAACACCAAATGATTGTATTACAAATTTGTTATCCCATTTAATTCTCAGTGAGGATGAAGAGGCTCAGGGGAATTAAAATGACTGGTCTGAGGTTTCAAAGGTGGAATTTGAACTCAGCTCTGACTTCAGAGCCTCACATTACAGGCATGCTCCAATTGGCTATGTTAGACCAGAAAATGATTCAGTTCTCACTCAGATATACCCATTCCATTTCAGACCAGGCTTTTTAAATCCCTGGTTTAAAATGGTTTTCACATGGGCTAAAAATATAAGATAAAGGACTTGAAGATTCATCAAATTTGTTCTTCCCTCTTTTACCCTCTAATCATCAGAGAAGAAATTAGTTCTTCCTTCCACATTTTATTCATCTTCAAAATCTTGAGTGGGTCACATACATGCACACACACACACACACACAGACATACACAGAGAATCTACCTGGGAAAGTGAAAACTGACGTTGTGTATACGCCACTGCATTTCTTTGCTGATCAAGTACAGAAGGAAATGTTTGGTTGGGTGCTTGAGACTTCTGTACAGGAACCAGGGATCAGGTTGTTGAAATGATACCCATTCTAGTATTTGAATTGTGTCAGAAAAGAACAACATGGCCTGTGGTCTTCCATGCATACATTCAGCACAATAAAAAAATCTCTTTAAGGTTTCCAACGATTTCATATCATGGTATAGGAGAAAGCATTCATTCATTCATTCAAGAAATACTGAGTTCCTTCTATGCGTCAGGCACTGTTATAGTCACTTGAGATCAAAGCAGACTAAAAAAATCATTTCTGCTCCTGTGAAGTAACAAAGAAAGACAGAAAATAAACAATAAGAATAAATAAGTGATACAGTGTGTTAAAAGGCGATAAATGCAATGAAAAGGGGAAAAACTAGCGTGACATAAAGGGGAATGGGAATGGGTAGGTTGTGAATTGCTGTTATAAATAGGGTAGGCTGACTACGACTCATTGAAAACGTGACAGTTGTGGCTCGAATATGGATAATACATGAACAAAACAATTAGAAAGCCTGGGGAATGTTTCTGATTCTGGCTTTTGGCATCCACATTCTGAGCTGGAAGCTTTGCCTGTCTCATGACTGTGTCTGTGAAATTCCACAGGGAGGCAGCATGTCCTAGTGATGACTGCAGCCTTGAGGGATTTCCAAGGTGACGGCTTTTGCTTCCAATTACAGAGGAGGGTCTAAGGAATCTGTCTTTGGACTGTTTGTAAAGGCACTTTCCCTTTCCTGATTTCAAGATGTTAGCTAGACGTGGCTGCATGGCTCTTTGTAACCATGACAGCAACACTTGCTTTCACATATTGAGGATTTAATACTATATGCCATATGTTAAACGCAATATCTTCTGTAACCTTCTTTTTTTTTTTTTTTTTTTTTTGAGACGGAGTCTCGCTCTGTCGCCCAGGCTGGAGTGCAGTGGCGGGATCTCGGCTCACTGCAAGCTCCGCCTCCCGGGTTCACGCCATTCTCCTGCCTCAGCCTCCCAAGTAGCTGGGACTACAGGCGCCCGCCACTACGCCCGGCTAATTTTTTTTTTTTTTGTATTTTTATTAGAGACGGGGTTTCACCGTTTTAGCCGGGATGGTCTCGATCTCCTGACCTCGTGATCCGCCCGCCTCGGCCTCCCAAAGTGCTGGGATTACAGGCGTGAGCCACCGCGCCCGGCCTTCTGTAAACTTCTTATAATTTCTGGGCTTGATCTTGTTATAATGTCACCATTTCTCAGATGAGAATTCAGAGGCTCAGAAGCACATCGCGAGAGAATGTGGGAACCAGGATTAGCCATAAAGTCTTTGGAAAATCTTTGGATGCTAAGTTGATAGAAGAAAGGAATCTTTTTAGATGGGTTTGTGAAACCTAGTTGTTTCAGATTGGATTCGGTTCAGTGAATTTGAAAGCTAGAAGCTTGAAGATCAGCAACAACAGGGTGATAGTAATAACCAGTTTCATTGAGCAATACCAAGTGCTGTGCTAAATGCTTCACATACGCCATGTCATTCAATCCTCAATCACAGTGCTGAACTGCTTCAGATGAGGAAAAGAAGTCACTGACTGTGTGCTCACTGCATGGCAGGCATTGTATACATTGCTATATCAATGTCTCTCCCAAAATCACTTCATTTGTCAATGTAAGATGTCATCATTATAAATATTCAAACAATACAAAATTATGTTAAGGGAAATAAAACAAAGTCAAAAATCTCTTTCCCTAATGTTAACCCCCGCCAACGTGAGAGTCTATATGTATTCTTCCCAAATTAAAAAAGTAATTATCTGTATCTGAAGCTATATCAATGTAACAGTTGAACATTGTGAATTTTTTAAAAATAGTGTAGTATAATATGAAAATTACATCTCTTTCAATCTCACTACCTAGAAATAATTTCTTATAGCATATTTTTTCTGGCAATAGCTACTATAACTTTAAACAATATATTTATGCTTTTTGTTCTTGATTTCTCAATTTTGAAACACAACTACTCACTCCTTGCTGGCTTGTTATTACCCAACAACCTCCGATTTTTGTTAACTCTATTTTTAATGTTTTTTCTACTGATTAATTTTGGGGCATTGAAGAGTCTATATAAATCCCTATTTTTGATATATAAAACTTAGAACATGCCAGTTAGCTTTTTAAAAAAACAAATAGATGAAATTAATGCACTTACATTTATGCCACCTCCTGTTGTTCAGCTTTCTCCTGACCACTCACCAGTCAGTTTCCCCAACTGGGAGTTAAATCATCCCCAATGTTAATTATGTCATAATCTCATCCCTTTGGCAACCTCTTAGGAAGCCAGAACCCACACCATTTCCAGAGCAGTGGAAGGAGCCAGAAACAATGGGTGTGTGACTGGTTGGCCTCAGGTGGTAAAAGTGTCTTACAGCATAAGAAGTTGCTGCAATGTTAGGCGGGGGCTGTGGCCACACATCTACTGTGTGTTTCTGAGATTGGTGAGGCCCAAAGAATCTGAGGCTATACGTTAGTTGTGTTAGTTGTATCCAATACGGTCTGGTTGGTCCTTTTGGTGCATTAATTTCTTGTTTCATACATGCGGTGTTACCAAGCTCTTTATTAAAATGTGTTAATCTTCTATTCCATTCCTTGAATGATTCTCTAAATGTTTCCTAGAGATTCAATTTTTCTGTTTATTATTTTAGTCCTTCTCGGATTGGATTTCCTCAGAAATGTTACTGGTTTATTTTAATAATTGTAGAATATTTACGATGACAACAACAAACACTTTAGGAATGCTTTCCACATATCAGAAACCGTTATAAGCAATTTTTAACATCAACTATTTTCATCAACCCAGGATCTTGGTCATACTTTTATTTTCATTTTACAGGGAAGGAAATGGAGGCCCAGAGGTTATCATAGAGTTGCTAAGTGTATAATCCAGGATTCATACCCCAGCCCTCTGACCGTAAAGCCTGAGCCCTTACCTACCACAAAACACATGGTGTTGTATCTCACTTGTGTTTAGGTTTTACTTTGAAGTGTTACAATAGTAGTGCAAAAGTCAGTAGTGCTTGTGGGAATAAGTTTTAGCTGTCCCCCATATCCATTTTTCTATTCTCCCACAGTAAGATATCTTTTAGCTAGGCATACGGCTGTCCTAAATAAAGATTCTGCATCAAAGCTTCCCTTGCAAATAAATAGGGGCATGTGATAAGTCCTGACCAATGGGATGTAAACTGTTGTATGGTTGCTTCAAGGGTCCTTCCCTAAGAGATAACTAAACTGCACCTGACGTGCCTTCTTTGTTCTCCCTTTCCTCTCTTGTTGAGAGGAGGGTGGCTTTGGACTATGAAGATGGGGGCCCCTCCCTAAGGGTGGTGGAATGGGGAGCTGAGGGGAGTCTTATTTCCCTGGGCACTGCTGGAATGGATCTTCCCTCCCAGAACTGAACCACTCCTACGGACTTTTGCTTGAACAAGGAATAAACTTTCTCTTGTTCAAGCTCTTGTTATTTGTGTACACTTTGTTACTATTGTTGTTACTTGCAGCCTAATATAATGTCAACTAATGTGGTTTTAAAAGGCTTGTTAAAAAAAAAAAAAAACAGCAGTTGTCAGGCCCATATCCTGTTCCTCAGCCATACACAACAGATTTTGCTGTTTCTTCCCACATTTGCATTCACATTTCTAAATGATATGCTTTTGCTGCTCTTTCTTAAGATTGGCAATATTGATTTTTTAATGGTTGATGAGGACTTTACTCTCTTAAATCTGTCCTTCCCCTTCACCCACCTAATTAGTATAGTTCCATCACAGTTTATTTAGTTAAATTAATATTCTTTATTTACATTGATATGATTAAGTAAATATTATTCACTAATGAGACAAATAGTTAATTTTGCTTACATTTCTTCTTCTTTGTTATCATTTTTCTTTTCAGACGTGTGAATTTTCTAAGCAATTGTGAAATTTTCCTTTAATCCTCCTATTAGATGGGTATTTTTATTTCCATTTTATAGGTGAAGACTTTGAAGCTTTTTGTTGTTGTTCCCACTCTAATGATAGTAGTGAACATATACTGGGTATGTGCATTCCACAACAAGTTTGATGCTTACTGAATGCTCAATCGTGCTTACTACTGTCCCCACTTTACAGAGCAGGAAATTAAGGCAGTAGAGCTTACAAGACTTACCCAAGGCCACAGAGTCAGGATTCAGACTCAGGTCTCTCTGACTCTGGAGCTCACATGCATCTTAACCCTCTTACTTGGACGTGGGGTGAAGGAGAAGAGAGGGACACAGTCACTATATTTAAAATTGGGAAGAGTGTGAGCATGAGCATACAGAATAGCTCAGACTAATCTGATCAGAAAGGCAGCTGTTATTAACTATTGCATGCTAGATAAATATCAGCCCAATCTCAACTAAGAACTCCTGACTTGGTCTGAGATGAAAACACAAGTTTTTGGTTTTTTGTTTGGTTTTGTTTTTTTGCTGCTGGACTGTAGATGAACCTGAACATTTTGCTTTGAAGTAAAAAAGCAAATAGAAGGTGCCTAAGGGCTTCCACTTTCCAGATAGAAAATTGAGCCTCCAGGGAGTTTAGCAACTTGCCTCCATTCCCACAGCTAAAACTGCCGGACGAGGATCTTTCCCAGGATCCTCAGTTTCCAGAATCCGGGTGTTTCTCCCTACACCAAGACATCTTTCATGGCTGTGCTCTCAAATTTATCACCTCTACTATCTATGGGACTTGGTGGGGATATTTTCCAAGAAAAAAATCCATGCATATATAATTAAAAAATAGAGATAATTCCATTTCCAGTCAATCTGGGAGATGACTTGGGCTTCTCATATTGACACTTCCTTAAAAGATATTTTGATACTTTGAGGGAGACAATAATAGGATCTTTAAAATTGGAGCTGTTCCACAAAATCTGGAGACCTGTCACCAAGATAGAGATATTGGATGTAACGAGATTAATAATGAGACAGTAATGAAGTAATGGCCTAACTCCTGCCTGTTGAGTCAGCGCCTGCCTGTGTGTAAATAAATAATGAATTACAGGAGTCACATTACCTGAGATTTACAGAACATCTCTCAGCTGTTTGAAAAAGCTGTCTCTCCCTGAGGATAAGTCAGAGGAAGGTTTTTTTAATTATCTTGAATTATTAAGATTACCATTTAGTGGTGAATAATTGTTTCCTATTGGACTCTCAAAAGTGCTTAATTATACTTAGAGAATAATTTGCTTGAGCTTTATAAATAAACCTGAATATTGCTGTAGTATCTTTTTTAAAACCCCTATGGGAATATGTTACTAATATAAATGAAATCAATGTCTTCACAATCCCCAGAGTAGCAGTGTATCCTTATCCCAGTCTATAAAATTAGTTTTATAATGCTTACCTCTTGGGGTTGGTGAAGGCTGAGTCACGATAAGCAGCCACTGGCTACAAACCAGCCTGTTCCAAGCACTTTACATATATTAACTCATTACCTTTGTAACAACCGTATGAGGTGATAACTGTGATCATCCATGGGGAGATTGAAGCACAGAGGAGTTAAGTAACCTGCCTTAGTCACACAGCCACTACAGGACAGACTTGGAATTTTAACCCAGACTGTCTGAGAGTTTCTGCAGAGCTCATACTCTAGGAAACAAGAAGGCGGTCAGATTGGCACAGATAATGTGTAATAAAATCCCGTGGGAGGCAAAAGCAGGTAGCTAGAGCAGGAGAGAATGGTTAGGTTATGGCTAATTGATTATGCTAGGTGCTAAAAGTTGCCAGAAAGTGGAAAGAGAAAAAGAACTGTGTCTTCAAAATTAGGAAAGGACTAGAGGTCTTGAAGTGGAGGTGAGACTTGACTCAGGAGGCAGGGCTTGGACACTGGACCAAATTGAGGACTAGCTAAAACAGGGAAGGGGCTGAAGCAGCTTTCTATAAGACACACCCACTAGGGTGCCATGTCAGTTTATCATTGCCATAGCAACACCCGGGAGTTCCCACCCCTTTCCATGGCAATAATCCAACAACCCAGAAGTTACTATGTTTTCCCTAGAAATTTCTGCATAAACTGCTCCTTAATCTGCAAACAATTAAGAGTAAGTATAAGTACTACTGCAGAACTACCCTGAGCCGCTACTCTCTGCCTATGGGGTAGCCCTGCTCTGCAGGAGCAGTCATGGAGCTGTCCCACTGTAGAGACCACATGGACCTCTAGTCCTTTCCTAATTTTAAATATGTATAAATACACTGAAGCTAAACATTTCTGTGCAAAGTGAAGATGCCCTCCTTTACTTGCCTTCAATAGCTAACATTGGCATTAGCCCACTTATGGCTCTAAAATACATCATCCTAGTTGATTTTTACAACACCTGTGACATGGGAAAAACATGTTATTTTCCCTATTTTTCAAGATTAAAAATCAAGCAGAGAAATTATGATTTTTCCAAACCCCCATGGAAAGCAAAAAGGAGCTTTCAAAGAAGGAATCAAGTCTCTAAAAGTTAAGCACAGTGTTGCTTTGATTAGCCTCTCCCAGAGGGCTTTGCTTAATACTGGGACTATAACAGGCCCTGGAGTCTTTATTGATTAGCTGATCCCATTTGCCATAAGTAGCTTATTTAGAAACAGTTTTGGTCTTGAACACCGGCCTCAAGCAACCCTACTGCATCAGCCTCCCAAAGTGCTGGGACTACAGGTATGAGCCACCATGCCTGGTGATAGGTACTGTTTTTATCCCCATTTTATAGCTAAAGGGACAGAGGCTTAGAGAAATCATGAAATTCGCCTTTGTCATACATCTTGTACATTGCGGACCTGGGAATCTGACTCTGATGACAGAGCCAGTGTTTCGTAAATTTATGCCGTTATGCCTCCCAGCAAGACAAAAAAGGAAAAACCCAAGATTTAGAGAGCTGAGTTCTCAGTTCTGGGACTTCCTCTGCCAGTCTTCATTGTGCACTTGTGGGCAAGTCACTTCCAGCCTTAGAGTTACCCCCTGTCACATGGGGGCGTCAACAAGGCTCACAGCTTAGGATTGGGCAATGGGTTAAAGGAGATCTTTTCTAAATTGTAGCACTATAAAAATGTTAATGAAACAGAGTTTATGGCTTCTTTATGTTTGGATCTTTGGTGTCTACTGGGTACTCAATGATGGATGTTAAATAAATGAATGAAATGAGAATTCCTATCGGTTCAAGACCGAGAATTTTGGCATGATTTGGAAAACAAAAGGCAAATGAAAACAGCTAAAGTAAACTCAGTAATATCCTATTTTAGTTCAAACATCTTTAATTATGAGCCATCAAAGGGAACACACACACACACGCATGCACACACACACAGACATCACACTGCATATACCATATACTGCAAATGATTCTCAAGTCTAAGTGTGACTAGATTAGGCAAAGTTTTCAATGAGACCCAAAAGATTCCTTTTAAATTGTCACTGACATCACACTACCAGATTAATTTTTAAAAATTGATCTGTCTTGGGTGTATCTTGGAGATAAAAATGAAGAACTATATTTCTCCCTTTCTCACCTTTCTAGTGTAATTTTCAGGTACAAATATAGAATGAAGTGTTGCTGTTGTTAAAATGACACACTTTTTCACATAGGCTAAGATTAGAGAGTTTCAGGAGAGAAATTCTCACAAGCCTGTGGTCCAGCCTGGGAGCCACTCATTATCTATTTTCCAGAGGAAAAAAAAATCAGCTCACTCGAGTTTACTGAGCATCTTCTATGAGCTAAGGGTAAGTCCAAGGGACATCATGGAAAATATTCTTGCTTAATGTATTTGCAATGTTGTCAAAGAGGTAAGGCATAAATATAGGTAATCATACTGACACTGTACTCTTCTGGACTGAAAGTATTGGAACACCTCTTGAACTATAATAAAGGGATTTATTATAATAATTATAAATTAAATATAAAATATTATATAAGAGTATGTAATAAAATATAATATTAAATTTAATAAATCTTTTTATAGAGGTAGATCCCAAAACCCCAAAAATGCGATGGTGCAAGGCCTTAACTAGAACCAAGAGTTCATCTCCATCTGAACTCACTTTTCTTCTTCATTCTTATTTCCTCATATTCCAGTTTTCTCTGCTTCCCAGTCCACATGGCCTAACAAGACCATCCACAGCTCCAAAGTTTGTATTTCCCCAGTTCAGAAAAAAAGACAAATAAGTGCTGGGATTTCTGAGTCTCAATTCCAAATCTTAGGGCTTATTAGTCTAGCTTGAGTCAGATGCCCAGTCGTGATCTAACCAACTGTGGCCAGGAGGCCAAGGTGAAATTATACAATCATCATTAAAGAAACCCTGTCCCTGTAACCACAAAGGTCAGGGAAATGGGGCTGTACTCAGAAAGGGGCTATGCAGTGAGTCCAATACCTGGTCCCTGTGTTAACAATGTGATTTTATTAGCAGGAATGTTCAAGGGTTGCAAATAGCAAAAAACTAACTAACAGACGATTAAATAATAAAATAATATAATTAACCACATACTAAGATGTTTAGAAGTAGGCAGTCCTAGGGTTGATTTCAGGGCTCTGAGTAGGTCTCTGAGAAGGTCTTGGCATTTCCCTCATGGCCACAATACAGTTGCGTAGATTTAGACAAGACATCCTCACATTAGATTAGGGAATATCTGGTGAGAGAGCTCTCCTTGCACACACACTTCTCTCTTTTATCATATGCAAGAGGTTTTGTCCAGAAACCCTCCCAAAAAGCATACCTTTAGGTTGCATTGGTCAGTGCTGAGTCACAAGAACAGGACTAGCTTCAAAGAAGTCTAGAAAAAGAAGTCTGGGTTTTTCAGGCTCTATCATAAGAGGCAACTAAGAAATAAGGGAATTGAGAATTGGTTGTTGAAAAGCCAGTTCAAAGTCAGAAACAATGATGAACTGCCAAATAAATGGCATAGATCTAAATGTTTAGCAGAATTTTCTGAGATGAGGAGAATGCTCCATCTCTTTGCTATCCAGTATGGCAGCTGCTAGCTGCTTGTGGCTACTGGGAACTAGAAATGTGGCTAGTGTGGTTGAGAAACTAAATTTTATTTAATTAATGATTTAAATTTAAATAAGCATATGAGGCTAGTGACTACCATATTGGTCAGTGTGAAACTATAGATAATGTCTTCTTGGGAATAACTTCTTGGAGGTCAGAGGAAAATCAGAGGCATCACCCTGGGTCAGAATAATTTGGTAGCCTTCACAGGAGATGGATGTGAAGGATGGTTGGGGTTTGAAAGTTTTCCAATACAGTAAGCTTGCTCTAAGGCAGAGAGGCAGAATATAGTATGGCATTCTTAGGAGGTGTTAATCAGATTAGTTTGGTAGAGGTAGGTTTTTTGTGGAGGAGTGGGCAAAAAGCTGAAAAGTAACTTCAATTCAAATGGAAGAAATATTTAAATGCCAGCTTGGACTATGTACAATAGGCAACTGATGCTATTGAAAGAAGGGTAAGATACGAAGTGATACTTAGGGAAGATTAACCTGGTGATTGTAAAAGAGATGAATAGAAGGCAAGAAAATTAGTTATGATAGTATTTTCCAAATTTTTCATGTTATGGCACATACAAAAATCGATATATTTTTGCTCACTAGGTCAAACGGACAAGACAGCTCCTGGCCAAAGGTGACCATCCCAGAGACTCCAGCTGCTGTAACCTTTCACCCCAAAATCCTGAAATGAGGATTACTATCTTCTCACACCTATAACCCTTTTATAGCACAGTAGTGAACACCAGCACATAGTTGGGATGCTCTAACTTAGCAGACTGTCTGGAACAAAATAGGTTGTGGTATATATGAAAAAGGAAGGAAAAAGAGTGAAATATTTTATTGAGGGAATTGAAAGAAATCAGGAACTAATTAGAGGTAGTTACGGTAGATGTCAGAGATGACAGTAACTCCTAAGTTTCAAGAATGGTGATACCAGAAATAAAAATAGTATTATGAAATTGTTTTGACAGGACATGGTGATTTCAATCTAAAATATGGAGGTGATAAATGGACCTCCTATGAAGGACTGTTACATTAGTGTCACCCAGTGATCCATGGCTCTGGTAGTCATGCTATGGGATATTCCCCTCCCATATTGACTCTGGGCTTGGACATGTAAGTTATTTGGCCAATGAGACATCAACATGGTGCAAGCAGAGGCTTGATGAGCATTTGTGCATTGAGGCTTTTCCCCTTGGAACCAGCCAACATGCTGTAAGGAAGCTCAGGATAGATCACTGACTGATGAGAGGTCACAGGCAGAGAGAGCAGGTCTATGAGAGTCTACGTTTTTTGTCTTTTTTTGTAGAGACAGGGTCTTACTATGTTGCCCAGGCTAGTTTCAAACTCCTGGCCTCAAGCAATCCTTCCATCTCAGTTTTTCAAAGCACTGGGATTACAGATGTGAGCCACCGCACCTGGCCTCTGAGAGTCCATCTTGCATGTTTCAGCCACAGCCAAACACCTATCTGAAGATAGACACAGGAGTGACCTCAGCAGAAGAACCACTCAGCTGAGCCCAGTCAATCCTCAAATTGATGAAAAATAACAAATCATTGTTGTTTTAAGCCACTAAGCTTCAGGTGTTACACTAGTCAGTAATAGGTAATAGAAACAATATCCAAATAAAAATGTTCAATAGGACCTTGATGACATGGATCTGGATGCCAGGCAAGAGATCTGGGCCTTAGATGTAATTCCATAAGATATGTGTGCTTCTGTCATAGCAATGACATTGTAATGAAATTGGATGATGTATCCTTCACTAGACTGTGAGCTCTTTAATGACAGGGACTGGGTTTTTGGTGATTTCTTATACACTATTCTCGGTTCAAAGAAGATTCTCAAGAGATCCATGCTGAGTAATAGAACAAGTGAATGAATAAAGATAGTGAAGTATAATGGAAAAGGAATAGACTTTGAAATCAGACAGGCTAGGCTTGAACTTCAGCTCTCTTAATCACTAAATGTATGATCATCAGTAAATCACCAATCCTCCTTGTAAACTTTAAGTAATGTGAGCAGCCTCTCAAGAGCCACTGAGAGGAGCCAATAAACAGAAAACACGCAATAAATTAAAGCTTTTCATAACTGGGGATGAATCAAGTGATCATTGAAATGTGGGAATGAATGAAATCAAAAAAAAGGTAAGTATAGTAAGAGAAGAGTGATGAGTCTGGGGAGGATGCATAGGGAATACAAGAAAGAAAATGATTCCAAGAGAGATAAAAAGGAAGAGAGAAAGCATGAGAGAGGAAGACCCAGACCAAATGGAATGACAGGAAAAGAACCAAGATAGGGTACATTTTACTAGACCAAAAAGGGCAGCAATTTTAAAGAAAGACCCAAGTCAACATTGCTATGCTTAGAGATTATAGTTTTTGGGTCATTGTTTTGTGTGTTTATGGCATCTCAGCCATTGGTCCAGGACTGTCAGCAGGAAAATTTTTGAAGAAAAAGATTAGGCCATCATGGATGATCGAATATATCCTAATTAAGGACAGTGGATAAGGCAGCATTTGAGGTCGTTATAAAATGTCAGCTGGGTGCCTGATAGTTGATAAGAAAGAGCAAATTTAAACTTTCTGTGGTTGGACCTACAGCTTCTAGGAGAATCATTGAAAGGAAGGAATTTATGTAAAATAAAGAAGTGGTATGAGAAAGGAGAGCACTATCTGCCTTAGGTCTCCTGGGAGAAATCAAACCTTAGGGATCTAATTATCTGAAGTCATTTCTCTCTGGAGAGATAAACATAAACAACTGAAAAGACAGTTGTTTGAAACATTGCAAAAACATCCAATAAAACCATCAGCTCTAAAAACAGAATCATCAGTTATACAAATATCTCTCATGCCATTGTCCTGGTGTTGGAAAGAAATTAGGCCAGACTCTTAATGATATCAGATTTTGTGGGTGAGAACTTTGAAGTTTACATTTGTAAGTTTTGCTGTTCACTTTCCTTTATCAGTTAACAGCATCCTGATTTTGCTTTGGGAAACCATTTTTTCCCCCCACTTTTTCAATTTATATGTTTGAGTGGAGTTGATTTCACCTTCCCTCCACCCTCTGCTCCAGGAGTAAATGTGTGCCTAAGGCCTAGTCAACAGAGTATCACATCCATGTGACAATGATGATTGGTTCAGAGATACATACGTACCCTGAATGAAGCCAATCAGGTTCAATCAAAGATAATTCTGAGTCTTAGCTTGGGCATCTGGCAGATATATGCTTCCTTTCTTCTTCAACTTGTATTAAAGATAAGGTAATCTTGAAGCTGCCAGATGCCAACTTGTCTAAGGATATAATCAGTAGGCCCAGTGTGGTGGTTCATGCCTGTAATCCCAGCACCTTGGGAGGCTGAAGTGGGTGGATCACTTGAGGAGAGGAATTCAAGACCAGCATGGGTAACTTGGCGAAACCCTGCCTCTACAAAAAATACAAAAATTAGCCAGGTGCAGCAGTGCATGACTGTGGTCCCAGCTACTCGGGAGGCTGAGGCGGGAAGATCACTTGAGTCCAGAAGGTGGACGTTGCAGTGAGCCATGATTGCACCACTGCACTCCAGCCTGGGAGCCTGGGTGACACAGTGAGACCATGTCTTTAAAAAAAAAAAGGAATAAAAAAGTAGCTTGCCATGGTGGTGTGCACCTATGGTCCCAGCCATTTTGGAAGCTGAGACAGGAGGATCACTTGAACTCAGGAAGTTGAGGCTGCAGTGAGCTGCATTTGGCCCATTGCACTCCAACCTGGTGTGACAGAATGAGACTCTGTTAAAAAAAAAAAAAAAGAAGAAGATAGGCTATACAATGGCATTGCCTAAGCCTCTGGATGCAGTTATATCTGAGCTTTTCAGCTGCATAAACCAACAAATATATGTTATTGTTGAAGCCAGTTTGAATTTTTTTCTATTACTTGCAATTAGGATCCAGACTAATAATGACAGCAGAATATAAATATATTAGTATATGAAGAGGGAGAGTATCAGACATATATCATTCAATGTAATTATTTCTGTTATAATGGGCCCAATAACAACTTCATTTTAAAGATGAGAACTCTGTAGCTAAGAGAGAGGAATAACTTTGTAGAATGTCAAAGAAGTGGGAAATATGTTATCTAAACTAGATGGTAGAGCAGCAATCAACAAATTATTGCAAGGCAGCCAATTCTAGTCCATCACTTGTTTTTATATGCCCAAGTTAAGAATGGTAGAAAGGAAATGGAAGGCCAGGCACAGTGGCTCACGCCTGTAATCCCAGCACTTTGGGGGGCCAAGGCAGGTGGATAATGAGGTCAGGAGTTGGAGACCACCTGACCAACATGGTGAAACCCCGTCTCTACTAAAAATACAAAAATTAGTCGGGCGTGGTGGCACCCACCTGTAATCTCAGCTACTCAGGAGGCTGAGTCAGGATAATCGCTTCAACCTGGGAGGTGGAGGTTGCAGTGAGCAGAGACCGCACCATTGCACTCTAGCCTGGGCAATAGAGTGAGATTCTGTCCCAAAACAAACAAACAAACAAACAAACAAAAAAGAAAGAAAGAAATGGAAAAGATAGTTTTTCATGACACATACAAATTATATGAAATTCACATTTTGGTATCCATAAATAAAGTTCTATTGGAATACAGCTATGTCCATTCACTTATATATGGTCTATGACTGCTTTTATGCTATAAGGTCAGAGTTGGGAGGGTGAGATGGACTGTACAGTCTGCAAAGCTTCAAAATCCTCTCTAGGACAGGTGTAGTGGCTCATGCTTGTAATCCCAGCACTTCCAGAGGCAGAAGCAGGAGGATCGTTTGAGGCCAGGAGTTAGAGGCCAGGCTGGGCAACATAGGGAGATCTCATCTGTATTTAAAAATAAAAAAAAAATAACTAAAACACTCTCTTGCTTTTTATGGAGAAAGTTTGCTGTCCTTTGTGGTGGAGGATATATACATGAAGAAATCTGTCTTCCTATAGCAGGATGTCTGTGTATATGTATCATGTGGCCTTATATATACATATTTTTATACACACATATATTTAGGAAGATAAAGGTAGAAAGAAAAATTTGTTTTTTGTCCACTGGGTTTGGACCATCACTTGCAAGAGATGTCATAGAAGTATTTTCCTTCAAATGGAGCAATAATTTGAAAATCTTTTCAGCAGCAGAATCCCTTTATGAAAAGAAATTTCTAGGAGTCTCCCATAATGTATAATATTTGAAAACAGGCCTTTCATGTGTGTATCTCTAGCCATGCCTACTAACTGAAACTTCATTTCCCCCAGCCACTTCTGCCCCTACCAATTCCAACCATGTGCTCCAGGCACTGGTGTGACATCTTAAGATATTTTAAGGATTTAGAAAAATTTGGTAAGCACTGAGATTTTGGTTCTAAACCAGTGGTTTCCAAACCTGTTTGCACATCAGACAGCAAGGATATTACTTTTAAATGTGAATTCCTTATTTGCCCGCCTTCTGACACACAACCAAATTCTATTTTGGGAGCTCTGGGCTAGGACTCTCAAAACTGTACCTTTAACAAGCTCTCCAGGTGATTCTGATAAGTGGCTATGATTAAAGTTACTGCTAGAGGTAATCTTAAATTTCTTCCCAACTCTGAAATTCCACAACTCTAGGATCTTTAGCACTTCCAGAAGAGCTTCCTGAAGAAAGATGTAGATATTCTACCAATCATCTCAGCACTCTTTCTTTCTTTTATTCTCTTTTAAACAAAATATGCATGCATCCATAAAAATAAAAACTCAAACTCTACAAAAGGAAGTTTCCCTCTAACCCCCAAATTATCCATTGCTCCCCGAGAAGCATTCAGAGTTTCCAGTTTGTAGTTTATTCTTCCAGAGATAGTGTGCATACAAGTATTTGTGTCTCTTTTCTTTTTTATACTAAAGCCAGGAAAACATATGCACTTGCTGCTTTTCACTTAATAATGTTTTTGATATCATATCATATAATATCTGAATAAAGAGAATTATCTATTTTTTATTGTCTGAACAGTATTATTCCTGCATAGTGTTATTTCTATTGAAGCACGGTTAGATTATTAATCCAGAGTGTGATATGTACGTGTGTGTGTGTCCCATATACTCCTGGACCTGCTTATTCACATATGCAAATGCATCTGAGCAATACATTTCAGAGAGCTTTAGATTAATGTCTTATGGTAGTGGTAGGAACATGAAGTAAGCACCTTTTTCATTTTGTTTTTCTTCAAATGTACTTGTTTGGCTTTGTAGTGGCAACAAAGCATAGGAAAAGAAGCGCCTGAAAATTTTATTTTTCATAAATCTATCTAAGAAGAGTCTTCCTTTTTTCATTTGTGGAAAAAAATTACTGACTACCTATTATGGTTGGTCATCATGCATATGGTTTTGTCTAACTCACCTTATCTAAGTCTCTGTGAAGTAATTGATCATTTCTTTGTTTTACAAATGAAGAAATGGAGTCTCTGAGTAGTGACATAAGCTACTCACATTCCCATGTATGATAAGTAGCAGGACTGATTTGAAACTTTGTCTTTCATTTTAAAAACCCAAGTTCATTTCACAAGACATGTTATTGAGCCTTAAAAACAAATCTACTGAGATGTCATCTATGTAATTTCAGGTTTAGGTTCTAGAAACCCTCCAGTGAGTAGTAAAGATAATATTACACTAAGTTCTTTTCTTACCAACACACCATTGAAGTTGAAGGAGAAAGGACACAATCTCCATCCTTTCAAGAGATGGAAGATTTATTATGTAAGAGGGCTAAGAACAGAAACAATAGAAAATAGTCATCCTAACTGAATCCAATATCTGCTTATTATCCAGGTCTTTCTAAATTTCTCTCCTTGACAGTGCCAATTAGCTACATCTCATGAAGAGATTTGTAATCTGACAAGGCTGAAACCCTGGTAATTAGGAAGCATCTCATTATCACTCATCTTTTGAACAGTGCAGAGTGGCAGACAATTGTCAACTTCAAATTGGTCAAGCTTTAAATTGGCCAAGGGTTCCTGAAGCCTCTCCTTCCTGTCAGGAGGAGAAGAGAACAAAGCTGCAGAATTGGAGGGGCCTCTCTTGAATTCACTGAAACAGGGAACTCAGGCCAAATAAGGGGGCCATCTTACCAGCTACAGCTAAAAGCCTACTCTTCCAAGGCTTATTTTAAATTTTTATTTTATTTATTTTTGTCAGAGAACTTTGACAAAGAAGACTTTTGAGGTTTTTAAATTGATAGTCTCCATATAACAGCCTGAACTTCCCAGTTTATATCACTTGTGTCCCATCTTAATACATAAATTATTCAACAAGTTATAACAGTGAAAC